>NC_000001.11:189434587-190059587 GCF_000001405.40 Homo sapiens
AAAGTTACCTCATATCGCCATTGCTGTAATTAGGTGAATCATCTACTTTTCAACAATTAGGAACCCAGCTCAAAGCACACAAGGAAGACAAACAACATTTTGGCCATAAAATCATGACTATGGGCAAAGTTTATTTATTCATCCAAGAACTATTTAAGTGCCTATTTCATGGCTATGTAGAACAGACATATTGTGGTGAGCAAACCACAATACATATCATTAAGTGAAATAGTACAATCTAAAAAGGCTGCATATTGTATGATTCCAACTATGTGACATTTTGGAAAAGACAAAAACTGTGGAGATGAGAAAACAATCAGTGGTTGCCAGGGGTTGGTGGAGGAAGGCAATGGATAGGCTGAGTATAATGGAATTTTAGGGGAGAGAAAATACTCTGTATGTTACTATAATAATGGATACATGCCATTATACATTTTTTCATACCCATAGAATATTCAACACCAAAAGTGAGCCTTGACATATACTATGGACTTTGAGAGATTTTGATGTGTCAATGTGGATTTATCAATTATAACAAGTGTACCACTCCTGCCAGGTGCAGTGACTCACGCCTGTAATTCCACCACTTTGGGAGGCTGAGGTGGGCGGATCACCTGAGGTCGGGAGTTCCAGACCAGCCTGACCAACATGGGGAAACCCAGTCTCTACTAAAAAATACAAATGTACAACTCCAGTGAGGGATGTTGATAATGGAGAAGGCTATGCATGTGTGTGGGAAGAAGGCATATGGAAAATCTGTATCTCCCTCTCAATGTTGCTGTGAATCTAAAATTGCTCTAAAAAATGAAGTATGTTAAGAAGTCTTTAGAGAAGACAGAAAAGTAAGAAAGGATAGAGTAAAGGAAAGAGGGAAGGAAATAAGGAGGGAACAGAAGGGAAAGGAGATGGGGAGGGGAAGGGGGAGAGAGGGGGTGGGAGAGGGGGAAGGGGAAGGGGAAGGAGGAAGGGAATAGTGTGGTTTTACAGAGACTATATCCTATAATGACTTAGTTTAAAATCTGTAGTACCTTATAAGAAATAGCTACTGGAAAAGGAATTGTCCACCATATGAGAAATACTACATGCAATTACATATTTGAATGTATATGCTCTGGTATACATGTTGAGAAAGATTCACTCTATGTAACCATAAGATAGATGAGAAAGATTCAATATGAGACTAGAAAAAAATATTGGTGAAAATGTTGCTAAAATTATGAGTTTTTTTTTTTTCCTGTAGGGAGTTTTTGTTCATGATAAGTTTGAGAGTTTTCAAGACCATTCTCAGGTTCAATAATTTACTAAAAGGACTCATGGAATTCAGCAAACTTTTATATTTATTGTTACGGCTTATTACAGCAAAAGGTATTAAAAGAGGCACATAGGTCACAGGGTCCACTAGTCACCAAGCAGGGAGCTTCCAATTGTCCTCTCCTAAGGGAATTGTGCAGATGTTTACTCCTGTGTGTGAAAATTTGTAGAGAGTATTGCCAGCAAGGGACACTATCTAAGGCTTGGTTTCCAGAGTTTTTATTTGGACTTGGTCATGTAGATATGCTTGAGAGTCCACCTGGCTAACCTTAGTCTCTAGCCTCCTCAGAGGTCAAGTGCAAAGGTCAGACATCTTTTTAGGCAAAGTTAATACTTTAGTGCAATTAATGTTTTATTTTATTCTAGTTTGCTTCCTGAAATGTTTTATTTTGAGACTACTACGTGAACAAATTAGGACTTCAGTATATCATGATTTATTCAAGGCTTTAAAATTGAGAAAAACTTATGCTGTTTTTAATAAGAGTAGAAACAAATATAATACAATTGTAAGGCAGTGAGATGTAAACATGACTGAATTTGGTTGGGTTGTGTTGAGAAATAACAAGAGTAATTACAATGGATTATATCCATTGACAGACAGATTAGGGGTAGTCTTACAAGTAGAGGACAGACAGATTAGGGGTAGTCTTACAAGTCAAGCAGGGTGAGCCATTTGGACTTGAGCTGATAAATGTGAGAAGATATTGTAGTTTCCTCAGCATAGCAGTGAAAAGAGGGAAAAGGGATTTACAGAAGGCTATTCTTTCTGCTGTATTCAGAATGAATTCATTACTCAAATAACAAATAAAGACCTAGAAAAAGCCTCTTGCAGTAGTTTTGAAATGAGACAATTTTGGTCTGGATTAGTGTCATAGCTATTTAAATGATAAGTTGACATTAACTATAAGTTTTGACTGGTAAAGATTTTACTTTTGTAATATATTTCCTCTGATAAGGGTAAGTATAGAACAAAATGAAATGAGAAAGTCCATTTTTTATTTTTATTTTCAGTATTTTGTTTTTTTCCACCTTCTATTTATCCAGGAACTCTTGTTTCTAGAGATAAAATTGTGATATTATTATCATGGATAGTATATTTATACAGTTGCTACTTGTCTAAATTATTATTCAAGGATTCTGTTACCCTATGAAACAGACAAGCTTCCCACTTCTTAGTTAATATTAACATTAAAGCGTTTTACATCTGAATTAATTTTTAAGTATTTTTAATAAAAACCCATATTTTTATTTTACATAGTCAAATTAGTATACATTTATGAAAGCAAGAATAATCAATAACTTCGAGTGGTATCATAGTCTTAAAGGCTGTATTTAATCACATTAAATTAAAGGGAGCAGGCACCATATAGTTAGAATTATATATTTTTTAAAAACTAAATGCATTTAAAGTTTTATCTACATAGCTACTTACTATTTGCTTGGAAAGCTCAGTCTTGTCATTTATTATTTGATTGTTACAGGCAAGTATTAACCTTTATATGAAAAGTATTTTGCAAAAGCTAACAGAAAAAGAATAAATTAATTGTAAAAACACATGTAAACTGTAACAAGTATCGATCCTTGAATTCTTACTGATTTCAAATTTTTAAAATGATTTTATGTCTACCTATGTTTGACATTGATTTAAACTATTATATATTTTACAGAGAGAATGATATATATTAGAAACTAATTTGAAGGAAAAATTAGACAAAATTAGTAAAAATAACTAATTTGATTTCTATTGAAAATTGAAATTGAACCCCCTTTGCAATAATTTAATCAATAATTACATAATAATAACAGCATTTATTAATCACTTATCATATACCAGGCCTCTGTAAACAAAAGTTTTTATATAACATATCAGTTATTCCTCACAATAAATCTATAGAGTAAGGATGGTTACTTTGCCTATTTTCAAGGTAAGGAAACAAATTCAGCAACTTTTTGCCTCAACCAAGATTTTACAAAACATAGAGAATAGACCTGAGAACTAACTACATCACATTGCCTTCCAAAGATGGATCCTAGGATCTTACCTTCTATTTATGCCTGCTTTGGATTTAGGGTCTGTAGAAAATGTCAGTCAACAATAGCTCAAATTTGAGGTTGAAATTTAGGAGGGAAGCCAAGGCTAAAGTTCAAAAGAGCTAGCATATTTTACTAAAAATAGCATGTGGAAAACCTAATTCTACCAATTATGTCTCTGAGAGAAAACTTCATGATCTATAAAACTGAGAAATCATGATTGTATTACTTGGTTGTCTAATGAATATAGATAATATATGAAATAACCCACTACCGCTAAGATCTGCTAGGAAGTGATTTACAAAGTCTATTTTTATAAAAATTTTCAACTAAATTAGATCTTAAATTTGAGAAATCTCATGCACTTACAAGGTAAGTAGCTTGTACCTGGAAGAATAAGGTGATGGTATAAAACTTTTTCAACTTGACAAATCTTAAAATTAGCTCGAGATTACTTAGAGCAACACCGGGTATTTTCTCTTTATGTTACATAGAAGTGTCATTCATTGATGCCTAGGCTGAGATAATTTTTTCCTTTATACAACAGATATTTACTGAACATCTGCTAAGAACATAACTCTCTAGAATATGCTGAATAGCATATCAGTATATTATAATTTTATTTTAATAACAATTCTCCAGGATTGTGTCTTGGAAGAAATATAGGCCAAGCCTTGTAACACTGATAGACAAAAACTACTGCAGTAGGTGCAAGAATGGGGAAGGCAAATCATCTGAAATAATTGGAGGTTTCTTCCAGGTGGCGTGTAGATGTAGGGAATAATGAGTAGAATTTGATGATGGAGGGAGAGGGAAAAGACAATGCAAATTTTACTAACCTAGAAATAGGTCCAGCATGTTCCTACCCCCATGGATTTATTTATAAATTTCTCCTGGAAGCACAATCTGCCACAGAAATGGGTGTATTTTTTAAATTTAGGTTTTGATTATCTAGTGGAAATACTATAATGCCTGATTGATGTGTTTAAACTTTACTTTTTTTACATACTTTAAGTTCTGGTGTACATGTTCGTTGAACGTGTTGAGCTTCAGATAATTCCTCTAAGAACAATTAGTCAGCATTTTACAACCTCTCTTGGCCTTTTGCTTAGTTTCTTTTCATTGCTCCTTATTTATACAGGTTGCCCTGCTGTTTCCTCCCTTACAGCAAATGTGAGCACATTCCCGTATACTCAGACACACAGGAGTGAGTGCACATATTTGTACCCAGTTTTGTATTTTTAATCAAGAGCTTTGCATAAAGCACAGCTGAAGAAAGAAACAAAATTGATGCCTTTATCTTGTTATTTTTATGTTAACATTTTAGACCTTGATTATTGTATATAGCTCATTTTATTATTTATTATTTAATTCTTGAGATTAACATGAATCTTATATATAGTATAATACAGAACTCAATATATTGAATATAATTGAAATAGCAAACAATATTTTCACTTGATGATAGTAGTTAAAGGAAACAGTTTATTTTATGTTTTAATTTTCTTTGTATTAAGTGTGTGTTATTGAATAACTTTAGTCTCCTAGCAAGTCTTATTCTCTGTCATTTAATAAAATTGAATTATTTATTCAAGGATTAATTTTCTCTTCTCCAAAAGTATTGATCTTTCTTAATATATTAAAATTTGGACAGTTAAATTCTTATTCCTAGATGGTGAGGAGTCTCATTTTTGCAGAAAACACATTCCAGGGGCTTTCCACTTTCCTCCGAATGTCCTAACCAGCTTAACCATCAGGTAAAGTCCCTAGATCTAAACAAATGTATCACATTCTCATTTAGATTGTTGGGTGGTTGATAAAAACACAACTTGATTTGTTTCTCCCTGTTAGAAAACAAACCCTAACTAATGTACAAAAGGGGGTGCTGGGGAAAATGCTTATGAAAATTTTATTACTTCCATAATATAAACAGTAAAAAAAAAAACTATATTACATATCACTTTCAAGGGAATGCTAAATTTCTGATCCATCCAACCATTTAATCCTAAGAAGCAGAGGCCCCTAATCCATGTATGAGAGTTTAATAATAACCCAGAATTTGGGACTACCACATCTCTTTTGAAAAAAGTTCCATGTCAAATTCACTAGATTGAGATTTAAATTAGGAAATAAAGTGATGGAAGCATACAGTTTCCAGGATTTGTACTCGTATTTTTCCTGAGACCATTTCTCTCCCCCTCCAGCTTTATTGACATGAATAAGACATATTGCTGTCTGTACATCTTTGCCTGGTTATTTGGAAGTGTGGTTCAACTCCTTGCTTTCAGAGAAATCTTTCTTGATAAATTAGGGACTATGGACTCAGTGGTTGCATCTCAATTCTCTAAAATGTAGTTCTAAGTTATAAATGTCTTACCTTGATCCTACATTATACATCTTTGCCTGGTTATTTGGAAGTGTGGTTCAACTCCTTGGTTTCAGATAAATCTTTCTTGATTAATTAGGGACTATGGACTCAGTGGTTGCATCTTAATCCTCTAAAATGTAGTTCTAAATTATAAATGTCTTGACCTGATCCCAAATTTTAGCCCTGTCTTCTTTTACTCCTGTTACGTGCCTTACATTTAGCTATTGTCACTTCTGTCCTTAATGAGATGTAGAAACAGTTCTTCATGTTTATTTTTAGTTTTTTTTGGAATGGATAGTTATAGACAGTTTCCTCAAAGGAAGAATAATCTGACTTTTACTTGATTACAGTTTGATTTGTTTATTTTCTCCGTTTAATGATAAAATGGTGTAGAGATCAGCATCTTTTACCATTGTAGCCTATTAAAGTGTTCTTGTTCTTTGGCTTCTGGGGAAAAAAAAAAACTGTCTAACCTGAAAGTTATAAAATTTGCAACCAACTGTTGCGAATTACATATCGAGCAGACTTGACCACATTTTCCCTAAGATAAATCAAGTAAGGCCATTTTTGGAAAGTTAGGGTCTTAAATAAGCCTGAAAATTTTGTAAGCCTTTTTTTTTTTTTCTTTAAGACAAAGTCTCTCTCTGTTGCCCAGGCAGTGACTCGATCTTGGCCCACTGCAACCTCCGTCTCCCGGGTTGAAGCGATTCTCCTGCCTCAGTCTGCCGAGTAGCTGGGACTACGGGCGCACACCACCACGCCCAGCTAATATTTTGTATTTTTAGTAGAGACCGGGTTTCACCACGTTGGCCCGGATGGTCTGGATCTCCTCACCTCGTGATCTGCCCTCCTCAGCCTCCCAAAGTGGTGGGATTATAGGCGTGAGCCACCGCACCCTTCTACAGCAAATATTAGTTTATTTATTGTAACTGTTGACTATTAGTATTAAAAAAATTCAGACTGAAGTTTTCCTGCAATCATATCTATTTCGAAAATTGTCTACTTAACTTGAAGAAAATAAGAATAGAACAAGTTATATAAATTTACCATTTTGCAGATTCTGCTGAATAAAGGGAAAAACTAATACCTTCTAAAATCAAACTACTGGCTAAAATTTTGAGAAACATCAATATTTATAATAGGAAAGATGTAAAATGAGTAAGTTTTTTCCAGCCTTATTGAAGTATACTTGGAAAGCAAAAATTGCATATGTTTAAGATGTACAATATGATGTTTTGGCATTTGTGTACATTGTGAAATTATTACCAGACCAAGCTAATTAATATGTTCATTAACTCACATAGTTGTGGTTTGCTGGTGTGTGTGTATGAGTGTGATAAGAACATTTAAGATCAACTCTCTTAGCAAATTTCAAGTATATAATATAGTGCTACTAGCTATAGTCATTATGCTATACATTACATCTCCAGAATTTATTCATCCCATATGGCTGAATGTTTGTTCACTTTAACCAAAATCTTCCCATTTTCCCCAACCTTCAGCCCATGGCAACCATTATTTTACTCTCTGCTTTTATGTTTTATTATAAGTAATATTAATTCAGATTATTTGGGTGTGAAGAGGTTTTTTGCCTTCATTGTTTATTATACTATGCATGATGCAGCAAGTTTAGAGTTTAAAATTGAAAGTCTAGAAAGATATCAAGTAAAAGAAAATTATTTTCATTTTACATTTTAAAAAATTATTGGAATTTGCCTAGAAAGAAATAGAGAACTATAAAAAAAGACACTTTTTCCTATTTCTACCACAAAAGTAAATTTATATATATGGTATACCAAAAAGCAACAGTTTATTATTCATGACTATATATTAACCATCAGTGGTATAGTAGGACATTGAACAGAAAGCAAAAGAAATTGTTATTGGTTTTTTCAATATATAGACTTGCATTTTTTTCTATTTAATACATTGGGAATTAGTTTTATTATTTAAAAATGTAAAAATTGAAATGTATAGTACACTGTTATTAGCTGTGGTCACCATGCTGTGCAGGAGATCACTAAAACTTATTTCTCCTTTAACTGAAGCTTTATGTCCTTTGATTATGATCTTCCTTTTCACCATCTCTTATCCTCTCTCATATCCTTTCTCATCTCTGTATCTATGAGACCAACTTTTTTAGACTACACACATAAATGAGATCATATAGTATTTGTATTTCTGGGGAAATCGCTAAAGTAGTAGATTTTTAACATTCTCACCACACAAAAAAATTGGTGAGGTGATGGATATGTTAATTAGCTTGATTGAATCTTTCTACAATGTATACATAGATTAAAGCATCACATTGTACCCCGTAAATATACACAATAAAAATTTTAATGTAAAAATAAAATATATTATCTTTAAAAATCTTATCAAGTTTTTGATCCAATTGGTAAGCATATTAATCATAGAAAATCCAAAAAATATTTAAAATGAACAGCTTTTAAAAAATTTAATTTACTTTATTTCTTGAAGGAAAGAAAGCTAAAATTTAGCAGTAAATATTACTTTAAGATCTGTAACGCATCACTAAAAGTAGTATAATTACTAGGATTATATATGATATTTTGAAACTTTGGATGGCGATAAAGGGGAAAAGGAGTAAAAATGCTAAAACTTTCTCCACATATTTATGATATTTTTAAAAGACACATTTCATACAATGGAACTTTAGACTAAAACACCAGAAGTAACAAAAAATAATCTCTCGAAAAATGAAGTGGCAGTTATGAAGTAGTCAGTCCAGGACAAAACTTTTTGAAATATACCAGAAGAGAAAAAGTAGCATTTTTGCTTACCCAAATAAACAAAAATAAAAAAAAGATTATGACATGTCCAGCACATGCTAAATACTACTTAAGCTCTCATTCTTTCTGTTATTACTATTATTATTTAACATTTTTAAACAAACATTTATATTAGCAACAAAAGTTAAGTACAGAACTGATCACTTACATTTTTAAAATATTGAAAAAAGTAATCTCTGTTCTTTAATGGCATTCACTTTCTCTAAGTATGACCTTGTGACAAGTTACAATGGAAGACATAGGACGCTTTCAGAATGTTATTTCTCTCTTCTCCAAAGAATACAAAAATGAATAAGCTAATCACAATTATGATGGTAGCTTTAGTTATATATGTAATTGACAAATAGTGATTGAAGGCTTAAACCAATTTCATATGAATAATTACCATGTAAATATCAAAGTAGTTTTTTCTTAATAAATACTAGTCTTACAGTGTATTTTAATAACTAATTGCATAAAATTTTCTGATATGCTAATTTGACCAATTGTTCAATTTTCATAAAATGTTTAATATATTTTTCAATAGAAGAAAGACAAATAATTATTGAAGCAGATGACTTTTATAAACATTAAATTATAGAATTTTAAATTATTTTTACTTCCAGAACTTGAAAAATCTTAAAAGGCAAAAATTTTACATCCAGTAATCCTTTATCCTATTCTGTAAAGACCTCCTACTGTGCTTTACTATTCTAAGTGATTTGCTGTCACAACATTATTTAGGAAATTAAAAGACAGACATGAGTTTTTTTCACATTTTTTAGAGGGATGGAATGTTACTACATTGCTGAGGCTGGTCTTGAACTGGCTTCAAACAATCCTCCTGCCTCTGCCTCCCTAGTAGCTGGGATGACAGGTGCAACCCACTGTGCCTAGTGAGACAGAAGTGAATTTAAATACTAGAACAAAGGCATAGAAAGACTTGCAATATATAGTTTCAATAATCTGCAAAATCTTCCTCTAAGCGTATATTTACATTATTGATGGGAATATTTTCTTCTCATATCTAATCCTTGCCTATCTATGAGTTATTATTCACATATGTATAATCAATTGTAAAAGACAAAATAAAACTTTAAGGACTCAGACTATTGTATCCCATGTCTTCATAATAACGTCGATGTTAAAAATAGTAATCAGAACAATAAATTATATCATATTGTAATGTCCACTGGTTATCTTCGGGATATGTTCTTCATAAAATATACAAATGTCTCTTTATAAGTTATTTTCTAAGTAGAGAGAGAAACAAAACTATGTGAACAAAATAACATTTTGAGTAGAAACTGGATATAATGCCATTATGCCAAGAAGCCTTGTAATGAATTGGGTTTAAAGGAAAATTACAGTTAAGAAACAATTTGTCATGTCCTTTGTAGGGACATGGATGAAGATGGAAACCATCATTCTCAGCAGACTATCGCAAGGACAAAAAAACAAACACCGCATGTTCTCACCCATAGATGGGAACTGAACAATGAGAACACATGGACACAGGGAGGGGAACATCACACACTGGGGACTGTTGTGGGTTGGGGGCAGGGCGGAGGGATAGCATTAGGAGATATACCTGATGCTAAATGACGAGTTAATGGGTGCAGCACACCAGCATGGCACGTGTATACACATGTAACTAACCTGCACATTGTGCACATGTACCCTAAAACTTAAAGTATAATAATAATAAAAGAATGGCTCTGACAAAAAAAAAAAAAGAAAAGAAACAATTTGTTACAAAGCTTCTCAGCACAATGAATTTGTATCCCCTCTCTGCTCAAAACTGATCTATTGTGTGGGAGTTTTGGTGGGGTAAGAGAACATACCATACACTCTTATTTGTTTCGTTTTATGATGTCCCAAACGATGGTCTTTCTGTGTTGGAATCAACAGGCATCTTTAGAGTAGGTGACCAAGTTCATTATATAAATGGGAATGTCTTTTATTCACCACATAATGTTTTTATTTATTATTATTAATCTACTCATGAAACATCGTTCGTCATCCTTTTATTTTTGTCTCTTTAAAACAATGTTCTTACACTTTTTAAAGTTTAATTTAATTTTGTTTTCATTTTAAGTTCTGGGCTACATGTGCAGGATGTGCAGATTTGTTACATAGGTAAACGTGTGCCATGGTGGTTTGCTGCACCTATCAACCCATAACCTAGGTGTTAAGCCCAGCATGCATTAGCTATTTATCCTAATGCACTCCCTCCCCTCACCACCACCACCACCCCGACAGGCCCCAGTGTGTGTTGTTCCCCTTGCTGTGTCCATGTGTCCTCATTGTTCAGCTCCCATTTATAGGTGAGAACATGCAGTGTTTGATTTTCTGTTCCTGTGTTAGTTTGCTGAGGATAAAGGTTTCCAGCTCCATCCATGTCCCTGCAAAGGACAGGATCCTTTTTATGACTGCATAGTATTCCATGTTGTATAGGTACCACATTTTCTTTATCCAGTCTATTATTGATGGTCATTTGGGTTAATTTCATGTTTTTGCTATGTGAATAGTGCTGCAAATAACATATGTATGCATTTATCTTTATAATAGAATGATTTATATTCCTTTGGGTATATACCCAGTATTGGGATTGCTGGGCCAAGTGGTATTTCTGGTACTGGATCTTTGAGGAACCACCACACTGTGTTCCACAATGGTTGAACTAATTTGCATTCCAACCCACAGTGTAAAAGCGTCCCTATTTCTCTGCAACCTTGCCAGCATCTGTTGTTTCTTGACTTTTTAATGATTTGCCATTCTGACTGGCATGAGTTGGTATCTCATTGTGGTTTTGATTCGCATTTCTCTAATGATCAGTGATGTTGAGCTTTTTTTCCATGTTTGTTGGCTGCATAAATGTCTTCTTCTGAAAAGTGTCTGTTCATGTCTTTTGCCCACTTTTTAATGAGGTTCTTTGTTTTCCTCTTGAAAATGTGTTTAAGTTCCTTGTAGATTCTTGGTATTAAACAGAATGTGCCTTGCACATTTTAAATTCAACACAGACATTCATGACAGAAAAGTTACGTTTGAGAGCATTAAATAAAATAATCAGCCCAACGAAAAATAATCACCAATAATTTAGATGTATTCACTGCTGTGGTAAAATAATATGGTACAATGTCTATGGAAGATCTGTAATTAGATTCAATATGTATTTGATAACTAGATAAATTATATTTACTAGGTTTTACTTTAATATTGATTTGCAAATTTAGTAAGTATACTCTTCTGGTGGTACTCTTTATAGAGCGGGAGTTAGGTTCTTCTATATTCCCATAAAAAATGTTTCTTTCTATCGCTGATGGAAATTTGGGTTGTTTCCAAGTCTTTGCTATTGTGAATAGTGCCGCAGTAAACATACATGTATATGTGTCTTTATAGCAGCATGATTTATAATCCTTTGGGTATATACCCAGTAATGGGATGGCTGGGTAAAATGGTATTTCTAGTTCTAGATCCCTAAAATGTGGCACATATACATCATGGGATACTATGCAGCCATAACAAAGGATGAGTTCATGTCCTTTGTAGGGACATGGATGAAGCTGAAAACCATCATTCTCAGCAAACTATCACAAGGACCAAAAGCCAAACACCACATGTTCTCACTCACAGGTGGGAATTGAACAATGAGAACACTTGGACACAGGAAGGGGAACATCACACACCGGGGACTGTCATGGGGTTGGGGGAGGGGGGAGGGATAGCATTAGGAGATATACCTAATGTGAATCACGAGTTATTGGGTGCAGCACACCAACATGGCACATGTATACATATGTAACAAACCTGCACGTTGTGCACATGTACCCTAGAACTTAAAGTATAATAAAAAAAGAAGCCAGTTTGAAAATAAAAAATAAATTAAAAAAGTTTCTTTCATTAGAATAACTTAATATTAAGCCCTGCCTCTTTCTTGGTAGAAATTATAACATCTATATATCCTAAGACCAACTCAGTTCCATGTTTCATTATGCAGCTGTCATTGTAAAAGTGTGCATAATCTGATCTAATATAATACTTAAAATGCAAAGACATTTGACCACACACCTGCTTAAGGTACTATATAGGATGCTCTACTGGAACATTTTTAGAGTCTAATGAGTTCATAAGGAAAACAACATAGAGTCAAAAGTCCTGACTCAGGACTTTAACCTTCTGAAAAGTCCATATTTACGGTGAAAGTTGAAAATCATTTAAAATTTTATAACATATTCTTTTTTTTTCTATAAAATACCTGTCAAAGTAATATTCACAAAACATTGCAGTTGACCATCTTAATATCTTCAAGGAAGTTTACTTTCTTTTTATTCTTAATAGTCACTTACTAGAGAAAAACATCGAAAGAACCATGTTGTCTTTCTCAACTTTCCTTTTTGCCTCTACTTTCTGGCAGACAAATAAACTCCAATGCTCTTCAAGACATAAGCAAGTTAGCGATATTGCATTCGCTCTCCAATGTGTTCATGCTGTGAGAACATTTCTACTTATTTTAGAATATTAAAATAGAAGTATATAATTCATTTGCTATAAGCAACAGCATGACATTTTGAACCACATTGAAGTTAAAAAGCAAAACAAAACATAACAGTTTGAGTTCTACTTTACATTATTTATCTTTGGTATAGAATATGGAACCAGGGATTATATAGTTATTTTTTAAAAGAGAAAACAACTACATTGTTCAGACATGTTTTAAAAGTCTAACCTGCAGGATCAATTTCACTGAAGTGATTGCAGTCCAATTTTCTATACCTTTTCTCATGTCAAATATTCCAGGAAAGGAGAATAGAATAATATCTATAAAAAGTAGCATGTTAGATGGAAAAGTAACAACTACATTAGTCTTCTGCCCATAAAAGTGAAGTTGGGTATACATAGTAGTGTTAGCTATATGATGATATTAGAGAGAATGATGATTCTTAAAAATATTATGTAGTACTCCTGTAAATGATCAAATTGATTTAATTGTCTAATAATATCTATGATAATGTATAAATGCAACATATGTTACTGATTTTAAAATAATAGTTCCATAAACATCTGTGCAGTGCTTTTTATTTTGCAAAGCAATTCTACATACATGATATCCCTTAATGTAGTATCAAAACAGACTCCTAATAAGACTAATAGCTACTATTTGAACCCACCTTTTCATTTATGTCCCCATGTTTTGCCTTAATAAGTAAAAAGAATTTAAAACAACAGTAGAGTATTATTACATAAAACATCAGCTAGTTCGTGGTAAATTATAGTAAATTGTTGAAAAAAGAAAAATGTATTTTACAACTTATTAACCTTTTAAAAAATATCAATATGAGGTGTAGATGTTGCAATAGTAACCACACACAAATACATGCACACAGAATTTTCCTCCTTTTTTATTATTCTGAAATAAATTAACATTATTGTATGATATATAGGGGTTGAATACCCAGCTTAACTCTATCGTATGTTTGTCTTAAATAACCTAGAAAATACTGACTAGATACATTTTCCCCAATTAACAAAACTAAATTTTGTGAAATTATGTTATTATTGGAAAATTATTACACTTCTAAAAAGTTACATAATGGTAGCACTGTGTAAAATTTTTAACTTGATAAGTATGTAAATTATGTACTGTGAAAAATTATCTTTTGCTCTGCATTTATCTTAATATTTTATTAAATATTATTCAATAAATAATAACTATAGGTTTAATCTACATGTATAAAGCTTGAATTTTACTTGAAGGTCCATTCTCATAAGAGTTTATGAGTTATGCAGAGATCTGAGTTCTGGACTACCTTTTGGTATTAATATCGGAACTTCATCTTACAAAGCTTACTTCAGGACATTAAATATAAAATAATCTATTTTTTGATGTTTAGGCCTTCAATGAATTTTTTTGGATTCATGTGTATGTTAATTTAATTTTATTACTACTGAATTTATATCACTACTTTATACACAGTTTCAAATATGCTAATTTTATGACTTTTACCATTTACTTAGAGCATAATACTTTCTTAGAAGACATTTCATGGTTATAAAGATAGTATAGCTATTTTGTAAAGATATTTGAAGCCAAGGGTGATGAGAATTTGTAAAATATGTTGAACAAGAGTCGTTCAGAATAAATTCTCCCTCTTCTGTAATGTGTCTTTTACAAATTTGTCATGGGCAATTGTTGTTTCATGGGCTATCAGAAGCCTCTTTCATTTGATTTATTTTACAGACACCCAAAATGTTTAATTTAGATATACTTTTTTTTTATTTATTTCTAATTGATGCATAATAATTCCATTTGGAGTGTAATAAGTTGTATTCATCATTTTGCAGGACTAGTGTGTGTGTGTGTGTGTGTGTGTGTGTGTGTGTGTGTGTGTGTTTCTTGAGATGGATTCTCCCTCTGTCACCCAGACAGGAGTGCAGTAACATGATCTTGGCTCACTGCAACCTCTCCTCCTGGGCTCAAGTGATTCTCCCGCCTCAGGTTCCTGAATAGCTGGCATTACAGGCATGTGCCACCATGCTTGGCCAATTTTTGTATTTTTGTAGGGATGGGGTTTCACCATGTTGGCCTTGCTGGTCTCGAACTCCTGACCTCAGGTGATCCTCCCGCCTGGCCTCCCAAAAGGGTAGGATTACAGGTGCAAGCCACCGCACCTGCCTTATGAAATGGGCTTTCCAGTTTATCTGCACCATCTTGTCTGCTCTTTACTGTACATATGGCTGACAAAGAAAAGGGAAGAGGGAATTGCCGTGTTGAACATGTCTAGTTCTTAGTTCCTGCAGGTATTCACCAGCGCAGGCTCCCAGCGTGCTTGTCTATATCTGCGGCTGGACTTTACAGGCTGCTCTTTGTTAGAAAATGATTTGGGGCTGCTTTTCATTAAAGAGAAAAGCCTTACAAAGGACTCCCTCACTATCCTAAGGGATTTCTTCTTAACTCCTATATCAAAATGTGATTCCCAGTGTTGAGGTGGGACCTGGTGGGAGGTGATTGGATCATGGGCTGGATCCCTCATAAATGGGTTAGCACCATCCCCTTGGTAATAAGTGAGTTCTCTCTCAGTTAGTTCATGCACCTTCTAGTTTAAAAGTCTGATACCTCCCAGCCTTTCTCTCTTGCTCCCACTCTCACCACATAATGTGCCTGCTCCCGGTTAACCTTCCACCATGATTATAAACTTCCTGAGGTCCTCAGCAGAAAGAGATGCTGGCACCATTTCCTGTATATCTGGCAGAACTGAAAGCCAATTAAACCTTTTTTCTCTATAAATGACCCAGTCTTGGGTATTCCTTTATAGTAATTCGAGCAGATTAATACAGCACTTTTTTAGGAAATAATCATTTTATTTTAGGAAATTATAATTTCATTCATTAAATATTAGTGTTGATGATTTCAGTAAACATTAAATTAATATTTTTCTATTAGAAGAAAACTACTTCTATATTTTTGAAAATAAAATTGTATTAGTTTCCTAGGACTGCTGAAAGAAATAACACAAACATAGCTACTTACCCAACACAAATTAATTGTCTGACCGTTTTTGCATGTTAGAAGTCCAGCATGATGTGGCTAGGTTATCCGCTAAGTATATCTTAAGACACATAAGGCATTGCTAGAGCTACATTATTGTTGGGAGGGTCTGAGGAAAAAAACAAACAAACAAACAAACAAACAAAAATATCTGTTCCAAACTCCTTGTTTGAAGAATTTTCCTGGGCCTGTAGAAATAAGAGTCCCCATGTTTTTTGCTGGCTATTAGGTGGATATCACTCTCAATTCCTAAAAGTTGCCCACTTTTTTTGTTTTTATTTTGTTTTGGTTTGTTTTTATCAGACCCTGTCTCCTATTCATATATCCACATTTTTTTTTTTTTTGCCATATGTCTTCCTCCATCTTCAAGCCAATCATGGGGTGTCAAACACTTACACTCTCAGTCTCTGACTTAGTATCTCATGACCAGCCAGAGGAAGCTCTGCTTTTAAAGCACCTAAGCCTTTGAATCTGGCCCAGAGGAATAATCTGTTAAAACCAATTTAGCTACCTAACATAATCACAAGAAAAAGATTCATCATATTCATAATCCCAGAAATTATAAAGGGAGCACACATCAAGAGAAAGCAAAGTGTATTAGAAGCCATCTTATAATTCTCTGCACTATGGTAGTCAATACATAGAAATATAGTGGAAAAGCTATTTGTACTTTCTTTATCCAAAAATAAAGACGTCTGGGATATTTGGGAATATTTTATCAAGTATAATTTAAAAAAATGTTTTTACATAATTATCACTTTACATATAAATGTATCTTTTTAATTAATGTACACAAGCATTTTCAATATTATGAAATATTTTTATAATCCTTTAAAATTGGATGAAGCACTGATTTTTGACCATAGGAAAATGAAATTTTTATTATTATTTTTCTTGTTCTGGATTCTCTACTTCATTAAATCATCTAGATGTAGATATATAAATATGATAAATTAATTGTTAATAAGGAATAATTCAATATTTCATTTGATATTTATTACTGTATTGCCACAGCAACGGATTTCATAACTCTGTATCTGAGCAGAATCCACCAATCTATTCTCTAACTTCATGAGATTCACTTTTTTAGTTCCCACCTGTGAGTAAGAATATGTGATACTTGTCTTGCTGAGCTTGGCTTATTTCACTCATCATAGTGGCCTCTAGTTCCTTAGATGTTGTTGTAAGTGACAGGATTTTATTCTGTTTTATGGCTGAAGAATATTCTATTGTGTATTTCATTTTCTTTATTCATTCATCTGCTGATAGATACTTAGGTTGATTCTATGCCATGGCCATTGTGAGTAATGCTTCAATAAACAGGGGAGTGCAGATATCTCTTTGATATACTGATTTCCTTTCTTTCTGTCTTTTTTTTTTTTTTTTTTTTTTTTTTTTTTAGAGAGAGAGGCAGAATCTCACTCTGTCACCCAGGATGGAGTGTGGTGGCGTGATCATAGCTTACTGTAACCTCAAACTCCTGGGATCAAGCAGTCCTCCCACCTCAGCCTCCAAAGTAGCTACGACTACAGGCAAGCACCACCTAATTTAATCTTTTTATTTTTTTAAAGACAAGCTCTTGCTATGTTAACCAGGATGGTGTAGAAATCTTGGCCTCAAGCAATCATTTTGCCTCCACCTCCCTAAATGTTGGGATTACAGGTGTGGGCTACCACACTTGTCAAATGATTTCCTTTCTTTTGGACATATAAACATCAATGGGATTTCTGAATAATATGGTAGCTCTATTTTTACATGTTTACAGGAACCTTATACTGTTCTCCATAGTGGCTGCCTTAATTTACATTTCTACCGTCAGTGTACAAGAATTCCCCTTTTCTACCTCCTCACCGGTATCTGTTATTTTTGATACCTTTTTGATATAAACCATTTCGATACAAGCCATTTTAACTGGGATGAGATGATATTTGATTGTGGTTTTGATTTGCACTTCTTTGATGATTAGTGATGTTGAACATTTTTCCATATATGTATGGGCCATTTGTATGTCTTCTTTTGAGAAATATCTGCTCAGATCTTTTGCCAATTTTTAAAATCAGATTATTTGCTTTTTTTAAAAAAAACTATTGAGTTGTCTGAGCTCCTTATATATTCTGGTTATTAGTTCCTTGTCAGATAGATAGTTTGCAAATATTTTCTCTTACTCTGTGTGTTGTCTATTCACTTCTCTAATTGTTTCCTTTGCTGTGCAGAAGCTTTGTTAGATTGATGTAATCACAGCTGTCTACTTTTGCTTTGGTTGCCTGGGGTTTTCAGGTCTTAAACACACACAAAAAATCTTTTTCCAGAGCAATATCCTGGAGTTTTCCCCCAGTGTTTTCCTCCAGTAGTTTTATAGTTTCAGATCCTACATTTCAGTTTTTAAACCATGTTTTACTTTCATTTATTGGTTGGTGAGATACAGGTGTCTAGTTTTATTCTTTTGCATAAAGTTATACAAAAGTCTATATATACCAGTACCATTTACTGAAAGTACTTGCCTGTTCTTGGTGCCTTTGTCAAAGATGAGTGGGTTGTAAATGTATGGATATATATCTGGGTTCTCTATTCTGCCCCATTGGTCTATGTGCCTGTTTTCAGTCCAATGCCATGATACTTTGGTTATTATAGCTTTATAGTAAATTTTAAAGTCAGATAGTGTGATGCCTCCAGCTTTGTTCTTTTGGTTCAGAATTACTTTAGCTATTTGGGGTTTCTTTCTTATGGTTCCATATAAATTTGGGGATTTTTTTTCTCTTTCTGTGAAGAATGTCATGAATATTTTGATAAGATTGCACTGAATCTGTAAACTGATTTTGATAGTGTTGCCATTTGAACATTAATTTTTTTAATTCATGAGCATGTAATATCTTTTCATTTTTCTCTGATGAAAAAGTGCTCAACATCACTCATCATCAAAGAAATGAAAATCAAACCACAACGAAATATCAACCCACCCCAGTTAAAGTGGCTCATATCAAAAAGACAGGCAATAATAGATACTGGTGAGGAGATGGAAAAAGGGGAATCCTTGTACACTGTTGGTAGAAATGTAAATTAGTAAATCCACTGTGGAGAACAGTAAATTCCATTGACATATTTTATCTATGTTCATCAGGAATGTTGGCCTGTAATTTTCTTTTTGTTTTGAAGAAATTATATTTCTTTCATCTGAGTTTTATAGTTTTTCTTGGATAGATCTTTCACATCATTAGTTAGATTCCTACATATTTTATATTTTTGTAACTATTGTAAATGTGATTGCTATCTTGATTTCTTTTTCAAATTGTTCCCTATTGGTGTGTATAAATGCAACTGTTTTTGTATGTTAATTTTGTATCCTGCAACTTTACTGAATTTATCAGTTTTAACAGGTTTTTGCTTTTGTTTTTTCTGGAATCTTTAGGTTTTTCTAGAAGATCATGTCATCTTCAAATCAGGCTAATTTGACTTCTTCCTTTCCAATTTCGATGCCCTTATTTCCTTTTTTGCCTAGTTGCTCTGCCAAAGACTTCCAGGGTTATGTTGGGTAACAGTGGTGAAAAGTGAGCTTCCTTGTCTCCTTCCACTATTTATAGGAAAGGCCTTCAATTTTTCCCTATTCAAAATGATGTTAACCATGGGTTCATCATATATGACCTCTATTATTTTGATGTATTTTCCTTGTCTTTCCATTTTGATGAGGATTTTTATGATAAAATGTGTTGAATTTTATCAAATGCTTTCTGATGGCATATATTGAAATAGAAATCATATGATTTTTGTTCTTGATTCTGTTAATGTGGTGTATTATATTTATTGATTTGCATATATTGAAACATCCTTGCATCTCTGGGACGAATCCCACTTGATCATGGTGAGTAATCTTTTTAATGTGTTGTTGAATTTGGTTTGGTAGTATTTTGTTGAGAATTTTTGTATCTATGTTCATCAGGGATATTGACCTGTAGTTTTCTTTTGTTGTTGTGTCCTTGTCTGGTTTTGGTATCAGAGTATGCTGATCTTTTTGAATGAGTTTGGAAGTGTTCCTTCCTTTTCAATTGTTTTGGTAAATTTGAGGTAGAATTAGTATTGGTTCTTCTTTAAATGTTTGGTGGAATTAATCAGTGAATCTACCAGGTACTGGATTTTTCTTTGAGATTTTAACATCAGGCTTAAATCTCCTCATTATTGGCGTTCGTTTTCTATTTCTTCATGGCTCAATCTTGGTAGGTTGTATGCATTCAGGAATTCATTCGTTTCTTCTAGGTTTTCAAGTTTGTTGGCATACAGTTGATCATTATAATCTCTTAGCCTCTTATAATGATTCTTTGTATTTCTGAGGTCTCAGTTGTTTGTGTCTCCTTTTTTGTTTCTAATTTTAATTATTTGGATCTCTCTTCTCTTTTTTAGTCTATATAAGGGTTCATCTCTTTTGTTTATCTTTTTAGAAAAACAACTTTTCATTTTATTGATCTTTTCTTTGGAGAAGACAAGATGTTTATTGGTGCTTCTCCTTGCACCTCTATTTATGAAAGCATTCAAAATTGCTTTGCTGATATGAAAGATTAATTTATTGGTTTCTCTGACGTAAGCTTATAATTTATTTAAATCTAAATTGTGCAAAGACAATCCAACCTTCGATGAACTTTTAAAATGAAGTTGTTTGAGGTCCGGTTTTCCTAGATACAAAGGATACATTTCTCAGGAATATTTTAATAATGGTTTAATGAAATAGCGTCACTTAATTCTTATGTTTTATATAAGATATTTTAATTAAGATGTGCCAAAACAGTTGAAGACAATAATTAACACAGGAAAACTACTTCAAATATATCTAACATACATAAAACCAATTTTAAACATGTAGACATTTATGTTTCATAGTTTACAAAAGTGATGGTCATGTGAAAGAAAGTGTAATGTAATTAAATTTTCACTTTAGTTTAGGAGAATAGTATCTATAATATTGAAATCTTTGTCTAAAAATGCTCAGTACCAAGTAAAATTAAATATC
Source organism: Homo sapiens (assembly GCF_000001405.40). Classification (NCBI taxonomy): domain Eukaryota; kingdom Metazoa; phylum Chordata; class Mammalia; order Primates; family Hominidae; genus Homo; species Homo sapiens. The sequence continues at coordinate 189,455,635 of NC_000001.11, forward strand.
TGTAAAATTATCTCAAATATCTTAATATTGTCTGCAAAGCAAAAGGTGATTAACTCTGCATATCATTTTTATTTTTAAATTCTAACTTGTAAAGCGTAGTAAAATTTTCCTGTGCAACACACACATATATTGTCATGCAATGTAATATTTATTCAAAAACTTAGAGAGATTCATCTTTTATTCCTTGAGGCAGAAAAATGAATTATTTGAACTAAAAGAAAAATGGACATGTGCTCCTGTATGAGGAATATTTAACCCCATGTCTCTGAGGGTGTTTCTGTTTAAATTACATCACTACAGTTAAACATATATAATATACCATGGTAATTGTGAAACACAAAATTCATACCTACTGAACCATTTCCTTGATAATTTTTCTCTTTGTACCCCTATATATGAAATTCTAAATTCTCTTACAGATATTAGAGATTAATTTATTAATTTGTCTGCCAAACCTGAGTTTATAATTTATTCAAATCAAAATCAATATTACTATATATTACTTTGTTGTCTTTCAGAGATCAGTAATTATCTGTGAGAGTATAGTATTTAGTTTTAGGATTATTATACATATAGTTAATCATAATCTTTAATTAGGTGCAGAAAATTGTGTAGTTTTAAATTCATATATTTGGCTGCATTAGTTAAAAGGCGCTAGGCATTATTTTGTTCAGGTACTTTAGGAAAATATCACAAATGATTACTTTGGAGGATGATAATTGAGTAGGCACAGTGTGAAGACAATCAGAACAGTAGTAATAGAAACTAGAAGGGCCTCCCTATAAAGGGAGAGTATGAGGGACTGCCTGGAGATCATGCTTGGTCATAGTGCCCTGGGAAGACTCCCTAACTACACAAAAGGTACACACTTACGAAATTACATAATTACTGAAATGACAGTAAATTCAAAGAGAAATGAATTGCATTCTATGACAAAATGCATATGAAGTCGAGCATCCTATCCAACAGGGAAAGGGGGCTTCTTTATATTAATTCAAGCATCAATAGCATTTAGGGTACTCTTTCCTTTTATTATTTATTTAAGGTTTGCTATTTTTTTTCTTTCTGATATACTCTATAATTTGTCTAACATACAAAGAAAGATTATACAGTTTTCTACCTCTTTGACTATGAATTATTTATATCATTTTACAAACAATTTAAATTACAACTGACAGCTGCTAAATTACATAGATATATCTTGATAGAAACAAAATGCTCCTTGAAATAAATGACATACTTAGATGTATTTCTTTTTCAATACAAACATATGTTTTGTAGTACTTTTCGTATAATCTTATCTGTTAAACTTGAGCAAGTAGAAGTGCCTTTTATTATAGTAGTAGAAATACTTGTATTTTGTGAAATTCTCATACATTGATGAAAGTATCATAGTTGTCTATTATTTTTATTATAATCTTTCTATTCTAGCATAAGGCTAAGCCCAATATCTGTGCTCAGTTAATTACTGTTAATTTTTTGTTGATAGGTAAAATTTGTAAATTCAATTTTGGTTTTATTTTTAGAAAACAAGTTTCTCAATGTCTGTGGTTAATTGCGTTATACTTGTCTTAAAATAAGTTTATGATAACACTGATGTATAATACATAATTAATATTTTACTTCAGCTTGAGTGGAAAAATGAAAATCATTATATAGTTTAAACATTGTTTTGGTAGTCTTGATTAACTGACATCTTGCCATTATCACAATTACAATAGTAACAGTAAAATTTTTGCAAAAAGTTACAATTTATATTTTCAACTATAATTATTCCTGTGGTTTAATAGGTTTTACTACCTCTCCCTGAACTGAAAGAGAAACTCACTAATAAAAAGTTTGCAGTGATTAATTAGAAACCTGTTGTAACCCATCTTTTGAAGACAGATAAATTGTCTTTTCATTTTCCTCAAGATAAAGTTTTATAGTAATTTATTTTTTCTTCCATGGCAATTCATGGCTTGGAAAGTTACTTTTCTTGTTTTAATATAGTTCAAGTTTACAGATAAAAATAAAAAGTTCAATTTGGTTTTATATATGTGTATATATGTGTATGCATATACACAAACACACAGACACACACACATATATATATTTATTTATTTATAGAGATATCCATTTATGTAGAATAAACTCACTCAAGCTTATGTTCTGTTAACTTGCCAGAATATCTGAGAGCAAAGAATGTCCAGTGCTCCCTAAAACTTTTCACAAAGTCATTCACTGGAAGAGGGTCTTTAGGAAATGAGTTATGGTGCTAAAGAAAAAATGTGAGCAGCAAATCCTCTCTCAAATCTCTACCTATATTTATATCCATATGGTCATTAATAAGAAGGATTCCAGTTGTCTTTCTCATCATCAGTCTTAAGTAATTGTATCTAAATTTAAATGTAAAGCCCTTTTAAATTATTTTCAAGCTTTTCTGTTTTTCAAAATTATGGTGTCAGATGGTAAATTCATTACACTTACATGGAGAATACATTATAAACGTTAATTACTGTATTTTGCTTTACATGAAACCAAAGGTTTTGCATGCCTTGGTTGATATATAATGGCACTTCAGTGATGAAAAAGATAATTATACAAATCTGCTGGCCCCGACCTCAACGTCTGCACTGAATTATTTTTCTAGATACAATACCATGTAAATACAAACAAACAAAGCAAACACATCAGGTATGATATTGAAAAAAACAAAGAAAACAAAAGACAAAAAATAGACACCTTCCAAATATTTTATTCTCTCTAAAGAATACTTTATTCTCTCCCAAAACATTTGGGAGAGAATAAAATATGTTTCTTGGTTGGATCACAAATTACAGTTCAAGTATCTTGTCCCAATGCCTAAAATAACTTTTTTTTGAAATTTTTATTTATATGTACTCTTGACAAAATTGTCAAAATCAAACACATAACTCATTAAAGACAAGGACTCAAATTGTGTATACTGATTTAATCTCAATAGGTGTGTTACTAATTTAATGTTCACTTCATCATCTACATAAGCTTTTTAAAGTGGCTAACATCAAGAATAAAATAAAATATGAGACAAATTTCTTGAAAGAATTATATTATGTGAAGCCAATCTTGCTTTTCTTCGAAACAAACTGGTATTTTAGTGAGACTTTCCACATATTTCACATTGAAAAACTGACTTTATAAAGGCAAATGTTTTGACATTTAAAATATGATCAGGAAGAGATGTGGGTAATTCACTGAGCATTCTGTGTCTCAGGTTTTTCTCTGTAAAATCAGAACATTAAGTAAAATTATCTTATGTTTTTTTGCCAGCACTCTTCCAATTATGGAACAGACCAGTTGAGTAGCTCTAGGAAATCCAAATTGTTTCTCAGTTTTCTCTTTTGCAAATCCCTGTTCCATCAATGTCAAAAACATTTTGTGAAGATAATTATGATTAAATAAGTGTTAACAATTTTTTAATGCCTAAAGATGTGATAGGAAATGGTAACAAAATTATTTTCTATAAATTTATTTATAATTTTTATACTTATAAGTTAATTATGTTATTTAACTTTTTAATATAAAACAATAACTCCAAATATATTTTTCCATTTTACTCAGTAAATTTAATGCTATTTAATAACAACCATGTTCTGTTTGTTATGCTAGTTATCTCCATTTGCCCCCAAAACAATGTATCTAGAAATACAGTGATACAAGAACAATTTATTTCTTCAACAAGAAGAATGATCTACTGTTTGTATCAACTGTTTACCGTCTATAATCACTTAATTTTCCATCTATGTTTCTCATGCAAATTAAAGTTAATTTCCAACAGTTTATTTCTGGGCCAGACCTCTCTCCTGTATTTCAGATTCATATGTCCAAATACCTATTTAACATCTCCAATTAAATATTTAATGGATAGCTTATATTTAATATAACCACAACTGTCAACATTTTCACCTGTATCATCCACCATTTTACTAAGATAATTCCATTTTTGCAGTTGTTCAGTCTAATAAATTTAGAGTCATGCATAATTCTTCTTAAGCATTCAATAATCAATCAATCTATGGGGGAATCTTGTTAATGCAAAACTATGTACAATCTATTTTTTGTCCCTCTACATCTCCATCTACCCCCATGTTTCAAACTACCATCATCTCTTACTTAGATAATGTCATATTTTTCAACTTTCACACTGGCCCACCTCAATCGATTATCAACAAAGAAACCAAAGTGCTGATGATATTATTCAATCGGTACTCCCTACTTACTTTCCATCTCACTCAAAGTAAAATCCAAGATTCCTGGAAAAACTCATAAGTTCTTCTCCACAATCTGACATAGCGCATGTCTCATTTCCTCTCTGCCATCACTCTTGAGATTTTTCCTTCACTTGGTCCACTGAAGCCTCAGCCTTGCTTTTCAAATTTTCCAGACTTGCTACCCTGTACTCGTTTCCTATGAGTGCAATGTTCTTTCTGATATCCACATGTCTCACCAATTTTCCTTGTAGTACTCTCTACTTACTTTCCATCTCACTCAAAGTAAAATCCAAGAATCTTACGATGACTCATAAGTTCCTCTCCACAATCTGACATAGCCCATGTCTCATTTGCTCTCTGCTATCACTGGAGATTTTTCCTTCATTTGGTCCACTGAAGCCTCAGCCTTGGTTTTCAAATTTTCCAGACTTGCTTCCCTGTACTCATTTCCTATGAGTGCAATGTCCTTTCTGAAAGCCACATGTCTCACCAATTTACCTTGTTCATCATTTTGTTCAAATGTTTTCTCAAATTGTTGCCTTCCTTAATCATATTACTAGAAATATTCCAAGCACTCCCTGTTTTTCTTCCCTGCTTCATTTTCCTCCTTAGAATCATCTAATATCCTGTATATTTTTACTAAAACATAGTTTATTGTTTCTCTCACCCACCAGAATATAAATTCTATGAGACTAGAAATTTTTAACTATCATGCTTACCTCTAATGCCAGAACCGAGATCAGTGCCTGGCACTGAAACAAAGAGAGATTATTCTAATTATTTTTCTTTTAAAATTCTTCTGTTGATTACTAGAACTGCAAAACTCATCTCAATAAAAAGTCTATGGCAGTTAAAATTATATTCATATTGCTTTTTCTTCTTAGTCACTTACAGTGATTTCTAATATAACAAAATCATTTTAAATGTGTATTAGAATATGGATATACTTTCTGTAGCAGCCCGAAAAGAAATAGAAAAATATCACAGTTTGAAACCATATAGGTCGTTTTGGTTGTTTTGTAATTTTTATTCTTAAAAGACATTACATTATTATAAAGACATTGTAAACTTTACCCATAAAGCTTGCAGAATGTTGTGCATTAATTCGTAGGATCAGAATTAACAATAAAACTCAAGCACCATATTTGTCTAGAAAAACCACCTCTCAGCTAACCAGTGAACATGGATATAAATAGACCCTGAAATCTGCTCTTGGTTAATTCACTGACTTAAAGCACTGTGACAGATAAAACAAGTTAAACATAATTAAGAAGGCTAGCATATTATCTGGGATTCTAGTGCAAAAGAAATATGAAGATAACCTCAAGAGGATGACCTAGGAGGAAGACAAGACTCTAGCCAGGATTTTGAGTGCTTACTTTATAAAGCTGTCTGTAACATCTGTAGCAGCAATGTTCACAATAGCAAAGACTTGGAACCAACCCAAATGCCCATCAATGATAGACTGGATAAAGAAAATGTGGTACACATACACCATGGAATACTATGCTGCCATAAAAAAGGATGAGTTCCTGTTCTTTGCAGGGACATGGATGAAACTGGAAACCATCATTCTCAGCAAACTAACACATGAACAGAAAATCAAACACCGCATGTTTTCCCTCATAAGTGGGAGTTGAAGAATGAGAACACATGGACACAGAGAGGGGAACATCACACACTAGGGCCTGTCAGGGGGTGTGGGTCTAGGGGAGGGATAGCATTTGCAGAAATACCTAATGTAGACGACAGGTTGATGGGTGCAGCAAACCACCATGGCACGTGTATATATGTAACAAACCTGCACATTCTCCACATGTATCCCAGAACTTAAAGTATAATTTTAAAAAGCCATCTTTAGAAGAACTTATGAATGGTAATATTATCAGAAGATAAGCCTAAAAAGCTTAAATGTCTTAAATTCATTTTTAGTTGTATTGTATGTTATATACTCTGGGGAAAGAAGGATGGAGATCATGTAAAATGGACTAACGATTTTCCTTCTCTGCCTCAAACACTTTTTGTCAGCATTATCACAATAAGTATAGTTAGTTGTATGTTGTGCTAAACACATTAAAGTCTTCTTATTAATACCCATTTTAACCTTATGTGGTAGGTTTTATTGTCAGTATAAATCTAGGTTAAACTTTTTAACCAGAGTAGATGATGGTTTCAGGGCCAACACTAGTCTGTTGTCCTCCTAAGCCCTCTTGAATATTATAGTATATTCTTCCCATGGGAGTCCAAGAAAAGCCTGGAAAAAACAAGGGATCAAGGGAATGGAGGAAGATGTTTTGTGGGAAGAAGATATATGAGTTGTACTTGAGTATAAATCATGCATAGTGGTGTGCTATGAAGTCTCTCCACACATGACCGAGTTTACCTCATAGAGCCTTCAACAAAATTTCATATCTGATTTTCTTTGAAGTAGTCTGAGTATTAAAGAAAAGAATGGAAATTTGATCCAGGGTTAATTGCAGAGATAACCAGAGATGGCTATAAAAATACTATAACTATTTTTAAGCTAGACAGCTATTTGTCTTTTAATATAAACTCAGTAATTGATATGCCTAAACATTCTGTCCAATATCAGTGAATATTTTTCTGACTTATGATTTATTATTTTAACTGACAGATAAAATTCTATACATTATATGTCTTAAATTATATATACATGTGGAATGACTGAATCTAGCTAATAGAAATATGCATTACCTCACATACTTGTCATTTATGTGGTGAGAACACAAGTGTTTTAAATATGTTTGCCAAATTTCAGTTAAAAAACAGAATTAAATTTAAAATGCCTATAATTCACAATGTGGCCATAAAAATTAATCGGATCAAATGGATCAAAGCCATTCAAATATATCCTTATTAACTGTTCTTGATATGGTAAAATGTAGCTCATATTGTTTCAGAATTTGATTTTTTAGATGTGGTTATAATTCTGCCATACAAAGAAAGCTGCATGGTTGAGAGAGATTTCAATTCCAAACTTGCAGTACAAAAACAACACTGCCACTTACCAGCCCTGCCACAACTTGCAAATCACTTAAGCTTTCTGAGCTCCATTATATTCATCTAGGAAGTAGGATCAATGCACAAAATATTTTCAGTGAATGCAGAGTAGGAGATGACAAAAAGAGCCATGCTCTAATTCCACTCCACATGAACACTTAAGATATTTCTCTCCAGAAATCACCTGTAGACAATAGAAAAATAAATTCATACCCACTTAGTTAACTGTGTGAGAATGTAAATTTAAAGCATTTTTGACTAGGGAAACTTTATCATAATAAAATGCTTTAATTTCCCTGCGCATGAAATATTTCCCCCAAGGAATGTATCTATTAATGGCATGCTATGATTAATTAATTGGTTCTGGGAACTATTATACCATATTAGTCACTTTCACATTAGTGTTCCCAAGAGTGGTGAATAAATAAGACAGTCACTGCACTTCTACATGTCCATTTTCTGCCAAGACGTTTTGCTGATGTGCAGTTTCTGTGCAGTTTCCCACAGTGTACTTCTCGGCTGACTTAGTTCAAGCTTTGTTAGTTTAATGCTTAGAAAAGCCTCATGTTCTTGCAGAAAATCTTTTGCTCTCATTACTTTTTTGTGATATTATGGACAACAATTTCCCTAGGGAGCATGGCAATTGATCCCAGCAGGATTATTTACGGTGACATGGTGGCACTGTTGCCAATGGGGGCATTGTCAAAGGGTAGGCTCCTTCAATGTCAATTTTAACCCAGCAGCAAATTCTGCAGTACTAAATAATTCTGTCTATTTTCTTTCTAGTCAGGTAACTGCTGTCAAATTAAAGAGGTCTTCAAAACTCACAGCACAGTTTTGCTTTTTCATTACTACATCTGCAATTTGATTGGTGTTATATATTTTCTTGCATGAATGAACATCAATTAAAGGAGATGAACATTTATAGGAAATTTATTCAACTAGAGAGGGTTGCAATTTTTACATGTCAACCATCTGAATTCATATTGCAGTGATATTTTTGGAAAACAAGAACTTGTAGATTAAATAAGTTTTATTAGTATTTCAAATAAAATAAAATAATTTTCTTAAAATATTAAAGCAAAATCACTGATATATGCCTATTAAAATATTAAATTAAGTAAATATGGTATTACTACTAAAATAACTTACATTTCTGACACGTCACTTACATTTTAATTCAGCCTTCCTAATAATCCAACTATATACCACATATTGTTATGATGAGGTAACTAATCCTCAGAGATACAGATAACCTTTTCGAATTAGTGTATATATTAAGTTTATGATGGAAGTTTTTGACACTACATTTAACATTTTTTTTCTATGCTACGTTGGTCCTTTCCCTTCAAAAGCTCTTGAAGAACATTGAAAGAAGGCAACGGCCTTCATCTGCATTTCAACCATCAAAGCAACCATCACCCTTGTTCACATACCTATCGTGAGACAAAAAGAAATACTTACATTAATTTCTAACATCATCTCACAGAGTTAATATTTTATTTGTGAACATTTTACATCCACTGTCAGCATTTTTCAAGAACACAATATATTGGTAACTAAAGTCACCATGTTGTACCATAGATCTCTTAAAATTTTATTCCTCCTATCTAACTGTAGTTTTCTATCCTTTGATGAACATCTTTCAAATCTCATTTCCAACCACTCCAACCTCTGGTAATTACCCTTCTACTGTCTACTTATATAAGTTAAACTCTTTTAGATTCCACATATGACAGAGTTTATGTGGTATTTGTCTTCCTGTGGCTGGATTTTTGACTTAACGTAATGTCTTCCAAGTTCACACTTGTCACAAATGCCAGAATTTCCTTCTTTTCTGTGGTTGAATAGTATTCCATTGTGTATATATGTCATGTTTTCTTTATCCATTAACCTGTTCATGGACACAGGTTGACTCCAGATCTTGGCTACTGTGAATAGTGCTACAATAAACATGGGAGTGTGGATATCTCTTCAATACACTGGTTTTGTACTCTCTCTCTCTCTCTCTCTCTCTCTCTCTATATATATATATATATATATATATATATATCACACACTCAGTAGTGAGATTGCTGGATCATATGATAGTTCAATTTTAAATTTGTGAGAAAACTTTATACTGTTTCCACAAAGGCGGGACTAATTTACATTCCTACCAACAGTGTGCTAGTTCCTTTTTCTCCATACCCTAACCAACAATTTTTTTGGATTTTTTATAATAACCATTCTAACAGATATGAAGTGATAGCTCATTGTGGCTTTAATATGAATTTCCATGATGATGTTGAGCATTTTTTTCCATAGCCTTGTTGGCCATTTATATTTTCTTTTGAGAAATGTCTGTCCAGATATTTTGCTTTCGTTTTAATTAGGTTGTTTGTTTTCCTTATGTATTTTAGATATTAATCATCACAGAATTAATAACAATGTAAGGTAATGCATATGTTAATAAGCTAGATTCAGTCACCACACAATATATATATATTTCAAAAATATCATGTACAAAATAAATACCTGCAAATTTATCTTTCAATTACAGTATTAAAATAAAATATTATCATAATGGATATCAAAATATATGAAGTGAATTATGTGACCCCCAACATCTCTTTTACATTTTCAGTTAGTTATGGATGAAGTTAGTGTCAAGGCTGATGTTTCTAGTTCCCTACCATTGTATGCTTAATACACTCCAGTTTCTCACTCGTCCTTTTAATAAGCAATTATAAAAAGTAAAACAAACAAAAAAACTTTTACTGTAATATGATCATCTCTCAAAATTATTGATTATTTGAAGGAGTGTCTCTATGTATAGAGTACAATATTTAATTATTTTCTCATAATTCTTCATTTTGTACTCACTGATTCAGCTAAGCCACATGAATCTACACTTTCTTTTCTAGTTTACATTTCATAATGCCTATATTTTACCTGTGAAAAATATCAACAATATTTGCTCATAAAATTTTGTAAAATGAAATTCAGATTATTATTTTCTATAAATAAAATTTAGAAGCTTTTTTAAACCGGAGTATTCAGATTTTTACAAACAACAGATGCACAATATTTTAAATGTTGGTAAAATATAAATAATATTAGTGTTTATTCTGTTTCAGGTTATTAGGCAATATTTGCTAGTTGATAAACTGACTTTTAATTTACTAATTAGAAATAAATTGAGTCTCAGAGATCAATGTACTCTCCCCTTCTTGGATGAGATTAACATTGATAGCCTAATAAATGTTATCTCATATATAGGCACACACAACACAACTAAAACCTCACCAAAATGATTGTTTTCCACCTTCTGTGATTGACCTTGTTTATAAACTTTGTATCTACAGCAATTAGAAAACATTTTTTTCTAATGTTTCCTTTATTGCTTTATTTCTCTGGTTTTGACTTGGGAGACGATATTAAACAGGGTTATAGTTTTCCTAAAATTAAGATAAAAATAATTGTAAGTTAAAGGAAAATGCAAAAAAAAAATGACAACATTAGGATCAATTTGGTTCTTAAAGAAGGGTTTGATGTAATGGAAAATTAAGCTGAAGTACGCTCAGTAATTCAGTATAGTCTCAATTCTTAAATAAAATAATAAAACAATATCAACTTAGAGAAATAAAAAAATTATAAGATGTAAAAAGAAATTTTAAAACAAAAGTTCCAATATTTAACTATTCCTGAGAATTCAATATGAGAAGTTCCAAAGATAATTGAAATATTAATTTATGAAAATTCAGCAATATGTAAATATGTCTTGGTATAAAGTGCTGAGATTTTAATAGTACTGTCTACAGGATAATTAGTTATTAGCTAATTAATTCCTTGCTAGTATTAATTATCATGTTGCAAGTAAATACTCTTGATAGACCCTGTGGATCTGCTAAGGTTAAGATATTGTTCTTGCACCGAAGGACAGCTAATAAACCTAAGTATAAGTAAAGCTGAATTACTTTTAAATATAACAAGGATTTTTTATTCCACATTATTCCTGACCATTAAAATAGAAACTATCCTAATGCTAAATGACGAGTTAATGGGTGCAGCACACCAACATGGCACATGTATACATATGTAACAAACCTGCACATTGTGCACATGTACCCTAAAACTTAAAGTATAATAATAATAAAATAAAAAATAAAAAATAAATAAAATAGAAACTAAAGTCTAATCAATTTGGTTAAAAATGTATTTGCTGGTGTGTCCTAAGACATCTACAACTATCTGATATTTGACACACTTGACAAAAACAAGTAATGGGGACAGGATTTCCTATCCAATAAATGAAGCTGAGATAATTGGTTAGCCACGTGCAGAAAATTGAAATTGGACACTTTCCTTACATCATATACAAAAATTAACTCAAGATGGATTAAAGACTTAAATGTAAAACTCAAAACTACAGAACTTCTGGAAGACAATGTTTTCCAAACATTGGTTTATATTCAAAATGAGATGTTTCTGTGGCATTCCTTCATCTGATGAAATTTTCTCACCCTGCAAATTATATTTGTTAGTTGTTTACTGAGTAGATAAATCTAATAGCAAATAATGAGAAAACATTATTACCCCTTAAGTTGGTTAGGATTTTGGGGAGATGTAAACAAAATGGAGGGCAAATTTATAAAATTTTAAACAAACTTTCTAAATGCCTAAATACTAAAAGATAGTGTGTGTATAAATCACAATGTACCTGTTACCATATGACTTAGGACCAATCTAAACTGGGTCAGTACCAAAAAGAGCGAACTAATTAGTTTTGTAAAAGAAAAAAATGTGTGGTTGGGCGTGGTGGCTCATACCTGTAATCCCAGCTACTCGGGAGGCTGAGGCAGGAGAATTGCTTGAACCCGGGAGGTGGAGGTTGCAGTGAGCCGAGGTCATGCCATTGCACTCCAGCCTGGGAGACAGGGCAAGACTCCGTCTAAAAAAAAAAAGAAAAAAATATGAAAATGACCCAAAAAGGAACAATTTCAAGAAAAGATTGAAAATGAATTAAAAGTATAGTAAGAATACTTAGAAATCCTGAGGTTCTTTATCACCCTATTCCTTGATACCAATTTACTGACCATTCAAATTACATTTCATTCCATTTAATTTATGTGAATTCTCAGAGTTGAAGATTATGCTTTACTTATATTAAAAGGGATACATATGTAAGTTATGTAACACTCCACCTAACATGTTAATAAATCTTAGTTTAAAACTTCTATTGTAGTAGTCACAGTAATGTTCTCACACTGCAATTCCCTTCATTTTGAAACATGAATACAACCTTTCTAATGACTTTTTTGTTAGTTATATCAAGCCACCTCTTCTAATTATTCTGTTTGTTTCTAAGAAATAACTTGTCACTAATTGCGTTTAGCCGGTTCTTCACAAGTGATTGAAAGTCTGAAACACCTGATAAATAGTAGCCTTTGGATTACACAAAATGTTTTCTACGGCTCTATGCATGCAATTAATTAGAGTTGAAGGAATATATCATTACCGTGATGTCTGAAACAAACCAATCTAAAATAATGTTAATTATTTATCTGCAGGAGGAAACATGCCTAAGGTGGGATAGTAAAACTTATTTTTAATCATTTTATCAAATAGGACAACCAATAACCTTGTTTTGCTGCAAATAATTTGCTGTGCCTTCCTGAGTTATCTACAGCCAAATATATTTTGTTCCAATTTTACTGGCTTGAAAAATATAACTGGTAAACTGCATGGGCTATTTTTGAATGTTCTCTTTTACCCTGTTTGAATTTGTTTTTTTTTCTATTTTTATTTATTTTTTTACTTTTTAATTCTTTTTAACATGTCTTTCTTTTTTTATTTATTTTATTTTATTTTATTATTATTATACTTTAAGATTTAGGGTACATGTGCACAATGTGCAGGTTAGTTACATATGTATACATGTGCCATGCTGGTGTGCTGCACCCATTAACTCGTCATTTAGCATTAGGTATATCTCCTAATGCTATCCCTCCCCCCTCTCCCCACCCCACAACAGTCCCCAGAGTGTGATGTTCCCCTTCCTGTGTCCATGTGTTCTCATTGTTCAATTCCCATCTATGAGTGAGAACATGCGGTGTTTGGTTTTTTGTCCTTGCGATAGTTTACTGAGAATGATGATTTCCAATTTCATCCATGTCCCTACGAAGGACAAGAACTCATCATATTTCATGGCTGCATAGTATTCCATGGTGTATATGTGCCACATTTTCTTAATCCAGTCTATCATTGTTGGACATTTGGGTTGGTTCCAAGTCTTTGCTATTGTGAATAGTGCTGCAATAAACATACATGTGCATGCATCTTAATAGCAGCATGATTTATAGTCCTTTGGGTATATACCCAGTAATGGGATGGCTGGGTCAAATGGTATTTCTAGTTCTAGATCCCTGAGGAATCGCCACACTGACTTCCACAATGGTTCAACTAGTTTACAGTCCCACCAACAGTGTAAAAGTGTTCCTATTTCTCCAGATCCTCTCCAGCACCTGTTGTTTCCTGACTTTTTAATGATTGCCATTCTAACTGGTGTGAGATGGTATCACATTATGGTTTTGATTTGCATTTCTCTGATGGCCAGTGATGGTGAGCATTTTTTCATGTGTTTTTTGGCTGCATAAATGTCTTCTTTTGAGAAGTGTCTGTTCATGTCCTTCACCCACTTTTTGATGGGGTTGTTTGTTTTTTTCTTGTAAATTTGTTTGAGTTCATTGTAGATTCTGGATATTAGCCCTTTGTCAGATGAGTAGGTTGCGAAAATTTTCTCCCATTTTGTAGGTTGCCTGTTCACTCTGATGGTAGTTTCTTTTGCTGTGCAGAAGCTCTTTAGTTTAATTAGATCCCATTTGTCAATTTTGTCTTTTGTTGCCATTGCTTTTGGTGTTTTAGACATGAAGTCCTTGCCCATGCCTATGTCCTGAATGGTAATGCCTAGGTTTTCTTCTAGGGTTTTTATGGTTTTAGGTCTAACGTTTAAGTCTTTAATCCATCTTGAATTGATTTTTGTATAAGGTGTAAGGAAGGGATCCAGTTTCAGCTTTCTACATATGGCTAGCCAGTTTTCCCAGCACCATTTATTAAATAGGGAATCCTTTCCCCATTGCTTGTTTTTCTCAGGTTTGTCAAAGATCAGATATTTGTAGATATGTGGCATTATTTCTGAGGGCTCTGTTCTGTTCCATTGATCTATATCTCTGTTTTGGTACCAGTACCATGGTGTTTTGGTTACTGTAGCCTTGTAGTATAGTTTGAAGTCAGGTAGTGTGATGCCTCCAGCTTTGTTCTTTTGGCTTAGGATTGACTTGGCGATGCGGGCTCTTTTTTGGTTCCATATGAACTTGAAAGTAGTTTTTTCCAATTCTGTGAAGAAAGGCATTGGTAGCTTGATGGGGATGGCATTGAATCTGTAAATTACCTTGGGCAGTATGGCCATTTTCACGATATTGATTCTTCCTACCCATGAGCATGGAATGTTCTTCCATTTGTTTCTATCCTCTTTTATTTCCTTGAGCAGTGGTTTGTAGTTCTCCTTGAAGAGGTCCTTCACATCCCTTGTAAGTTGGATTCCTAGGTATTTTATTCTCTTTGAAGCAACTGTGAATGGGAGTTCACTCATGATTTGGCTCTCTGTTGTCTGTTGTTGGTGTATAAGAATGCTTGTGATTTTTGTACATTGATTTTGTATCCTGAGACTTTGCTGAAGTTGCTTATCAGCTTAAGGAGATTTTGGGCTGAGACAGTGGGGTTTTCTAGATATACAATCATGTCATATGCAAACAGGGACAATTTGACTTCCTCTTTTCCTAATTGAATACCCTTTATTTCCTTCTCCTGCCTAATTGCCCTGGCCAGAACTTCCAACACTATGTTGAATAGGAGTGGTGAGAGAGGGCATCCCTGTCTTGTGCCAGTTTTCAAAGGGAATGCTTCCAGTTTTTGCCCATTCAGTATGATATTGGCTGTGGGTTTGTCATAGATAGCTCTTATTATTTTGAAATATGTCCCATCAATACCTAATTTATTGAGAGTTTTTAGCATGAAGGGTTGTTGAATTATGTCAAAGGCTTTTTCTGCATCTATTGAGATAATCATGTGGTTTTTGTCTTTGGCTCTGTTTATATGCTGGATTACATTTATTGATTTGCGTATATTGAACCAGCCTTGCATCCCAGGGATGAAGCCCACTTGATCATGGTGGATAAGCTTTTTGATGTGCTGCTGGATTCAGTTTGCCAGTATTTTATTGAGGATTTTTGCGTCAATGTTCATGAAGGATATTGGTCTAAAATTCTCTTTTTTTGTTGTGTCTCTGCCTGGCTTTGGTATCAGAATGATGCTGGCCTCATAAAATGAGTTAGGGAGGATTCCCTCTTTTTCTATTGATTGGAATAGTTTCAGAAGGAATGGTACCAGTTCCTCCTTGTACCTCTGGTAGAATTCGGCTGTGAATCCATCTGTTCCTGGACTCTTTTTGGTTGGTAAGCTATTGATTATTGCCACAATTTCAGCTCCTGTTATTGGTCTATTCAGAGATTCAACTTCTTCCTGGTTTAGTCTTGGGAGAGTGTATGTGTCCAGGAATTTATCAATTTCTTCTAGATTTTCTAGTTTATTTGCATAGAGGTGTTTGTAGTATTCTCTGATTGTAGTTTGTATTTCTGTGGGATCGGTGGTGATATCCCCTTTATCATTTTTTATTGCATCTATTTGATTCTTCTCTCTTTTTTTCTTTATTAGTCTTGCTGGCGGTTTATCAATTTTGTTGATCCTTTCAAAAAACCAGCTCCTGGATTCATTAATTTTTTGAAGGGTTTTTTGTATCTCTATTTCCTTCAGTTCTGCTCTGATTTTAGTTATTTCTTGCCTTCTGCTAGCTTTTGAATGTGTTTGCTCTTGCTTTTCTAGTTCTTTTAATTGTGATGTTAGGGTGTCAATTTTGGATCTTTCCTGCTTTTTCTTGTGGGCATTTAGTGCTATAAATTTCCCTCTACACACTGCTTTGAATGTGTCCCAGAGATTCTGGTATGTTGTGTCTTTGTTCTCTTTGGTTTCAAAGAACATCTTTATTTCTGCCTTCATTTCGTTATGTACCCAGTGGTCATTCAGGAGCAGGTTGTTCAGTTTCCATGTAGTTGAGCGGTTTTGAGTGAGATTCTTAATCGTGAGTTCTAGTTTGATTGCACTGTGGTCTGAGAGATAGTTTGTTATAATTTCTGTTCTTTTACATTTGCTGAGGAGAGCTTTACTTCCCAGTATGTGGTGAATTTTGGAATAGGTGTGGTGTGGTGCTTTAAAAAATGTATATTCTGTTGATTTGGGGTGGAGAGTTCTGTAGATGTCTATTAGGTCCGCTTGGTCCAGAGCTGAGTTCAATTCCTGGGTATCCTTGTTGACTTTCTGTCTCGTTGATCTGTCTAATGTTGACAGTGGGGTGTTAAAGTCTCCCATTATTAATGTGTGGGAATCTAAGTCTCTTTGTAGGTCACTCAGGACTTGCTTTATGAATCTGGGTGCTCCTGTATTGGGTGCATATATATTTAGGGTAGTTAGCTCTTCTTGTTGAATTGATCCCTTTACCATTATGTAATGGCCTTCTTTGTCTCTTTTGATCTTTGTTGGTTTAAAGTCTGTTTTATCAGAGAGTAGGATTGCAACCCCTGCCTTTTTTTGTTTTCCATTGGCTTGGTAGATCTTCCTCCATCCTTTTATTTTGAGCCTATGTGTGTCTCTGCATGTGAGATGGGTTTCCTGAATATAGCACACTGATGGGTCTTGACTCTTTATCCAATTTGCCAGTCTGTGTCTTTTAATTGGTGCATCTAGTCCATTTACATTTAAAGTTAATATTGTTATGTGTGAATTTGATCCTGTCATTATGATGTTAGCTGGTTATTTTGCTCGTTAGTTGATGCAGTTTCTTCCTAGTCTCGATGGTCTTTACATTTTGGCATGATTTTGCAGCGGCTGGTACTGGTTGTTCCTTTCCATGTTTAGTGCTCCCTTCAGGAGCTCTTGTAAGGAAGGCCTGGTGGTGACAAAATCTCTCAGCATTTGCTTGTCTGTAAAGTATTTTATTTCTCCTTCACTTATAAAGCTTAGTTTGGCTGGATATGAAATTCTGGGTTGAAAATTCTTTTCTTTATGAATGTTGAATATTGGCCCCCACTCTGTTCTGGCTTGTAGGGTTTCTGCCAAGAGATCCGCTGTTAGTCTGATGGGCTTCCCTTTGAGGGTAACCCGACCTTTCTCTCTGGCTGCCCTTAACATTTTTTCCTTCATTTCAACTTTGGTGAATCTGACAATTATGTGTCTTGGAGTTGCTCTTCTCGAGGAGTATCTTTGTGGCGTTCTCTGTATTTCCTGAATCTGAATGTTAGCCTGCCTTGCTAGATTGGGGAAGTTCTCCTGGATAATATCCTGCAGAGTGTTTTCCAACTTGGTTCCATTCTCCCCATCACTTTCAGGTACACCAATCAGACGTAGATTTGGTCTTTTCACATAGTCCCATATTTCTTGGAGGCTTTGCTCGTTTCTTTTCATTCTTTTTTCTCTAAACTTCCCTTCTCACTTCATTTCATTCATTTCATCTTCCATTGCTGATACCCTTTCTTCCAGTTGATCGCATCGGCTCCTGAGGCTTCTGCATTCTTCACGTAGTTCTCGAGCCTTGGTTTTCAGCTCCATCAGCTCCTTTAAGCACTTCTCTGTATTGGTTATTCTAGTTATACATTCTTCTAAATTTTTTTCAAAGTTTTCAATTTCTTTGCCTTTGGTTTGAATGTCCTCCCATAGCTCAGAGTAATTTGATCGTCTGAAGCCTTCTTCTCTCAGCTCGTCAAAGTCATTCTCCATCCAGCTTTGTTCCCCATTGCTGGTGAGGAACTGTGTTCCTTTGGAGGAGGAGAGGCGCTCTGCTTTTTAGAGTTTCCAGTTTTTCTGTTCTGTTTTTTCCCCATCTTTGTGGTTTTATCTACTTTTGGTCTTTGATGATGGTGATGTACAGATGGGTTTTTGGTGTGGATGTCCTTTCTGTTTGTTAGTTTTCCTTCTAACAGACAGGACCCTCAGCTGCAGGTCTGTTGGAATACCCTGCCGTGTGAGGTGTCAGTGTGCCCCTGCTGGGGGGTGCCTCCCAGTTAGGCTGCCCGGGGTCAGGGGTCAGGGACCCACTTGAGGAGGCAGTCAGCCCATTCTCAGATCTCCAGCTGCGTGCTGGGAGAACCACTGCTGTCTTCAAAGCTGTCAGACAGGGACATTTAAGTCTGCAGAGGTTACTCCTGTCTTTTTGTTTGTCTGTGCCCTGCCCCTAGAGGTGGAGCCTACAGAGGCAGGCAGGCCTCCTTGAGCTGTGGTGGGCTCCACCCAGTTCAAGCTTCCCTGCTGGACTGCTTTGTTTACCTAATCAAGCCTGGGCAATGGTGGGCGCCCCTCCCCAAGCCTTGCTGCCACCTTGCAGTTTGATTTCAGACTGCTGTGCTAGCAATCAGGGAGACTCTGTGGGCGTAGGACCCTCCGAGCCAGGTGTGGGATATAATCTCGTGGTGCGCCATTTTTTAAGCCCGTTGGAAAAGCACGGTATTCGGGTGAGAGTGACCCAATTTTCCAGGTGCCGTCCCTCACCCCTTTCTTTGACTCAGAAAGGGAACTCCCTGACCCCTTGCGCTTCCCAAGTGAGGCAATGCCTTGCCCTGCTTCAGCTCGCACACGGTGCACGCACCCACTGACCCGCGCCCACTGTCTGGCACTTCCTAGTGAGATGAACCCAGTACCTCAGATGGAAATGCAGAAATCACCCGTCTTCTGCGTCACTCTTGCTGGGAGCTGTAGATCGGAGCTGTTCCTATTCGGCCATCTTGGCTCCTCCTGGAAGATTTTCTTTTAATTACAAAAAGTTACATAGAAAAGTTTCTTTTCATTGCAAAAGTCTTCATAGAAAAGTTATATAGGAAATACAATTTTATAAAAGTGGCACAGATCGTATGTAGTCTTTTAAAATATGCAATGTAAATAGACAATTGTAGGACTGAATACATAGTTTCTTGAGGCAATTGTTACATGTAAGACATCCAATTTATAAGAAAATATGGGTATACATGTGGAAGGCAAGGAAAAATGTCAATCTGCAGTATATAATCCACAAGAAAGGACTCTACCTGAGTCAATCTGTCACTGCCTCCGAGCCTCCAACTTCTAATTGGGGTATCCTCCAGCAGAACACAGAGACCTTCTTCATGAAGCTGGACCAGGATTCAAGAAATTGAATGAGAGAGTTCTAGAGGAGATGATAGGTTTGTGGGCCATGTTACTACCATACAAACAAGTGAGCCCTCAGATAAATTATGACAACCAACGTGTGTGAGTTGTAACAACCCCTTGTGCTACAGATGCCTTCCAGCACAAACAGAAGACAGCTCTGCTTTACTTGCTGTATTAGTCTGTTTTCTTGATGCTAATAAAGACTTACCTGAGACTGGGTAATTTATAAAGGAAAGAGGTTTAACGGACTCACAGTTCCACATGGCTAGGGAGGCCTCACAATTGTGGCAGAAGGCAAAGGAGAAGCAAAGTCAAGTCTTACATGGCAGCAGGCAGGAGAGAGCATGTGCAGGGAACCCCCCTGTTTAAAACCATCACATCTCCAGTCAGACGAGGTGACTCAGGCCTGTAATCCCAGCACTTTGGGAGGCCAAGACAGGCAGATCACCGGGTCAGGAGATCGAGAGCAGTCTAGCTAAGATGGTGAAACCCCATTTCTAATAAAAATACAAAAAATTAGCCTGGTGTGGTGGTGGGCACCTGTAGTCCCAGCTACTCTACTTGGGAGGCTGAGGCAGGAGAATTGCGTGAACCCGGGAGGCAGAGCTTTCAGTGAGCTGAGATCGTGCCACTGCACTCCAGCCTGGGTGACAGAGTCTCAAAAGAAAGAAAGAAAAACATCAGATCTCATGAGACTTAAACACTATCATGAGAATAGCATGGGAAAGAACTACCCCCATGATTCAATTACCTCTTACCAGTCACTCCCACAACACATGGGAATTATGAGAGCTACAGTTCAAGATGAGATTTGAGTGGGGACACAGCCAAACCATATCACTTGCCGTACAGTTCTTACAGAAAATGTCTCTTGTGTCTTGTCTCCCATACTAACATGGAACTATGCAAGGAAGAAAAATCGAGAAGTGTTATTATTTAATCTGACTTAATACAAATCTACTCCTAAAATGATTTTAAATATTGCACAAAGCAAACATCAGAATATATTATTTTTTTCTTAACTGCAATGACCTTCACTTCCACTCTGTTTTAGCATTCTACAATCATGAAATTAGTTTATACTCATGGTCATTTTAAACTGTCTTTCTTGTGAAACCACAAACTGCAGTATGCCTTTGTGTCTTCTAGCTAACATAATACTCATATCTTCATTGCACCTACTATCTTTTTATTTCCCTGTATAGCTTTAATTTTTGTAGAGTGTCTTTTTGAAATATTTTTTTTACTAAGCCTGTTTCTAGATTCAAAATATAATAATGCATGTCAGAGCAAGATGATAAATATATGTACCTATGTATGCAAATGAATACATATAGATATATGTATGTATTAGGGTTGATGTGCTATGTGTGAATTCCAGAGTTACTCTCTTTATAGAATCCTGCTGCTGTCCTCCAGGATATTCTCTTCAAGTGGACTTACATATTACACTACAATAAGCACAATTTGTGGTTGCCGATTGCCATGATTAAAAAGACGTAAAATTAGTTACTTGATATCTAATTGAACTTTCATTAACTTTAGTAACATCTTTTTGGAAGAATGAAACTATCTTTTTTCAGTCTTCACTTCCAGCCAGACCACTTTGCCTGCTAGAAAGAATAGCTCATTCAAACCATACACTGAAAGAGAGACAATGTAAAGAAAAAGTGGAGGGGTGAAAAGATGAAGTAACAGTTGTCTATAGGGAATGCAGTAATTTAAAAAAATGTCTAGAGAAAATTTAATCCACTCAAAGAAATTAAAGTTCATATTCTTTGAAAATTAGACTACTGTCTTCTCTATTCCAAAGTAAGTGCTCTTTCAAAGTGAAATATTTTAACAGTCAATGTTAATTATTGTTAAAGCTGCCACTACAAATATTCATAGAAGACTGTAAGTTCATAAAGACCACTGGGGCTGCTCTGAATCAGCAAGTTCCTGAGGAAAGAAAAAAAAATAACAAAACATAATTTATTTTTGAAACTAATCAGTTTTTTTTAAATATATTGTTTGCTTAAGTTTCTTTACAGTCTGCTATATTTATGACTTTTGTTAAAACTGTGTTTATTGTTCTGAAATGAAAGGTGTTGACATCTGGCATTTCTCTAACCATGCCTGCTGTCGGATCCTAATAGGTGTAATAAATGACTTGGAAGCGCTTGTCAATTTTACTTAAACTTGCTAGATTCAACATCATGTCAAAATTTCAGAATGTCACTGAGCCATATGCAAATCTGAAAAAATTATGCAGAGTGTTTCAATGTTAGATTTTGTAAATTATAATACAAAACTTACTACACTTAAACAAAAAATAATTCTTTAATTGCTTATGATAAATGAGGGAGTACGTAGAAAAATAATGTTATCACTACTAGGAAGGATAGCTTTGCTAAAAATAAGACATGCAATGTAACATGGTTATTGGATGTATTCATTCTCAGACTACCACCTTAGGAAAATGTAATAATTTATCTAAACTTTTCAGAATATTATCTTTAACAAAGTGGAACAATATATACTAAAGCATTATTAAATTTGGTACATACAGATCTAATTGCACAGTTTATGCAAAGACTATTGATTATTCTTGTAATGCCCTACTGGAGAAACAGATCTTACTGGCATTTAGCAAACTCAATCAGTGTTTTTTATCAATGATTTTGATAAAGGTGTACATGGAGGCTATTAAACAAGGCGATAAGTAATAGTAATAGAGCTGAACATGATTAGAAATAATTAATATTCATGATATCTCAAGTGGATGATTAAAGGAAAAAGTGATTTTTGTAAAAAAGTGGTTACTATAAATTCTGAAGTTAGTGTATATATATGTGTATATATATATATATACTTGATTTAATGTATACATATATGCTGAATTAAGTATACATACCAATCAATGTGTTTATATAAGTGTGTATACAGGATTGATACACATGTATACAATTAAATGTAGGCTAGATACCAAAAATGGAGCGGAAACACTTGAGCAGAAATAGGTGGAAACATGAGGCCAAACACTTGACCAAAATTGCAATAGATATTTAGCCTGAACATATTTAATAATGGGAATCAGAAAATTGGAGCATATCCACAGAGAAAACTAACAAGTATTCCAGCTTTGAGAGAAAGGGTAAACAAGGGTAAAGTTCAATTACATTCACCTGATGTGTCCTATTTCCACAATGTTAAATTTATGATCTGAGTTAATTCATTTCAATGGGTCACAGAGTAAAATATACAAAATAATGTATCCCAATATCTTGGAGGAGCATGAGAAAATGAAGGCTATCTTTAGCTTCCTAATTAGACATAAATGATAGTGATTAAGTGAAGATTGCTTGATTCCAGAAACTACAACCAATATTTCCCTTATCAGTAGTTTCACACAATTTTAAATCATCAAGTTTCTATCATACTTTGAAAATAGTGGTTTGAACACACAATAAGGTTCAGAGTTGTGATTCTCAAATGATTATTTCTATATTCATCCATTAGTAAAGTGGAATTCTGGTGGAAGACTGGGCTGAAAAATAAACATATTGGGTCATTCTGTATTCAGATATTTACTCAAAAAACATGAAGAAAATATGTAATAAAATGTTAGGATATGATAACCATGCTGAAATGATAGTTTCTTATTTCCAAACAGTCTTGTATATAAAACAAACATTTCATAGATATTTAAGATAAAGTACATTCAATTTTTTTTTTAGTCTCAGGGCTGTTCTAGACTCATTATAGAGAATGAAGACATATATAATTACTCTCCTTAGCCATTTATGAATACTCCAGCAGAAAGGCTTTAGAAGTGTTTATTTATGGCCTTGTATGGAACTAACTCTCTCATCATAAAATATAAATATAAATGTTTAAGATTATAATCTTTAAAATTGCTAGTAAAATAAAATTCAGAATCACACCTTATATAAAAATAAAATCTTCCCCTGGCTTATTTGTTACACTACTTCTCAACTTTGAATAAGCCTATTAAGTGCAGTGTCTGATATTCAGAGGCAGAATTAAAATATGTTCACTTATTTCCTTCACTGTGTCATGTGTGTGTGTGTGTGTGTGCGTGTGTGCATTTTATTTATTTTTTTACAATCCATTCTAGTGTCTTCAGTATCTTCCGTGTGTTTTTCTCTCTCAGTGCCTCTGTACAATCTTGACGGTGACAGGGTCAATGCCGTTTATTTAGGCTCAGTAAGTAATCAGAGAATGAATAAATGAAAGTTCCCATGAAATGTAGAGTCAAAGCATAACGTTGTTCAACATCTCCTAGCCATACATACATGCCTATTTAGCTAATAATTTTTTCCTATGTAATTTTATTCTAATTATTACCAGGATATTAAAATCATGGGGCCAGTTTGGAAAGTAATTTGAATGTGTTTGATCTCCCCCCAAGTGATGTAAATTTTGCAGTATTGGCAGGCTTCATAAAAAGATTTTTACCCTCATGCCCTTATTCAGATGGCATAAATAAATTACATCAATAAAACATTTTATTAACTCTGCCGACAATGACACAGTAGTCGTTTGTTTTGTCAATAAATTGCTGATTTTTATTGGCCATGTCATTTTTTAAACAGAGCATAAAATGCAGCTACATACAGAACTAAGGCAGAAAGAGAAGGCTTTTACTAACAGTATTTTTTAAAAAATGAAAAAGGTGAAAATGTGACTAATACAGTAAGAATTTAGTCAAGATGGCCAAGTGCTGTGGATCAGGCCTGTAATCACAGCACTTTGGGAGGCCGAGGTGGGCGGATCATGAGGTCAGGAGATGGAGACCATCCTGGCTAACACCGTGAAACCCTGTCTCTACTAAAAATACAAAAAATTAGCTAGACATGGTGGCGGGTGCCTGTAGTCCCAGCTACTCGGGAGGCTGAGGCAGGAGCATGTTGTGAACCCAGGAGGCGGAGCTTGCAGTGAGCCGAGATAGCGCCACTGCACTCCAGCCTGGGCGACAGAATGAGACTCCATCTCAAAAAAAAAAAAAAAAAGAATATAGTCAAGACAGCAAAAGCACCATAATTAATATAAAACAAAATAAACCATACACTTTTACTGTTTGGATGATATTCTGCCTGTATTTATATGTATCATATATTGTTATAAAAATGATTTACTTTGAGACTAACACTCAGCTCAATGTAATATTTTGAATTAGTCCATTATTTGTAAATGTCTATATACGTTGTGATCTTTTATTATATCTTTCACAATCAAAGAGGTTTCATTTCAGCCACTACTTTATTTATTTGAGTTTGGGGAATAAGTTAATCTTTATAATTCTCAGGTTTTTTTCATGGAAAAAGATAGTGCATATGATGAAATAATTAATATTTTCTCCATTAATCTTATCGCAGTTGTCCACTTTACTATTCTTTTAGAAAAACTCAGTGTTTGCCCTTGATGATCCTCACATCTTTGCTTTATATTTCATTACTTTCTGCTTAGAAATTTTAATCTCTTGACTTATATTTATGGGCATTGGGTGTATCTTGTGATTTATTTTTTCAGTATTGAAGATTGATATTCAATTATTTTAATTTTTATAGCCTTCTTTTTTAATACAAGCATTTACTGCTACAAATTCCCCTTTAGCATGATTGCTGTATCTGTAAACTTTTATACCTGTAGTGGTTCCATTAGTGGCTCTACTAATTCTAACTGCAGTTTTATTTCTACTATGATTCCTTCTTTCACTCATCAATTATTTTATGTGTGTTTTCAATTGCCAAATATATGGGCTACAATTTTTTAGCATTAATTCATTATTTAATTGAATTAAATTCAGATAAATAGCACAATAGACATTATTTGAACATTTTGGAGTGTAGTCTATTAATGATAGGAAACACTTTTGTAGCACTTAGATGTCTGGAGCTGTTACAAAAGTCTTACATATATTAAGTCACTTAATCATCATAAGAATTATAGAGACACAGTCCCTGCCTCTATGTCACATTTAACAGTACAGGTTGCTAGTACTGAGATGAAATTGTGGGGGTGACTGGTTTTAAAATAACATACAACAGTTCCAAGGCTTTATTGTAGTAATGTCTGTCCCTCAGACTTCTTTCTGTTTTTTTTTCTTTTTAAACAAAACAAAACAAAACAAAACTCTACGGATTCTTCTTGCATAATGATGAAACAGAAATATAGCAAAAAAAAAATACAGCTATCTCAAGCTAAGAAAATATCCGTCTTGACTATGCTAATTTTCTCCTTCGCTAAGAATGGGAAAGAGTACCATAAATCAAAATCAGCCTCATCTCATGTGGAAGAGAATGTGCTCCAGTGAAACTGATGTGTAACTGAAAACTTTGTTGTTAAGAAAGCAGCTCAAGCAATAATAAACCTTGACAAAAACTAAAAAATAAAAGTAAAACAATTTAAAAACTTAATACCAATACTCACATTTACTTTAATGTTCATTTACTATATCAAATATTATTTCTTCCTACCCCGAAACCCTGGCTGCTGCCTCCTATTGGCTTAACTAACCCAAAGGTTTAGGAGAAAATTATATTCCAATAAACTTCATAGTTAAAAAATACCTTAAAGGAAACAACACTCTTCTAATTTCAGTGAGAGTTTGAACTAGAAATATCACTTTGGGCAGTTAAATAAAATTTCTTACCTTCTTAAGTTTTTCTGTTTTAATATGCTAATTTTAAAAATTAAAAAGATTTCTATTATATATGATATTCATGTATTAAAGTGGATAAATTTATTAAAATGTACTCTAATACTAAATATAATAATTCAACTTGAAATATAGTCTAATTTGGTTAAAATAAAATGTGTAAAATAAGATTTTTAAGATAAATTAATTTAAATGAAAATCAATCAAAACACATAATTATGTATTATATATAAAACAGCCTATATATAATAAATAAGTAAATTATATATATATCCTAAGCAATTATATATAGTGTGTGTGTGTGTGTGTGTATATATATATATATATATATATATATATATATATATATATATATAAATCCTAAGCAAGTATTATCCTAAGAGAGTATTACAAATATTAGGTATAGTCCTCCTGAGAATTATTCTTTAGGAGAGTTTTTGCAGTTATGAAATACTCTCTTTTACTTCTAAAATTGCTAATTCCAATATGAAGATTATAATATAATTCATTAAGACATTTTGTGTGCAAAATATTGTTTTAATCACTCCATATGAATTTTTTTTTTGAGACGGAGTCTTGCTGTGTTGCCCAGGCTGGAGTGCAGTGGTGCAATCTCAGCTCACTGCAAGCTCCGCCTCCCAGTTCACGCCATTCTCCTGCCTCAGCCTCCCGAGTAGCTGGGACTACAGGCCTCCATATGAATATTTTATAAAAGTATCATTAGTTCTATGAGAAATATTGGAAGCATTCCCTTTGAAAACTGGCACAAGACAAGGATGCCCTCTCTCACCACTCCTATTCAACATAGTATTGGAAGTTCTGGCCAGGGCAATTAGGCAAGAGAAAGAAATAAAGGGTATTCAAATAGGAAGAGAGGAAGTCAAATTGTCTCTGTTTGCATGATTGTATATTTAGAAAACCCCATATTCTCAGCCCAAAAACTCCTTATGCTGATAAAGAACTTCAGCAAAGTCTCAGGATACAAAATCAATGTGCAAAAATCACAGCAATTCCTATACACCAATAATAGATAAACAGAGAGCGAAATCATGAGTGAACTCCCATTCACAATTGCTTCAAAGAAAATAAAATACCTCAGAATACTACTTACAAGGGACGTGAAAGATCTCTTCAAGGAGAACTACAAACCACTGCTCAAGGAAATAAGAGAGGACACAAAAAAATGGAAAAGCATTCCTTACTCATGGATGGGAAGAAGCAATATCATGAAAATGGTCATATTACCCAAAGTAATTTGTAGATTCAATGCTATTCCCATCAAGCTACCATTGACTTTCTTCACAGAACTAGAAAAATAAAAAAACAAAAAAAAAACTTTAAATTTTATATGGAATCAAACAAGAGCCCGTATAGCCAGGAAAATCTTAAGCAAAAAGAACAAAGCTGGAGGCATCACACTACCTGACTTCAAACTATACTACATGGCTACAGTAACCAAAACTAACCAAAACAGCATGTTACTGGTACCAAAACAGTTAGAAAGACCAATGGAATAGAACAGATACCTTGAAAATAACACCACACATCTTCACCCATGTGATCTTCAACAAACCTGACAAAAACAAGCAATGGGGAAAGGATTACCTACTTAATAAATGGTGCTGGGAAAACTGGCTAGCCATATGGAGAAAACAGAAACTTGACCCCTTCCTTACACCTTATACAAAAATTAACTCAAGATGGATTAAAGACTTAAATGTAAAACCTAAAGCTATAAAAAGCCTAGAAGACAATCTAGGCAATATCAGTCAGAACATAGGCATGGGCAGATTCTTCAGGACTAAACACCAAAAGCAATGGCAACAAAAGCCAAAATTGACAAATGGGATCTAATTAAACTAAAGAGCTTCTGCTCGGCAAAGGAAAATATCATCAGAATGAACAGTCAACCTACAGAATTGGAGAAAATTTTTGCAATCTATCCATCTGAAAAAGGTATAATATCTAGAATCTACAAGGAACTTAAACAAATTTACAAGAAAAAACCCCATCAAAAAGTGGGCAAAATATATGAACAGACACTCCTCAAAAGGAGACATTTATGTGGCCAACAAACATATGAAATAATGCTCATCATCACTGATCATTAGAGAAATGTAAATCAAAACCACAGTGAGATACCATCTCACTCCAGTTAGAATGGCAATCGTTAAAAAGTCTGGAAAAAACAGATGTTGGCCAAGATGCGGAGAAATAGGAATGCTTTTACACCCTGGGTGGGAGTGTAAATTAGTTCAACCATGGTGGAAGACAGTATGGCGATTTCTCAAGGATCTAGAACCAGAAATACCATTTGACTTAGCAATCTCATTACTGGGTATATACCCAAAGATTATAAATCATTCTACTATAAAGACACATGCATACGTATGTTTATTGCAGCACTATTTACAATAGCAAAGACTTGGAACCAACCCAAATGCCCATCAATGATAGACTGGAGAAAGCAAATGTGGCACAAATACACCATGGAACAATATGCAGCCATAAAAAAAGAATGAGTTCATGTCATTGCAGGGACATGGATGAAACTGGAAACCGTCATCCTCAGCAAACTGCCAGAGGAACAGAAAATCAAACACCCCATGTTCTCACTCATAAATGGGCGTTGAACAATGAGAACACATGGACACAGGGAGGGGATGATCACACACCAGGGCTTGTTGGGGGGTGGGGGCAAAGGGGAGGAGAGCATTAGGACAAATACCTAATGCATGTGGAGCTTAAAACCTAGATGTTGGGTTCATAGGTGCAGCAAACCACCATGTCACATGTGTACTTATGTAGCAAACCTGTATGTTCAGCACATGTATACCAGAACTTAAAGTAAAATAAAATAATAATAATAATAAACTCTTAGTCTGTAGAAGAGTGGACCTCTAACCTAACTCGGCCAAAAACCCCTCTCATGTTTGTTTTCTCTAATAAACCTGTCTTAACTGTCAAAAAAGAAAGAAAGAAAGAAAGAAACAGATTGTTTGATATTTCAAGTAGCCGTCCCAAGATCATGCAGCTGGTGAGATGGGAAGCTAAAATCTGACCCTGTGCCTATGGTTTATGACCAATATGTTTTAATCCTAATATTGTTATAATGAAAGCCAACCAACAAGAAAACAATCATGTGACTTTCATACAACCATCATAGTATTCATTTAAGTCATGATTATATTAGGAATAATATAAAAATAAATGCATATAAATGTATAAAAGGTACATCATCTTGTTGTTTAAATGGTTAGCTCCTTAAGGGAGCTAAGTACATTTATATTGTACTTAGTATCATTTTTTGTTTAATAAATTTATGTTAATGATGAATGTTGTCTTATTATCACATTGATCCACACAGCAGATTTTCCATTAGGATACAGTCATTTTATGTAAAATTTAAAATAAAAGTATTAAACTAAAGTGGTTTCGTGAAATGTCTAGTACTTAGTGGATTTTGGCCACAGAGACCAAATAACATCGTATTATTTTGTTCAATTCGTTACACATTCTATTGACTCCAGTATAACTTAATTGTAATTTAGCAGAAAAATATTAGTTCAGGCCTGGTCTACAATGGCTATATATAAATGTTTAATATCATTCAGTCCCACTTAGATAAGGCACATTTCTTTATTTTTCTCTATGATTATAAACCATATGTTAAATTTATTTTCCAGATGTGACAACTTTGATTCCAACCACGTGTTTTATATTACATCTACTACTGTGCTTCCTCCTCCTCAGAGGTTACTCATCAAAATTGATTAATCTTTTCTGAAATGATTTGATACAAATTTCCTTTATCTCATTTGAATGTACTGTATGGAGATATCATCTAAACAGGTTATTTTTTAATATATAAAATGACTTTTAAAAGATTCAGTGTGTTTTATTATTGCATTAAAATTATACAGATGATTTAGTGTATTCCAACTATTGCATTTTCTATGTGAAATTTGTTTTATAATTTTATGTAAATAAATGTACTTCAATGTGAAACTGATGTGAAGCTTCAAAATCATAGATCTAGGGAGGGTGTAGAAAGTTGTAGTCTTTCTAGTTTTTTTCTCAAGTCTTAACCAAAAGATCTCTTTACAGGATATTTTCCTTTGAATAAGCAATGTCATTGTTAGCAATATTCATTTTTAATTTGCTAAAAATGCAAAAATAAAATGCCAATTATCAATGGCCTGTGCTAAAATAATATGTTAAGAGCACCACTAGTTTATGAGGGCCATCTACATTTTTCTATCTCAACCCCATCCACCGTATGTAAACCATCATAAACTGCTCCTTTCCTGTATGTATCCCCTCTATTTGTTTG
Source organism: Homo sapiens (assembly GCF_000001405.40). Taxonomy (NCBI): domain Eukaryota; kingdom Metazoa; phylum Chordata; class Mammalia; order Primates; family Hominidae; genus Homo; species Homo sapiens. The sequence continues at coordinate 189,486,158 of NC_000001.11, forward strand.
TTTACCTCATTTCTCACCAACCCTGCAGTTTATATTAATCCTATTTATGTCCAGACTATTAAAATAGCTGAGGTTTCACTGCATCTAATGTTCTCCTCTACCATCCACCCTGAACTGAACAACAAATCTCTTTTTCCCCTAAGACCACAACTTTTAGCCTTTCTTCTCAAAATTTTCAATGGATTCTTAGTGCCAAGGAAGATGTTAAGTACCTTAGTCTTGAATTCCAGATGCTGAAAAAATAGTGTCTTCCTAGCCTTACCTTCCATTATTTCCCTACATTGGAAACATTGAAACTGCACAGCTTTATACATTATATTTTGATTGCATTTTTCACCACTATTCTTTTATCACACCATTACCCTTAAATGTGAAACTGCTTTATTTCCACAATTTTCCCTCTCTAAATTCTACTCTTCAAGCTCTAGCTAGCTTACATCTTGCTTATTTCAAAATGTCATTTTTAAGCACTCCAGGCAAAAGTGTTATTGTTTCTACTCTAAATGTCTATGTAATTCAACATCTGTCTACACTTATGGATGCATTATTTACTACTCCATACAACTGTAAAAAGCATTGCATATTTTTAATTTCTAGATTTATTTTTAAGAACTTATTCTTGTCACCCTGGTTCTTAGTAGGGTGATTTGCTGACATTGAATATCTATTTGATGAATGGAGATGCCATTTCCCTAACAAGAAAAATGGAAAAAGATGGAAAATTATTCAAAAGACAGAGTTAATTAATGATTCTACAAATGATTTCCTCCTACATAAAGTCTTTGTGCTTATGTCAAGTATTTCTTCATTGATATTATGGTTGAACATTTATTGAGCATAGAAAATAGGTTTTGCACAGCACACAACCCAATAGATATCGTAGTTTCTGTTCAATGAGCTTGAAATATTCCTAATATGAATAAGGCCCAAAAGGATATGAATGGCACATGTCAAAGTGACATTCCTTTTGTCAACCCCTTCATTTCCATTTCTTATATGTTTTCTTGAGTTTTGACCCTCTTTTTTCATGACTTGATGATTACAACTGCTTCCATACAGGTTTTCTTTCCAATACCATTATCCCCCATGCTTGTCTTTCTCAAGTCTTAAGTATATAGAATATTTTCATTCAGATTCTTCCCTTAATAAAAAACATTGAATAATTTCCAAATTTTACTACATAATGTAAATGGTAATAGTTCCTAAACTCTAACGTCACTATCAGGACAAATAAATCCCACTCATTTTTTTTTAATCCATCCAGCTTTGTTCCCAGTACTTTAGGAAATGTTATTACTCCCCCATCTAACACCAAGCCTGATGTCACATCCATCTCTTATTACTCCCCTGAGTACTCAATTTTGTCAAAAATCCCATACATATTTGATATGCTTAACCTTTTCCTTTCTAGTCTCTCATTTTCAGTTATGCCTAAAGAATCTGAACTATATCTCACCTTAAAAATTAATGAAATAAACTAAAAGACCTCAGAATATACACCCCTTCTAGCATCTCAGAATGCCTATTCTCCCTATCATATCTGTATTGAAATTAAGACTTTCTTTTGCAAGTTATGTCTTATACTGTTTTAAACAGAAAATGAAATATCTATCTCATGCAACTTAAAATCAAATGTAAGTCCTACTTCTGGATTGGCTTGATAGGAAAGCTCAATGGAAGTGACCAGCTGCATTTTGTCTGACACTATAGACTGACTATGCCCATGTTTCAGTCTTTCCACAAGGCTGCTTCCTACATAGTGAAATAATAGACATAAGAGCTAAAGATTTCATGTTTTTAAACACTATAACTTGGGAAACACAAGACACATTTCCATCTTTGGAATTCAAACTGCTGAGACCAGCTAGGTCCGTGAGACCCTAACCCAGCGGTGCTAGAGGAATTAAAGACACACACACAGAAATATAGAGGTGTGGAGTGGGAAATCAGGGGTCTCACAGCCTTCAGAACTGAGAGCCACAAACAGAGATTTACCCACGTATTTATTGATAGCAAGCCAGTGATAAGCATTGTTTCTATGGATTATAGATTAACTAAAAGTATTCCTTATGGGAAATAAAGGGATGGGCCGAAATAAAGGGGTGGGACTGGCTAGTTATCTGCAGCAGGAGCATGTCTTTAAGGCATAGATGGCTCATGCTATTGTTTGCGGTTTAAGAACACCTTTAAGCAGTTTTCCGCCCTGGAGTGGGCCAGGTGTTCCTTGCCCTCATTCTGGTAAACCCACAACCTTCCAGCGTGGGCGTCATGGCCATCATGAACATGTCACAGTGCTGCAGAGATTTTGTTTATGGCCAGTTTTGGGGCCAGTTTATGGCCAGGTTTTGGGGGGCCTGTTCCCAACACAAATATAGGTCAGTCACAGGCATGGACTCTATTTTGTTACTTGCCAACCCCTGAAGGAGTCACCTGGCTATGGGTGTGGGAAATACATACTAGTTACTAGCTTGAGATGACTTTTAAGGCTGGTGTGAGATAAATATTGGTGAGATTGTAGGAGAGGTATATTTCACAAAGAAAAAGCATTGGACTACTGATTAAATAATAAATTATGGATGTGTGGGGCAAAGAACAAATACCTATTATGCTAGGTAAGTGTCTTGAATAAGTTGTCAATAGTGCATACTTTTCTTCTGATTTACATTTCAGAAAGCTACACTCTATCAATTTATTAAAATTTCTGTAATCACATCCACATTTGGTTAATGACTACTTTTTGAAAACCATTAACTCCTTTAATAAATATTAAGAGCACCTTATGTCCTTGCTACTGTTAATATGCACTTTGGATAGATTCATAAAGCAAGTAGATAGTAGTCTTTGCCCTAACAGAGCTGGCATCTGGGAAGAGGAGACACCAATATGCATTAGACCTGCTAAATTAAGAAAAGTATAAATATGCAGGCTTGTCATGAAGCAAAAGACATTTGAACAAGAGATTAAAAGAAGTGAGAGAGTTTGCTAAGTGGCTGTGAGGAGGTACAGGTTTCCAGGCAATGGCAAGAGGGATTACTAAGATCCCATGGGAACAAAATGTCTAGAGGTAAAATAACAAACAATAGGGAGGGTGGTTTTGCTCAAGTGAAGTGGCCTCATGAATTGCAGAAAATGTTTGTGTTTAGATCCAGGTATAATCAGACAGAAAACCATAGTAAGGATTACAGAGTTTTCTCTGAGTGGTGTGGACAGGAATTCAGGATATGAACAGAGAGATAGTGTGATTTGATTTATATTTTAAAGAAATCGTACTCATGTGTTTAGAAAACTGTAGGAGGGCAGGAAGAAAGATCTACTGAAAGGTTGGTAATCCTAGGGAGATTATTATAGGGGTTCTGAACAGAGTGAAGGTTGTGAAGGTGATGTGAGGGTATAGGTTTTAGATATATTTTAATGGAGAAGCTGTGAGGATTTTCCGACGGCTTGAATAAGGCATGTCAGAGAAAAACAAAGGAAGTATGAGCCATTTTAACTTATTTAGCCTTGGCGATTGCAATCAAGAAATTTTCTTCAACTGAAACAAAGATAATAACTTGAACCAGCATAGTATGATCAATATTTTGTTATTGATTTATTAACTTTGGGCTATGAAATGAATACTTATCAAATTTTATATTCATACAATTATCCTGAGATATTTTTAAAATGCAGATTTAAATTTCAGCGTTCTGGAGTGGGGCTCAGAAAAATGCATTTCTAATATTCTCCGAGCAATGTTGACATCGCTCATGCTTGCACCAAATTCTGAACAGCAAAGTATTAGAAATTCAAACGAGAAGCTGACTATGTGACTGGTTCTTAGAGGAGATGTCTGGCCTGTAAATAAAAAGTTAAAAGTGGGCAAAATATAGATGATATATAGAACAACAAGGTTTCACATCACCAAAAGAAACACAAAAGCACCTAAATCTGACATCATGGGGTCTCCAGAATTAAGATAATAAGGAGAAGGAACAGTAATGAAGACTGAAAATGGGTGAACAGTAAGATAGGAAGATAAGTAAGATCATTATAATGTACTAGGATTTAGGTAAAAATGTATCAAAAAAGGAATAACGATGTATCAAATGGTTTTAGCAGGACAATTAAGGTGAAAACTGAATATGGCCCATCACATGTACTAATGTGAAGGTTATTGGTGATCTTCTTAAAAATAGCTTGCCAAATTTAATTATTCCGTAGTGTACACATGTATCAAAACATCACACTGTATTCTAAAAATACAGTGGTACCCCTTTGGGGGACATACTCCAAGACACTCAGTGGATGCCTGAAACCATGGATATTGATATCACTTAACCCTATATATACTGTCATTTTTTTCCTTTGCATACATACCTATAATAATTTAATTTCTAAATTAAGCACAATAGGAGAAAAAACAACAAGTTATAATAAATTATAATATACTTTAATAATAGTTATGTGAATGTAGTCTCTTTCTCTTTCTCAAAATATCTTATTTTGCTGTATTCACCCTTATTCTTCTTGTGATCTGTCCATCCTATAAGTGAGTCTGCTATTAAGTAACAAAGGGGCAGATAGGCTATACAGCATGGATATGAAGAGCAAAGGGATGTTTTTTTGTTTTTGTTTGTTTTGTTTGTTTGTTTGTTTGTTTGTTTGCATGGCACCAGATTTCATCATAATACTCAGTGGTATGCTATTTAAAACGTATACATTGTTTATTTCTAGATATTTTATTTAATATTTTTGAACCACACTTGACCAGGTTAACTGAAGCCAAGGAATGTGAAACAGCACATAAGGACAGCTTTGGGGACAATTTGATACAATTATTGTTTGTCAACTAATAAATAAATAAATGGAGAGTGAAAAAATACACACGCTCACAAAAGGAATAATATATTTAGTGCTGAAGGCAAAAGCCAGAATGTGTTGAAATCTGCCCTGATTTATCGTTGGTTGATTCTCTCCTTACTTCATAGGCTGCTCATTCCAGCTTCTTTTTATATGGGTCTTTTTCTGTATATTTAGGTGTTCCACCTAGTTATGTTTTTTTCTCTGTATCTTTTTCTCTTTATTAAGTATTTTGAAATAGTATCTCATTTTCAAAGATCAACTCCTTGCTTATTTTTCCAGATACAACTTTCAAAGTTGCCGCGTTTGAAATTTAAGTTCTGTTAGCCCAATTATTTGTTCATTAAATAAATAATTTTGAGCATCCCAATATGCCAGTCGTTCTACAAAGTGTTAATTCAAGGTAAAGGATACTTATTACGTAATGACTACCCCCAACTCTTACACATATTCATTACCACATGGACCTTCTTCCTTTTTCCTGCTCCCCATTCACTTGCTATTCAGCCTTTACAATATACTTTAAAGGGTTATGAAAATCTCTAATCTAATTTCTAGAAACAGGTGAAATAACATGAGGCTAGATTTTCATACCAAAAAAGCCTATTAGGAATACAAAGTAAAGGTGTGCACAGAAAATAAATATTATGCGAGTTTATTGGAAACCTCATCACCTAAAAGACACATTTTACCATAGCGAATGATACATTTTAGAAGGGCATTATGAGTACACAGAGACCTGGAAATGGCTATCATTTTAGTTTTTGTATTTTATGTAGTGGAATGAATGAAAATGAAGAAATATTATAATTCAGAAAAGGACTGTCCAAGGCAGCTAAAGAGGGTCACAGGAACTGTACTTGTACCCTCTAGTCTAAAAATGTAAATTTTATAAAATTAGACTTTTGTATTGGAAAGCATTAGTGCACCTAAAACTAATAGTATAGTGCTTATTTTATATTCTCTACTCGGATATATTAGCCTTATAAACTTTTCTCACTTTGAATCTTTTATTTCAAAAGTTCTAATTCTTAATTTACATTTCCACGGCAAATTTTATAATCCATAAAGCATACAATAGAATAATCAGAGGTGTAAAAAGTTTGTTGCCTGGAGCACAATAAGTAATCAATAACCTCAATAATATAAATCATCCTTAAAAATATTAAGACAGTTTGGATTTAATATCTCTATGGAGTTTAGAGCAACAGGCAGTACCCTTCATTGATAATTGCATCAATGTAGATTTTAACTTCTCTAAAATATGATAATTACCACCACTGTTTAATGTGTCCTTAAATGAACAGAGTTAAATTTTCTTCTTTTCTATATAGATTTTAAGAAATATAAGACAGTCACAATCACTTTACTTATTTATTAGACTTTTCATGTTTTATTGATATTTGTATTAAACTTTTTTACTATATTTAAAAGACTATTTGTGAAGTACTATAAGAATAAATAACTTACATTCTACCAGTTATATCTTAGGGAGAATGTGTGAGAGAGCCTTTGGCAGAATTACAAACTTATTAAATCATATTAATTTAAATTTTAATAGCATATTTCAAAATGAGTATTCGCAATGTCAGAACATTTCATGGCATGTTTTATGATAATGTCATTATTTAAAACACTAAGTGGAAATAAACATAGAGAACATCCTTTCGTCTATGTCTATATGCCACATACATGCTATTAAAATACATATTAGATTTAAAATATGACATGTATGTTTCAGATGAGAATTAACAAATGCTACATTAATTTTTTTAGAGACATAAAATCTGATCGCAGTGATTACAGCATAAAAATTTAAATGGAATTTTAAAATGACATCATTTTTGATGTTTGACAAATTTTGTTATATTCTAAAACCTTTGAAATATTAAAGGTCATTAACATACATATATATTTGAAAGATAAAACTATAGCTAGATCACATGCAAATATTTAAAGGTTACTGAGTCTGCCTATATATTTATTTACATGAGAAAAGAAATATTTATGACAAATCAGAACTTTAATTTTAACCCTATGTTTTGCCTTGAAGAATTACCACAAGCAGACTACATAGGTGCTGAATACTTCTGAAAGTAGAACATAAACTCAGTGATGTGATATTCTACTACATGAGAAGCAATAGAGACAACAAGCCTTTGACATAGTCAGGATATTGGCTTTTCTCTTACCATGTCAATTTCATGACTGCCAACTAATTTTCAGTGGCTTCAGTCAAGATGTTTTGATTTCCTGAGCCTCTCTTTTCACATCTGTAAAAGATTGGATTCAAGTATCTTTACTTTAAAGAGAGCATTAAGGCTTTTGTGTACATGTCTCAAATTTTACTAAATAAATCAGTAAATATATTTCTAAAGTTTTATAGATTTTTACAAAAAATAATGTAACAATTACAATAAAAATTCTGCATTTTATAATATTTCTGAAAACTTTTAAATGTTCTAATAAATGCTAAATATTTCTGCAGTTTTATATATGTTTAAATAAAATGAGTAATACAAATTTACATTTACATATCTCATATATATATCTTAACAACTTATCCAAATAAAATATAAATTCAAAAGTATTGTCTGCACTCCTACCCATGTAAAAATAAGCACAAAATAATAATAACAAACAACAATCAAACAAAAAGACAAGATTCTTTCTAGTTCTTTGCTTTTGATATAACTGTACTATCTGGTGATACAGGAGTCATATTTGATGCACCTGTTTTCTCACTTTTTTCTATCCAATTCTATTCTACATCCATTATACTGTACTTCATAAGCATCACTTAATTATGTTATTTTTTTAACCAAAAAACTAGAAACATCTCATAAACTGTCACAGCCAAATGAAAACGAAGGAGACAAAATGACGAAATGTAACTTGGCTCCCAAGATGGGATCTTAGTACAGAAAAAAGACTTTAGGTAAAACCTTAGGAAATCTTAAGCATGTTTGTACTTTGTTAATAATAATATGTCAATATTGGTTCATTAATTGTGAAAATGCCATACTAGTGCAAGATGTTAATAATATGGGGAAATTTATTGTGAGCTATATGGGAACTCTTTATTTTTCAGTATTTCTGTAAATATTCTGAAACTTTTAAAGCTTATTTAGAAATGTCAAAGAATTTAAAGACACTGCAATGGTTTTGAAAGCAAAGGGATAACTATCTTTTAACTTTCTGCTCTTTGAGATCCAATGTAGAGTTTAGAATGAATCAGATGAAAGATATCTGGTCCTCATTAGTAATGAAAACAGAATGGAAATGTTGTTAAATCATCTGACACTATTTGTTGTGTAGTTTTCTTCTCATCACATATTTAGTGGGCTTCTGAAAATCCACCAGTCCATAAGAAGATGTCTCTGTAGCCATTTTGGAGGTTTAAGTTTGTTCTTGAGTAGGTGCTAGCAAAGGATGAATAGGAAAAAAATTCTGAGTTATTGAATGTTTATAAAAAGTAGTCTTTGAATTTTAATAATTGAAGATCAGTTTGGCTAAATTAAAAAATATAAATACATAGATAAATATGCATATAAAAATAAATATATATTTATTTCAATTAAAGCAAAATCATGTATATTTTCTTCTTGAAAAACCTATGAGGATATGGATCTGGTATTTTTCTTTCACAAGTGACGTAGCCTTTTTGCCTAGACGTTCAAACCATTTATTTATTTATTTATCTATTTATTTATTTATATTTAAAGATCAGTCATTTTACTGGACATATTTTTCTCTTGGCTACGTAGTTCAATTTTCCCAGATACTAGGTCTATCCTTTAAAAGCTTATATGGTTTCAAGAACTTTTTGAAATTTCAGATAATTTTACATATATTACAATAATGCTATGTTTCTGTTAATGGTGATTGTTTCTCTTATTCAGGAACCCTCATACATATATATGATTATGTATGTATGATCATGTATTATATATATCATATGCATATGATTTACTGAAAATATACATATGATTGGTAGACTATATCAATATCTAGAATCAAATTACTCCTTTTGGACAAAGCCCTTCACTGTTAAATATCAATTTATATTTGATTTCCTGGATGAATATATATATATATATATATATTATATATATATATATAATATATATATATATTATATATATATATAATATATATAATGTGTATATAATATTTATCTGTGTTTTCTATCTATAATTGTTAGTGCTTACTACATTTTTGTTAGTTTTACTTGTTATATCATTTTTTTCCTTAGTCATCTTTTAGTTCTGTAAGGCTGGGGTTATTCCCTATTATTCTCTTGGTGGTTGTCTTCTTAAATAATCATTTTCTTTTTTATTAGCTAAGTGAATTCACCTCACTTTTAATTTTTTTCTCTAATCATCTAATGTCTGATTTTTTTTCTAATTCTGGTACGTTATTTTTCATAGCTTTTATTTTGCTCATTGAAAATATTACTTTACAATACTCTTATGTTTTGGAGAAGCGTTATTTTCATTGTTTCCTGATTTGCTCCAATCCTTTTTGTGTGGTCTTCTGATCTTTTATATTTCCATAAAATAACTTGTATGAGAAGTAACTATGATTTTTTTTCTGTTACCTATCTAAAAGACAATGAACATTATCAACACTTTTAGAGTCAGGTAGCTAACTTTTCCTAAGTTAGCTTCTCTACTTTCATGACTCTAGAGATGTCTTTTGTTGTTTTAATTGTATGTTAGAGCTATGGTCTTGTAGTCACTGAGATAGTCCTCCACTATTAACCCCCTCCCAAGTTATCTAGAAAGTATCCTTATTTTCTCTTTTGCAACCATCCTGATCATTTTGAATACTCTATCCAATTGATATTCAATGGTGGAGGGCTTTGTCCAAAAAGAGTAATTTGCTTTCAGACATTCATATAGCCCACCGATTATTATTCTGTCTCCTTGCCCTTAAACAAGGTACAGTCTATAGATCTTTTAGTTTAGATTAATCACTATTAGTCTTTACTGTTCTTTTAATGGCCAGTGAGGACTATAGAAATTGCTACTATCTGGTTAGCCATGCATTCCTTTATCTTTTTTTTATTACTTTACACATATTTTTATTGCATGTGAGTAATATAGCTGTTGGTGGCCTGTCCATATCTGCATATATTGCCATGGATTTTTGCTTCATTCTAATAGAAACCATGCGTGTGTGTGTGTGTGTGTGTGTGTGTGTGTGTTTACTTTTTTAAAAAATAATAATTTTTCTGTGTGTGTATGCATAGATAGAAGCATGAAATGTTATGTATTATGTTAGCAACACTACCCCATGAAGGTCTTCAAAGAGGTCTAGAGTGGGATAAGAATGAATTAGTGACTACTCCTGCATTTTCTGACCTATTGCATCACAAAAGTATAATTTACATTATTTAAAATATCATAAAGTAGAATGAAATAATAAAGTATGGCATACTATAAAATACAGTAAATAACTCTGATGTTCTGTTTTTCAAAGTATAATTTCTACACCACTCATATCAGAAAAAGCTAGTATGATTACTTAAAATGCAGATTCCTCTTTCCCATCTCCTAAGTAACCAAGTCAAATTCTGCATTATTAAAATAATCCAAAGGTGATTCCTTCACACATTAAAAATGAGTAACCATTTTCTTAAGGAGAAAAAGTTTACAATATTTTCTAAAGCGACCTTTATGGCATTTTGGCATGCTTACTTTCTTTTCCTACTTCTATGTATAAAGTAAATATGTACAAATATCTTTGCTTAATTATATACCAACTTTTGCTTCGAATCACCGTGACAACCAGAGAAGTGACAAGCAATAACATGGCATGCATTTTCCTTATATTGAACATTCATGTCTAGTTCTCATTAATTCACAACAAAAAAGTTTCTCTTTCTATTTCTGCTTTCTTTTAGTTCCACAAGGCAAGCAACAATGCATATTTTAGTAGAGGTTGGTTGATTGTGAAATAGTTCTCATAGATCAGAATTTGATTCCTGGTGTGGGCAATTCAATGAATCATTTATTATATCATGCACAGGTGTTCATTAGGAAAGCATCACACTCTGGTGGAAAGAACAGCTATTCTCTCAAGATCATTCAAGTGCAAAATTGCATTAGGGACAATGATAAGGGATTAAATGACCATAAGTGCTATCTTTATGCCTGATGTTATAAGCAAAAGAAATGACCCTTGTAGTCCCTATGTTTCAGGCAATAATGTTTAGTCCTTTCAAAACTGATCCAAAATGATCAGCACTTCCAGAGAATATCACAAACTGGGTGGACTTATACTGGGCTTTCAATACTGTTCCATAGTTTTTCTCTTTTCCTAGTAACCATTTGCTTCAAATTTCTGAAATTTCTATTTCATAACTTCTCTATATCTCAAGTCTTTAATCCAGTAGCTCTATCTTCGCTCTTGGCATATGATCTAATCACCTATTCCTTATAGAAAATGGAAATCAATGAAACAGTCACCACCTTAATCCTCAAATCTATAAATCTATTTTTACTCAGATATTCACTTCTTTGTTTATAGACAAAACAACATAATTCTCCTCTTCAGATACTATCTCTTCCTTTTTTTCCCTAGAATAATTTCTAATAAGTTCTTGTGTTTACACATATTATCTCATTTCTTTATATCCCACTTGTTACACAACACATTGTAAACAGAAATCTAACTCCATCAATCGATTAAAAAAGCTTCATTTAAAGTCCAAAATGGGCTGGGAGCAGAGGCTCATGCCTATAATCCCAGCACTTTGAGAGGCCGAGGCAGACGGATCACTTGAGGTCCGGAGTTCGAGTCCAGCCTGATCAACATGGTGAAACCCTGTCTCTACTAAAAATACAAAAAAAAAGCTGCTGGGCGTGGTAGTGCGCACCTGTAATCCCAGCTACTCGAGAGGCAGCAGCAGGATAATCGCTTAAACACTGGAGGCAGGTTGCAGTGAGCCAAGATCGCGCTACTGCACTCCAGCCTGGGCGACAAGGTGAGATTCCATTTCAAAATAAATAAATAAATGAAGTCCAAAATGACCTCCATGCCATTACATTGAGTAGGCACATTCAAAACTTCATCTTACTTGACTTTCATCAATGCTTCATATACCTCACCACTCTCTTCTGCATAAAGTATAAACCTTCTGTTTTCCTTGACGCTGAATACTTCTGAGTTTCCCTTATTTCTTGTTATTTACCTTTGATCTCCAATATTTGCTTCTTAAATACTAGCTCATATATCTACCTTCAGCTTCCTGCTTTCTTAAAACACAAGATCTCATTAAGAATCCCATCTACATCATTGGTGTTAATACCACCTGGTCAAGGTTATGTATAATAAAAATGGTAATACCATTCAACCCTGTGATCAAGATGAAATTATTATGGCATAATACCCATATATACTTTAAATTGTAAATGAGTACTTGCAATTAGGTAATATAATCTCAAGATGTGCATCTATTTGTGGAGTGAGAAAGTGGAGAAACAATAGGAAAACAAACAAATATGTGACTTGAAACCATCAAGAAATTATCATCTATAATATGAGATATGATGTGGAATTATAACCATGTGGTTTGTGTGTGCATATTTAAGTGTATGTATATGCATATGTGTATATATATGTAATCACAGTGTATGTGTATATTTCATATATCTGTGTGTGTGTGTGTACTGCAACTTCCACATTTTCTATTTCCTTTATAAATTTATTCTACTTCACAACATTTAGCACCAACTGACGTAAATATATATGATGAGAAAAGAAGAGATCCTTAGTCTAGGAAAATCAGGGAAATTTCCATATTGAATATTTTAATCATTAACATTGACGATATTATTTTAAAGAAGTGTGCCTTCACAACAAGTAGCATTATACTTGAGACTCTACCAAATGTTACAAACCTTAAAAAAGAAGAGACAATAGATACAGACACATTTAGGATAGTTATACAGGTATCAACCATGCTAATTCAATAGGCTAATAGATAAAGAAAAGTGAGGCTGACTTTTAGGTATGTTTTGTTTGTTCATGAACTACTGTCACTTGCCCATGCTCTTCATCACTTCTATGCTATAGATATTCTCTCTATGCTATATTAGCTCTATTCTAATCATGGCTATTCTATGAAGATTATAACCAAAGAGTTGTATTCAACTTCTAATATATTAATTTGTTTCTCATTACTTTTGTCATAATTCTCTTATACATATTAAATTGGTCTGTTATCATATTTAAAATGTCTAATATTAAGAGTGTTCAATCTAAGTAAATGGTGCTGATGATTATGGTGGAATTTTGACAAGTTGATTTCTGCTACCTAAATTTATTCAGCTAATTTGCAGAATTATGCTGTGTTTCTTATTAAGATGGTTAAACAGAAATCACTTTCCATAAATTAAGACTTCATTGTGGCTCATTCATTCTGCCTTAACTCAGTTTTTCAACATTTTCCTGGCTGCAGTAGACCCAATTCTCAGACAGTACACCCTATGCTCAGTTACATTGTTGATAAGCCTTAATAACTTGATTACTTCTATCAACTGGTTATTCTGCTTTTCTTACCAGGTTGCAAAATATTTCTACAGGTAATCAAGAATATGTGTGTAACTGGGTGGCCCCCTCCAACATCATGCATTGAGACTCCAGACTTCAATGAGGTTTTTTTGTTTTGTTTTGTTTTTGAGATGCAGTCTTTGTCCATTGCCCGGGCTGGAGTGCAGTAGTGCCATCTCAGCTCACTGCAACCTCTGCTTCCTGAGTTCAAGCGATTCTCCTGCCTCAGCCTCTGGAGTAGCTGGAACTACAGGCGCAACACCACCACACCCAGCTAATTTTTGTATTTTTTGTAGAGAGAGGGTTTCATCATATTGCCCAGGCTGGTCTTGAACTCCTGACCTCATGTTATCCACTCGCCTTGGCCTCCCAGAGTGCTGGGATTACAGGTGTGAGTCACATGCCCGGCCTCAATGAGATCATTGCCATGACATGGGAAGATTTTTATTCCTTTTTTCATTTCCTTAGTGAATGCCCCCACAGTAAGCACCCTAAACTGTGTTATCTCAGTCTTAGGTTTTGTTATTTTTGCTACTTTTAATTTGAGTAGGAAATAACCTCTTCATAATCTATTTAAAATAACAAGACTATTCTACATAACTAGCTATTATCATGCTTTTACTTATTTCAGTGTTACTCATATTCCCTGTACTTTCAAAGAAAATTTTTCATTTAACCTAGCAAAAAAGTAAGATAAGTAAAGAAATAGAGTACGAGTATTTACGTTCAGAAACCTACATTATTGAGGGGATCAGACAGAGTTTAGAAGTCTAAAAGATGAATAGACAGCCAAAACATGAATCTCTGGCCAAAAAGGTGAAAAGGAATCCGTGGAGACCATAAGTGGGAATATAATTCTACGTGGCATGACATCTTATGAATCTTCCCCCATTACTACTGTGACTTAATTGTTTTTCACACTACATATTACATACCATCCCACTGACAACCTTATTATTTAAGCATATCACACACTCCTGCAGTTCCTTTGCACTTTCTTTCTCTGCCTGGAGTGTGCTTCTGTAAATGTCAGTTACTGACTTTCCTACCTCCTTCCTGTCTTTGCTCAAATGTTTCCACAGCAGATGAGCAGGCCTTTCTTGATCACTGTATGTAGGTAAAGTTACAACCTCTACCACATCTTCTAACTCCTTTTTGAATTTATTGTACTTCACATCATTTAGCACTATCTTACAGAACATAGGTATGTTTTATTTTATTTCTATCACCTGTTACTTGGATGAAAGTTCTCAGAAAGTAAAAACTTCCCCAGTTCCTGTAACAATGCATGGCACACAATACTCATGCAATATTTAATGAGTGAGTAAAAGAAACCTGATATCCATGATACAGGGGCATGTTGAGAGTAAAAACAAGCATCCAGAGCACTTGCAGAAAATAATCTTACAGGGAAGAGGTCAAGAACTCAGTCATACGCGGTAAGTGGAATTCTCAGTCTGAGAATTGATTCACAAGTAATGAGCTTGACTGTGAGAGACTTACTTTCCTCTCCAGTCTGTATGTAAGTAGAGATGGTGGCATTATGCATTATTAGCTGTCACTGACTGTGGGTGATTTCACATACTTGCTGGAGCAAGAATGGAAAAATAGGATACAAGTGTGTGTTTATATCATTCAAGCATTAGCATTAGGAGCCCTGGCACTAAATCCTTCATCAAATAATAAAATTTAGGACTGTTATTCCACTGCTGCTGTCATCCAAATCAGTCTTTCCATTTTGCTATAGAATTCCAAACAAGCAGTTTTCTTGATTTCAAATGGTGACATTCAGTACTTCCTAATGAGCTATTTCTGTGGTCTACTATTATTTCCTCTGTCTCCACAATAAACTTTACAAACAGACATCAAAATTTTATATATATTTTTTCAAAAACCATCCATATAAAACAGATGTAAGCTTCCTATCCTTCTTGGCATGGTAAGAAATGTAACTATCTACAGGGAATATAAACAATATCAGAAGTTAAGTTCAACTCAACTGATGATTCAAGCTACCAGTCACTTGCTACTCATCCAGAGTTTCAGAGTTCTAGTTTGACAAGATGAAAATGATGAAAGGAAGATTGATTCTTGTAATTGTAAGGAAAAAAAATACAATTTGTGCTTTGCATAAGTTTATTCAATTTGCTGTGATTGTTTCTACTTTCATGTCATTTCAATTGCAGTGGAATTTAAGGATATTGTGCCAGATTCAAATCCATCAACTGGAATTTTCCTTTGGTTGCAGATACCTCGCCAGAGGATACACATTACGTAGTTATTTAATTTTAAAAGGATTTAGTTGGAAAAGATTGTGTAGAATTGTTAGGAAACCAAGTTCAGTGTTATGTACCAAACATTAAATTTATAGCATAAAGTTGTATGAACAAAATCTCACTAAAATCAGGAGGCAGAATGGTGATATTGAGAGACAAACAATGTTGTAATGAAGGCATTGTAATAGCTGATGTAAATGTGGCACTGTCATTGTCAGCCTATGTAGTTAAGCTGTAATTGCCATCTAAAAGCTCTCTTGATACTTTACTTTACAAATATCTGCCATAATTTCCTGGAAAGAAATGTTCTATAATAAACACACAAAGAAGATAGATGTATGACATTCTGTGATGTTATTGCTGAAAATTTTAGGATTTTATTCTCAGTATAAGATTGTCGACATATGTCAAATGAAGATTTGATAAATGAAGATAGCCAAAATGAATGTTTTAGTAACCTAGTCCTCCTAACTGGGTATGCACTCTGAAATAAGCCAGAAGAGAAACAGCTAATCTCCGTCTTCATACTGTGGGAACAAATCCTTAGGGCATCTCCTGCACTATTATCCACAGTATTGTAGATGAGTCCATGACAACCACACAAGTTTAGTAGCTGGAAAAAAAAAATAAAGAACACCACCAGTCATGCCTTTGGGACATTGGCACAACACTATTCTCAGAACTAACCACAGTGGAATTTGAAGGAATATATTGTGAATGTTCTTGTCCACAAATGAAGTTCAGAAATGTTGCTGTTTTATGAGTTTTCTAAAAAAAAAAAAAAAAAAACAAACAAAAAACCTTAAATGTAGCTACTCCACAACTTTTATTTTAGTGAGAAGATGAGGCATTTTCATCAATATATTTTTAAAATTATATTAATTTCACTTCATAAAAATATATTTGTACCATTTCTTTCTAATAGCTAATATTCTTGAAACTAAAATGTACTTTACATGTAACTATTACTGCACTGCATGGTTCTATATTCAGTGATACATGTAATGTAACCACCTCTGCTTCCGTAGGAAAATAATTTCAGAGGAAAAAAAAACACATGAAAGAAATTATCAAGGACATAAGGACATAAAAAGAGAACCAATAAAATCCCAGGCACAACTAATTACTCGAGGAGTAAAATTATGATGATTATTCCCTAATGCAACATGCTTATTTTTTTCATGAACAATTTGTGTTTTAATGAAAAGAGACATTATTTATAGCAGACATTAGACTAGAGTTGAATATGTACTTTAAACACTCTCAGTTGCTCCTTAATTTTGAATGTACTGCTTTATGCAGCTGAGTGTTTTTTCCTGTTTTCCCAATGTCTGCAATTCTAGTACATTTGAAGATCTTAATTCAGATGTATATACTATTTAATATTGCTTGTAAAGTTTAGTATTTCAAGATTCAAATATTGTTTACAAAGAAAATTAAAAAAGAAATATTAATCATTTAAAGATTATTGTAAAATCTCTGACTTTAAAATCTTAATAAGTAAAATGTTAGTAGGTATTAGTATAAAATAACTTTTATATCTTTTGGACTTAGCATCCAGCATTTCTTTTCTACAAAAGAAAACAGTTCGTCTCTTGTGATGTAGTCTGATTATTTGGGTTTTGAAAATGGATGTTTTCTAAGTATGCAAAGACAAATGAAATGGTTCTAAATTTTTAAAATAATAATGTTTAGATGCCCGCAGCAGTCCTCTTATCTCATTATTTCTATCCTTGTTACAGAAGTGGGGATATGCGATCTCAGAATATTTCTTTTTCTTTTCTTTTTTCTTTTTTCTTTTTTTTTTTTTTTTTTTTTGAGACGGAGTCTCGCTCTATCGCCCAGGCTGGAGTGCAGTGGCACGATCTCGGCTCACTGCAAGCTCCAACTCTCGGGTTCACGCCATTCTCCTGCCTCAGCCTCCCAAGTAGCTGGGACTGCAGGCACCCGCCACCACACCCGGCTAATTTTTTTGTATTTTTAGTAGAGACGGGATTTCACCGTGTTAGCCAGGATGGTCTAGATCTCCTGACCTCGTGATCCACCCGCCTCGGCCTCCCAAAGTGCTGGGATTACAGCTGTGAGCCACCGCGCCCGACCCAATCTCAGAATATTTCTAAGAACTAACCATTGAGCTTAAAGGAGAAAATAATTTTAAGTAAGATTAAACTTTCTAATTACCCAGATTATGGTTTTGTCTTTCCTAGGGCATTCAATGGATGTAGAGAGCAGTAAGTTCTTCCCAGTAAGTTCTTCCCTTTCATTTGAGTAATAAGTTCTTGTTCTTAACTTATATCACCCAAAATGAACTTTAATTTTGATCATCAAGTACATCATTATCACTGGACATTTTAGCTTCTATTTTAAATTTTAAAATAACTTTGTAACTAAGAATGTATTATTTATTCTGATATATATTAAACATTATATATTACTTTTTATTTTTTATTTTTATGGGTACATAGTAGGTGTATATATTTATGGGCTACATGAGATGTTTTGATACAAGCATGCAATGTCCAATAATCACACCATGGAGAATGGGGCATCCATTCCCTCAAGTGTTTATCCTTTGTGTTACTAACAATCTAATTATATTCTTTTAGTTATTTTAAAACATACAATTAAGTTATTATTTGAATATATTCACCCTGTTGTGCTATCAAATACTAGGTCTTATTCATTCATTCTACTTTTATTGTACCTCTTAACTATCCCCACCTCCTCCCTGCGCCCCCATTCGCCCACTGCCCTTCCTAGTTTCTAGTAACTATTCTTCTACTCTTTATGACCATAAGTTCATTTGTTTATTTTCAGATCCCAAAAATAAGGGAGAACATGCGATGTTTGTTTTTCTGAGCCCGGCTTTTATCAATAAATATAATGATCTCCGGTTCCTTCCATGTTGTTGCACGTGACAAGATCTCATTCTTGTTTATGGCAGAATAGTACTCCATTGTGTATACATATCCCATTTTCTTTATCCATTTATCTACTAATGGACACTTAGGTTGCTTCCAAATCTTGGTTATTGTGAACAGTGATGCACCAAATATGAGAATGCTGATATCCCCTCAATATACTGATTATTTTCTTTTGCGTGTATACCCAGCAGTGGGATTGCTGGATCATATTGTAGCTCAATTTTCAGTTTTCTGAGGAACCTCCAAAATGTTCTTCATAATTGTTATACTGATTTGCATTCCCACCAATAGTGGGTAAGTATTCCCTTTTCTCCATATCTTCACCGGCATTTTTATTGCCTGCCATTTGGATATAAGCCATTTTAAGTGAGTGAGATATCTCCTTATAGTTTTGACTTGTATGTCTCTGAAGATAAATGATGTTGAGCACCTTTTCATATACCAGTGAAATGGTTAGGCTTTGTGTCCCTACCCACATCTCATCTTGAACTGTAATGCCTATAATCTCCATAATCCCCATGTGTCAAGGGAGAGACCAGGTGGAGGTAATTTAATCATAGGGGTGGTTTCCCCCATGCTGTTCTCATGATAGTGAGTGAGTTCTCACGAGATCTGATGGTTTTATAAGGAACTCTTCCCCCTTTGCAAGCACTTCTCTTTCCTGCTGCCTTGTGAAGAAGGTACTTGATTCTCCTTCACCTTCCCCCATGACTGTGAGTTTCCTGAGGCCTCCCCAGCCATGCTGAACTGTGGGTCAATTAAACCCCTTTCCTTTGTGAATTACCCAGTCTCTGGCAGTTCTTTATGGTACTATGAAAATGGACTAATATAGCCAGTGTCCATTCATATTTCTTCTTTTGAGAAATGCCTATTCAAGTATTTTGCCCATTTTTTGATCTAATTCTGAGTTAGTATCTTTATTTTATTTTATTTTATTTTATTTTCCTATAGTTGTTTGACCTCCTTATATTTCTGGTCATTAATCCCTTGTAAGGTTGGTAGTTTGGAAACATTTTCTCCCATTCTATGGGTTATCTCTTCTTTTTGTTGATTGTTTTCTTTGCTGTGCAGAGCTTTTTAATTTGGTGTGATCCCATGTGTACATTTGTGCTTTGGTTGCCTGTGGTTGTGGAGTATTGCTCAATAAATATTTCCCCAGACCAATGTATTTGAGATTTTCACCAATGTTTTCTTGTAGTAGTTTCATAGTTTGAGATGTTAGGTTTAAGCCTTTGATCCATTTTGATTTGAATATTTGTATATGGTGAGAGATAGGGGCATAGTTTTACTCTTCTGCATATGGATATCCAGTTTTTCCAACACCATTTATTAAAGAGATCGTCTTTTCCTCAGCATTTATTCTTAGTACCTTTGTCAAAAATAAGTTCATTTTAGGTGTGTGGATTTGTTTTTGGGTTCTCTATTCTGTTCCACTGGTTTAGATGTCTGTTTTTATGCCAGTAAACATTATTTTTCAAAACTAATTACAAATATATCATGTTCATTGCTGCTTCTTTTTTCTCTATGTAGAAATCTTTATTGAAAGATTGGCTTCTTGCCACCTATTTTTTTCTAGTTATTTCATACTTTTATTTCTAAATTTTTTAAATAATTTCAACTTTTATTTTAGATTCAGGGTGTATATGTGCAGGTTAGTTACATGCTTATGTTGCATGATGCTGAGGTTTGGGATACCAATGATTCTATCATCCTGAGAATAACCATAGTACCCAACAGCTAGTTTTTCAATAATTGTCCCACATCCTTCCTCCCCACTCTGTTAGTCCCCAGTGTCTATTGTTGCCATTTTTATGTCCATGAGTACCCAATGTTTATCTTCCATTTATAAGTGAAAATGTGATATTTGGTTTTCTGTTAGTGTTAATATGCAGACACTTCTCAAAACATACAAGTAACCAACAAACATATGAAAATGTGCTCAACCTCACTAATCATCAGAGAAATGAGAATTAAAACCAAAATTATAACTTACATCAGTAAGAATGACTATCATTAAAAAGTCCAAATCAACATAGATGCAGGGGAGGCTGTGAAGAAAAGAAAATGCTTATACCCTGTTGGTGGGAATGTAAATTAGTTAAGCCACTGTGGAAAGCCATCTGGAGATTTCTCAGAGAAGTAAAAACAGAGATACCATTCAACCCAGCAATCTCATTAGTAGGTGTATATCCAAAGAAATACATAAATCATTTTACCAAAAAAATCATGCAGTCATATGTTTATTGCAGCACTATTCACAATAGAAAATTCATGGAATCAACCTAGGTGCCCATTAACGATGGATTGAATAAAGAAAATGTAATAGATATACACCATGGATTACTACACAGCCATATGAAAGAACAAAATTATGCCATTTGCAGCAACATGAATGCAGTTAGAGTCCATTATCCTAAGCAAATTTCACTGCTTATTGATGATGCCCTTCAACCTATTCATATTGCCACTTCCAAGTAGTAATTACTTTTCTTGTACATATACTTTTCTTTTTTTTTAACTAAATCTTCTCTGTTCCTTGTAAAGAATATTATTGTTGGCACTCAAAAGTTAGTGAACTATACATAATTCACCTGTGGCCTAACTAATTTCTTTAAGAAATCACACTAATTACCCATATACTTAAGTTTTTATTGATGCATTATTTCTAGAGGAAATAAATACTGCTAACACGGCATTAGTGAGAGAGTAAAAAAAAAAAGTATTTTCTCAAAAAGTGCTATCATTTTAGAATAAACTTATACTAAAAACTTCTTTATAAACCCTTTACACACTTTTTATTCTGAGACAATTCAAAAAAACTAAAAGAAAAAGGATTATTGTTTATTCATCTTATAAGCCACCCTCTTGAAAAGTTACGGCCTTTATAGCCAGTATAATCTGTATTACACTGAGGTAACAGAATAAAAAGCAAATTCCTTCTGTTGGGCCTTGCCTTATCCAGTAATAGTGTTCAGCTTTGACTTTTTTTGTAGGTCACATAATTGAGTCCAGTATTCTTAAATAACACCTTGTCTTTATATCGATAAGCATTTAAAATATTCGATTTATTGTTACTCTTGTACCTTCATTGTACTGGAAGAAGAATTTTCTCTCAAAGAAGAATTTTCTCTCTCATTCCATAAAACCCAAGTTGCAGAGAAAAATATGTAGACATTCAATTGCAGAGAAATGTGTCATTTTCTGTAACTTTAAACTGTATATTGAATGAATTCAGCAATGTTTTCATTTTCATTTTGGCTTTTTGGCAAATATTAACAGGCTCAAGTTTGTCCATGTACTATCATCTATGTAAAAATCTCAAAACATTCTTATAATAATCATTTGAAATATATATAGTGTAATGTTAAATTTATGTCTGAGACCACATTTATTTTTTCACTTTTTGTATTTAGTTCTTTACACATGACCTAACACTTAATAGATTATCAAAATGTATCTTCTGGAATTAAAAAAAAATTGCATGTAATTTGTACAACATGTACTGGAAAAAATTTACCAACAATTTTATTTTGTCTGTCATTTTATTGGAGAATATTTATTGTCTTAAAAAATAATACAGTTTTCAAGTACAAGGACTTTGTAATGTTTTTACAAAATATACAAAATATATAAAATATTTCTAAAAATTTAATACAGTGAAGAAATATACTTTACAATGGTAAATTATAATATCATTACATAAAATGCAGATTACATATAGTCAAACATTCTCTTGAAAAAATTTAAGTGGCCTATAAAATGCTGTATTCATGCATATAATTCCATTATAATTCTTAAGCAGTTTGCTGTTCTTCCGGCATTTAAACAGATTGTTGTTTGTTTGAACATCAAATGTAGATGTTTTTGTTCCTATAAAGCCATATTTTAAATAAATGCATATACAACGAAATCATATATAGTGATAAGCACATAGAACTTGAAACCATCTGAAAAATAATGCAGAACAAAATTGCTTATCTATATTCACTAGGCACATATGTTTATTGATAAAATGAGAAGTGGAAAAATCTGAATTATGTAAAATTATCTCTCCTTTACCTTTTCAAATTTACATAACATAATCAAACTCTTCATAATTTAGTAATGAACAACATAATACTTCCTTGCATATGCAGTGTATTGTGTGCATAAAATCAATATTAGGTATAAAAAATCCATGGCAATAAGGCTAGAAAGAAAGTGCCATAGTAGTGATTATCTCATAGCAAAAAAGTATGACAATATTTTTTCCCTCTGACTCTTGGATTTCTCAATTTTCTAGAAACAATGCAGATTGCTTTTATAACATTTAATTCTAAACCTTTTAACATTTAAGATAAGTTTTGAAATATTCCGTATA
This sequence comes from Homo sapiens, assembly GCF_000001405.40. Taxonomy (NCBI): domain Eukaryota; kingdom Metazoa; phylum Chordata; class Mammalia; order Primates; family Hominidae; genus Homo; species Homo sapiens. The sequence goes on from NC_000001.11 coordinate 189,509,116, forward strand.
CATTCTAATTCTGAAAGCATTTCTTGTGATTTTGCATAGAGTTTAGGAACATTAAAATTCTACTTAAAAATTTATCATGTTTTGTGATAATTTTCCATTCTTTTTTTTTAATCTTGAAATTTTACAAGCACAGCCACATCAGAGAGGGTGAAAATTAAAACTGAAGATGAAAAAGAATTTTTGGAATTGGATCATTGAAGAACATGGGGTAGAAAATGCCAGAAAAGTAAAGGGAGCCAAGGTTTGAAAGCAGAATAAATATAGTATTAGTGTAGTGGGTATAGGAAGAGGCAGAAAGACTAATCTCAGTGAATCAAAACATTCTTGTAAGCAAGAAACACAATTGTGTTTAACTGAAGACAGGTTAGCTGCAACAGCCTCGAATGTCAAACATGGACATGCAGTTAATGGGGAGTCATTAACGGTTTCAGAAAAGTTAATGATATGATAAATGGTAGTTTTGGGGATTATTCTGGTTCGTGAAATTTAAAATAAATTTTATTCTGATATTTTTGACATTTAAACCTAGTAAACAAAGGTTGCAACCACACAATCTTATCATGATGTATCCTACTAATAAAATTTATGTCATGGTTTATATTCCCAAACTAGAAACACAATCTGAAATTGAAGTTAATAAAATCAGCATGGCATATGTGATTAGTCATGTGTAGAAGCTTTCTGCCACTAAAAGTCATGTGTAAATGTGTTACTGATGTAACCTAAGCAATTTCTAAATTTCCCTCATGAAACTAATTTCAAATCACATTGAGAAGACTAAAGAAGTAATGCAAGATAAGATTTGTCTTACATGTGCAACATAAAATCTATGGCAAAAGACAAGTGAGCATAAAGATAAGAATATAAGCCAGGCGTAGTGGCTCATGCCTGTAAACCCAGAACTTTGGGAGACTCAGGCAGGTGGATCATTTCAGATCAGGAGTTCAAGACCAGCTTGACCAACATGGTGAAATCCTGTCTCTACTAAAAATACAAATAATTAGCCAGATGTGGTGGTGCACTCCTGTAATCCCAGCTACTCGAGAGGCTGAGGTGGGAGAATCGCTTGAACCCAGGAGACAGAGGTTGCAGTGAGCCACTACAGAGGAGGAGAGGTTGAACCCAGGAGGCAGAGGTTGCAGAGATCGTGCCATTGCATTCCAGCCTGGGTGACAGAGCAAAACTCTGTCACACACACACACAAAAAAATGATAAGGAATATAGAGCTGAACAATGATTTTTTTCTGTGTGTGTGTCTGTAGCATTGACCAGGAAATGATTTTATGTTTAGTAATGAATTATGTAACTATAACCAAACAATTACAATAATAAAGGTTGATGAATAATCTATTAATACTTGGCAATAATCTTCACTATAATAATAAAGGTTTCTTGGATCCCATGCTACTTTCACCTAGGTCTCTGGTCTTTTTAGTGAGTTTGTCTGTCAGTAAGGATTGTTCTATGAAAGTGAACTTCCCCAGTTATCTTGTGTCATTTAGTGGTTAGATAAACATTTTTTGAAGCTTTTCATACATGAGACAATATGCACAACCTAAGTAAAGGCTACAAAGATGAAAAAATCACCATCTGTACCTTAAGGAGTCCACTGTGTATTGAGAGTGGCAAACATGCAAACAGTAGTTTCAATGTAATGTAATAAATATGATGATTGAAGCAGATAGAGAGTTAAGGAGTAATTGGTAAGCTTGAATAGTCAAAAGAAGAGAAGTATCTTCTTATAAGATACTTCTTATGAGAAGTTATTATAAAAGAAGTAATCTAAGATGGGTCTTTAGGAATAAGAAAGCTTTAGCAAGCTATGAAAGTTAAAATTGGCATTATAGGCAGAAAGAGTAATTTTTTTAAAGAACTTGAAGTACATAATGAATAGAATAAATAAAGACAGCTCAGCAAAACTGAGCTATAAAAATTTAAGTTTAGGCAAGGTGACAGATGAGGATTGGTTACTCAATGCCAATCATTGAAGGGATGACATTTTTATTTCTTCTAACTCTATGAAATTGAAGCTTAGCATTTACAGTGAGGTATTTTCAGCAACTTCCTGCCCAATTAAAATTGATTCATTTTCCTGTATTAGGCAAAATCTCACCATATTCTACCACTTTTTTTCAGCCAACCACTCAGATAATCTTAAAATCACTTTTAGTGCAATGTTACCAATGATTGCTTTGAGGAACATGAAGTAATTTTCCTGTGCATCCTAAACTTGGATCACATATCACATCAAAATCACCTGACGGAGACATTTCCAATGCATATTAATCATTTTTCTCTGGAAATTTTGATTTCATCAGTCTGGGTTTGTGTTAATTTATCTGTATTTATTGTTGGACTTTTTAATAATTCTGATGCAATCAGTTAACAAAGCAGAGCTTGAAAACCATTTGGTGTTTCATGCATTTCTGGTGGACATTTGATTATATAAAATAATTACAAAACAAGGTGAGAGGGAATTATGTTTAATGTTTGAATATTATATATATTTGAATGTATTTTGATTATATTTTGAATATATTTGAATATATTTTGAATATATATATAATTTGACCACATATTTTGTCTCTACAATAATAAGATTAGAAATGTGCAGAAATTAATAAAAAAACAAACAAACAAACAAAAAACAGGCAGCCAAAAGCATGGAAGAAAAGAGTTGGAGAGAAAGGAAAACTGACAATTGTCTAGTGTGGAAAAAAGAGAAGGGAAAGAAAGTGGCATGTTTTTTGTACATTATTTCATTGTATCTAAATTATAAGCAAATGGTAATAATAAGAAAGCCAATAATACAAGCATTGAGATTGTAGTGCCGACACTGATTTATGGGAAAGAAGTGTACTCAATTTTGCTGCATAATGTTAAGCAGGCAAAAAAAAAAAAAAAAAAAAAAAAAAAGCAGAAAAAAAAGAGTCATTCTCCAAGAAGTGTGACTTTTATTACTGCTAACTTGTTTTATTTCATACTTAATTGAAAATAAAAGGTCTAAAAAGTACTCAGGTTGAACCCAAAGTCCTCTGCTATAGGTAACATCTTCAGGAACTTTATTAAGTGAAGGGATGGGGTGGCAGTGGTAGAGTGGATGACTATTTGCTTCTGACAGGGTGCCTGTTTATGTATTATACAAAATAATATTGAATATATATTATTAAGAAATCTGTTAAAAATTAAGTAAAACTCAGATTCATGTTCTTAAAAGGCACAACATTTGCTATGGCAACAAGATAAAAAATGTTTAAGTACCAAAAATGTATATTAACTGCAAACATTTTCATATAAACAAAACAATGTATCTATTTATATCAATAACTCATATGCCCAAAAATATTTTTTTAAAAGATTGAAATAACTTTATACTTAATGTTACCACTGTATTCTAAAATAATATATATTATTTGCATATATATACTATAAATAATTTATTTTGTTATTAATTATTAAGTCAACAAATAATTCTTTGAAACCTACAAAATGCTGCTTTCTGTTATAGGCACTGAATATAGAATTGATATAAAATGTATTCTTGTGGGGGAGGGGCCAAGATAGCAGACTAGAAATAGCTGTGGTCAGAGGCTCCCACCAAGAACAAAAATGGCAAGTGAATTCTGAACTTCCAACTGAGGTATACAAATTCTCTCATTGGGACTGAGTAGTCAGTTGGCAGGACCACAGAGAGTAAGAAAAGACAGGGTGGTGTGACGGCCAACCTGGGAGACACACAGGGCAAAGCGAGCTCCCACTTTCAGACAAGGGAGGCAGGGAGTGATCATGCTACCCTGCTGGGAAAACACGTTTTTGCCACAGATTCGTGCAACCCGCAGATCAGGAGATTCCTTTTTTGAGCCCATGCCACCAGTGCCTTGGGTCCCCATCACAGAGCTATGCAGATTCTCAGTGGCCACTTGGCTGCAGACTGCCTGAGACTACCAAGTTCCCAGGAGAAGGGGAAGCCATCATCACTGAAGCTGCTGGCTGCCTAAAACAAGTGAGCTCCCTGGGGGAGGGGCAGCAGCCATCACTGCAGCTCCAGTCTGCCATTATTCCCCTGCAGATGTCAGAGAGACTGGACACTTTGAACCCTGGGGAAATTCCCCACAGTGCAGCACAGCCGCTGTGGCAGATCATGACAAGACTGCCTCTTTAGGCTGGACCCTGACCCATCCCTCCTCACTGGGCGGGACCTCACTGCAGGAATTTCAGCAACTCCGGCCAAGGGTATAGGGACAGAACTCTTAGCTCCCTGGAATTGAGCCACTGCGGGGAGGAGCGCCTGTGGTCTCCACAGATCAGCAGATTCAGTCGTTCCCCTGGATGGCTCTGAGGAATCCTGGCAGTCCAGACAAGTGGGATTTCCCCAGGACAGCACACCCCCTTCACCAAGGGGCAGCCAGAGTGTGTTGCTAAGTGGGTCACAGATCCCATGCCTCCTGACTGGGTGAGACCCCCTAACAGGGGTTGCCAGACATCTTATAGAGGAGTATTCCTGCTGGAATCAGGTCAGTGCCCATCTGGGACAGAAATCCCAGAGGAAGAAGCAGACAGCCATCTTTGCTGTTCTGCAGCCTCCACTGGTGACACTTTCAGGTGTGGGAGGGACCCAGGTTAATAGGTTCTGGAGTGGGCCCAGAGCAAACCATAGCAGCCCTATGGAAGAAGGGCCTGACTATTAAAAGAAAAGCAAGCAAACAGAAAGCAACAACAGCAACAAAAATGTCCCCACAAAAACTGCATCCAAATGTTAGCAGCCTCAAAGATCGAAGCTAGATAAACGCATGAAGATGAAAACGAATCAACAACAAAAAGCTAAAAACTCAAAAAGCCACAATGCCTCTTCTCCTCCAAATGATCACAACACCTCTCTAGCAAGGGCACAGAACTGGGTGAAGGATGAGATGGATGAATTGACAGAAATAGGCTTCAAAATGTGGGTAATAATAACGAACTTCATTGAGCTAAAGGACCATATTCTATTCTAATGTGAAGAAGCTAACAGGCATGACAAAACATTACAGGAGCTGTTAACAAGAATAAACAGTTTAGAGAGGAACATAAGTGACCTGATTGAGCTGAAAAACGCAACCCAGGAATTTCACAATGCAACCACAAGTATCAATAACTGAATAGACAAAGCAGAATTTCAGAGCTTGAAGCCCGTTTTACTGAAATAAGACAGGCAGACAAGATTAGAGAAAAAAAGAATGAAAAGAAATGAACAAAACCTCCGAGAACTATGAGATTATGTAAAAAGACTGAACCTATAACTGACTGGGGTACCTGAGACAGGGAGAATGGAACCAAATTGGAAAACATACTTCACGATATCATCCAGGAGAACTCCTCCAACCTAGCAATACTGGCCAACATTCAAATTTAGGAAATCCAGAGAACCCCAGTAAGACACTTCATGAGAACATCAACCCTAAGACACATAATTATCAGATTTTCCAAGGTTGAAATGAAGAAAAAAATGTTAAGGCATCCAGAAAGAAAGGCCAAGTCACCTATAAAGGGAAGCCCATCAGCCTAACAGCAGACCTCTCAGCAGAAACCCTACAAGCCAGAAGAGATTGGGGGCCAATATTCAACATTCTTAAAGAAAAGAATTCCCAACCAAGAATTTCATATCTGGCCAAACTAAGCGTCATAAGTTAAGAAGAGAGAAATAAGTTTCTTTTCAGACAAGCAAATGCTAAGGGAATTTGCCACCACTAGACCTGCCTTGGAACAGCTCCTCAAGGAAGCACTAAAAATGGAAAGAAAAAACTGTTACCAGCCACTAAAAAAATACTGAAGTACACAGAGCAGTAACATTATGAAGCAACTACATGAAGAAGCCTACAAAATAACCAGCTAGCATCATGATGACAGTGTCAAATTCACACATAACAATATTAACCTTAAACGTAAATGGACTAAATGCCCCAATTAAAAGACACAGAATGGCAAGCTGGATAAAGAGTTGAGATCCATTGGTGTGCTATGTTCAAGTGGCCTATCTCACATGCAAAGAAACACATAGGCTCCAAATAAAGGGATGGAGGAAAATTTACCAAGCAAATGGAAAGCAGAAAAAAGCAGGGGTTGCAATACTAGTTTCTGATAAAACAGACTTTAAATCAACAAAGATCAAAAAAGACTAAAGGCATTACCTAATGGTAAAGGGATCAACTCAAAAGGAAGAGCTAACCATTCAAAATATACATGCACCCAATACAGGAGCACCCAAATTCATAAAACAAATTCTTAGAGACCTACAAAGAGACTTAGACTCCCATGCAATAATAATGGGGGACTTTAACACCCCTCTGTCAATATTAGACAGATCATTGAGACAGAAAATTAACATGGATATTCAGGACTTGCACCCAGCCCTGCATCAAGTAGATGTGATTGATATCTACAGAACTTCCACCCCAAAGCAACAGAATGTACATTCTTCTCGGTGCCACATGGCACTTACTCTAAAATCAATCACATAATTGGAAGTAAAACACTCCTCAGCAAATGCAAAATAACTGAATTCATAACAGTCTCTCAGACCACAGTGTAATCAAATTAGATCTCAAGATAAGGAAACTCACCCAAAACCACACAACTACATGGAAATTGAACAACTTGCTCCTGAATGACTCCTGGCTAAATAATGCCATTAAGGCAGAAATGAAGAAGTTCTTTGAAACCAAAGAGAACAAAGAGACAACATACCAGAATATCTGGGACACAGCTAAGGCCGTGTTAACAGGGAAATTTATAGCACTACATACACACACCAAAAAGCTAGAAAGATCTCAAATCGACACCCTAACATCACAACTAAAACAACCAGATAACCAAAAGCAAACAAACCCCAAATCTAGCAGAAGACAAGTAATAACCAAGGTCAGAGTGGAACTGAGATAGAGAAAAGAAAATATTATTCAAAAAAATTAATGAACCCAGGAGCACTTTAAAAAAAAAAAAAAAACTAAAATAGACCACTAGAAAGACTAACAAAGAAGAGAGAATAATCAAATACACACAATAAAAAATGATAAAGGCAATATGGCCATTGCCCCACAAAAATACAAACAAACATCAGAGAATACTATAAACATCTCTATGCAAATAAACTAGAATATCTAGAAGAAATGAATAAATTCCTGGACACATACACCCTCCCAAAACTGAATTAGGAAGAATTTGAAACCCTGAATAGACCAATAACAAGTTCTGAAATTGAGACAGTAATAAATAGTGTATCAACAAAAAAAAGCACAGGACCAGGTGGATTTACAGCTGAATTCTATTAAAGATACAAAGAGGAGCTGGTACCATTTCTTCTGAAACTATTACAAACAACTGAAAAGGTGGAATTTCTCCCTAATTCATTTTAGGAGGCCAGCATTATACTGATACCAAAACCTGGCAGAGGTACAATAATAAAAGGAAACTTCAAGTCAGTATCACTGATGAACACCAATGTGAAAATCCTCAATAAAATACTGGCAAACTGAATTCAGCAGCACATCAAAAAGCTAATCCACCACAATCAAGTCAGCTTCATCCCTGCGATGCAAGTCTGGTTCAACATATGCAAATCAATAAATACAATTCATCAGATAAACAGAGCTAAAGACAAAATTCACATGATTTTCTCAATAGATGCAGAAAAGGCCTTTGATAGAATTCAGCATCCCTTCTCAAGTTAAAAACTTCTCAAGGTTTTGAAGAAACATACTTCAAAATGATAAGAGCCATTTATGAAAAACCCACACCCAATAACGTACTAAATGGGCAAAAGCTGGAAGCATTCCCTGTGGAAACTGACAAGACAAGGGTGCCCTCTCTCACCACTCCTACTTAACATAGTATTGGAAGTTCTGTCTGGGGCAATCAGGCAAGAGAAAGGAAGAAACGGTTTTCAAATAGCAAAAGAGGGAGTCAAACTGTTTGCAGATTACATGATCCTATATCTAGAAAACTCCATCATCTCAGTACAAAAGTTTCTTAAGCTGATAAGCAGCTTCAGCAAAGTTTCAGGATACAAAATCAATTTGCAAAATTCACAAGCATTCTTATACACCAACAATAGCAAACGGTGTATTCACAATTCACAACTGCTACACAGAGAATAAAATATCTAGGAACACAGCTAACAAAGAAAGTGAAGGACCTCTTCAAAAAGAACTACAAATCACTGTTCAAAGAAACAAAAGAGGACACAAACAAATGGAAAAACATTCAATGCTTATGAATAGGAAGAATCAATATAGTGAAAATGGCCATAGTGCCCAAAGTAATTTATAGATTCAATCCTATTCCCATTAAGCTACCATTGACATCTTCACAGAATTAGAAAAACTACTTAAAATATATATTTTATATATATAAAAAATACATTATATATAATATATATTTATATATTTTATATATTATATAAAATATATATAATATATTTTATGTATATATAAAATACATATAAAATTGGCCCATATTGCCAAGACAATACTAAGCAAAAAGAACAAAGCTGGAAGCATCATGCTAACTGACCTCAAACTATACTACAAGGCTACAGTAACCAAAATAGCATGGTACTGGCACTAAAACAGACACCTGGACCAATGGAAAAGAATAGAGATCTCAAAAATAACACTGCACATCTGCAATCCTCTGATTCTCCACAAACCTGAAAAAAAAAAAAAAGAACGAGCAATGGGGAAAGGATCCCCTATTTAATAAATGGTGTTGGGAAAACTGGCTAGCCATATGTAGAAAGTTGAAACTGGAGCCTTTCCTTACACCTTATACAGAAATTAACTGAAGATGGATTAAAGACTTAAATGCAAAACTCCAAACTATAAAAACCCTAGAAGAAAATCTAGGAAATACCATCCAGGACATAGGCACTGCAAAGATTTCATGATGAAAACACAAGCAATGGCAACAGAAGCAAAAATAGACAAATGGGATCTAATTAAACTAAAGAGCTTCTGCACAACAAAAGAAGTGAACAGACAACCTACAGAATGAACAAAAAATTTTGCCCCCTATCCGTCTGACAAAGGTCTAATATCTAGGATCTATAAGAAACTTAAACACATTTACAAGAAAAAAAGAAACATCAAAAAGTGGGCAAATGACATGAACAGACAACTTCTCAAAAGAAAACATTTATGCAGCCAAAAAACATATGAAAAAAAAGCTCATCATTGATCATTAGAGAAATGCAAATCAAAACCACAATGAGATACCATCTCATGCCAGTAAGAATGGCAATTATTTAAAAAGTCAAGAAACAACAGATGCTGGTGAAGCTTTGGAGAATAACTACGCTTTTACACTGTTGGAGGGAATGTAAATTAGTTCAACCATTACGGAAGACACTGTGGTGATTCCTCAAAGATCTAGAACCAGAAATACCATTTGATCCAGCAATCCCATTACTGAGTATAACCAAAGAAATATAAATCATTCTATTATAAAGATACATGTATGCACATATGTTCATTGCAGCACTATTCATAATAGCAAAAACATGGAATCAACCCAAATGTCCATCAATGATAGACTGGATAAAGAAAATGTGATACATACACAACATGGAATATTATGCAGCCATAAAAAAACAAGATCATGTCCTTTGCAGGGAAATGGATGGAGCTGGAGGCTTCAACAAACTACCAACAGAAAATCAAACACTGTGTTTTCTCACTTAAAAGTGGGAGCTGAACAATGAGAACAGATGGACAAAGGGAGGGAAACAACACACAGTGGGGCCTGTTGGGAGGAGGGAAGAGAGATAGCATCGGGATAAATAGCTAATGCATGTGGGGCTCACCTACGTGAGGGGTTGATAGGTGCAGCAATCCACCATGACACACGTTTACCTATGTAACAAACCTGCAGGTCTTGTACATGTATCCTGGATTTTAAAATAAAATAAAATATTTTTTAAAGTCTCTGTCCTCAAAGAGTGGTAAATTTTTAAAAAATAGAAAATATAATTACATAAAGGTACTGCTGAAATCAGAGACTTAATTGCTAATAAAAACAATTCATGCAACCCAGTGTGATTATTTTTAATAATAATGGACATTTTAATATGTCTTTTGTTTTTTTCTGTGGAAATACACTAAAATATAACATCTGGGGACGTTTGGTATCTCGATGTTTAACAGGTATTATCAGTTTTCCAAAAATATTTTACCAGCTTACTTGCCCATCAGTGACTCTTAAGTTAGTATGGGGAGCCACATCCTATCCAACAAGCTCTAGTACCAATCTTTGTAGTTTGTCAATTAAATAGGTGTAGGTTTTATAGTTTATTATTAGATTATTAAAATAGAATAAATAGAATAACTAGGTAAATAAAAGCAGAACATCTATGGACATATGTTTAGAGTGTGTCCTATCCCCAGAATTAAAATTAATCCAATTTGTGCCTCTGCTGTCCAATAAAATAATTCCTTAAGAATACAGAGATCAGATATTCATTTGAGGAACCATTCTAATATGGTTTTCACCTACTCATGACAACAAAATTACTCTTATCAAAGCACAAACAGTATCCATATTGTTAAATTATGAATTGAAGCACAATTTTTCAGTTCTCATCTTAATTTATGTATCAGCAGCATTTGGCACAGTTGATCTCTCTCTCCTTTTTGAACAACATCCTTGATAGAATTCCAGAACAGATATTTTTAAATATAATAATAAGGGCATAAAATGACTTTAAAAGTATTCAGAAATAGAGAAAAATAAATTTAAATTACATAAAATATATTTAAAAAGATGTTTTGTCCTTTTTTGCCCTTGAATAAAGGGGGCACATATTTTAAATGCCATGCATTTTATTTTAAAATTTAGGAAATGCTCACAGTTTCCCACACTAAAATTTACAGGAACAGTGATAATATAATCAAGCAATAACAATATGAAATTCAATAGATTTTTCTAGACTGATGTATTTTCTTGATTAAAAGACTATTTTTAAAAGTCTAAATATGCACTTAAAGAAAACTATTATTTACTGATCCAGTTATTTGACAACACTACTTGTCCTTTATGGGGTTTTCATACCATATATTTATTATTGCAATTGGTTTTTTGATATTTCAATCAGAAATTTTTAATTGTATTGCTGGTTGGCTTGGTCTGTTGAATCTTTGTTTTTATTATATTGTTTATTCATTACAGGTTAGCTCTGCTAGTGCAAATTGTGACGTGAAAAGCTTGAGACACTTTGTAAATTTTAAAGCAAAGAGCGTGGTATTTAAATACGTGTTCCTTAATATTTGGAGGACATGTTAACACCAAGTAAACCCAGAGTCTGTATTTTATAGTAGTAACAGGAGAATGTTTTCAATTTTTTCTAAAGTTTTTTAAAAATAAACATTCTGTATTCAGAACATTTTTAATAACAGAACAAATATTTAGTGTTTAATTAAACGAAATGTGGTTTCATTGAAAAGGAAATGGTTAATATAAATTAGATAAATTTCTAATTTAAAAACTAATTTAAGAAAAATAATGCTTGAAGATCAGTGGTCATGGAATTTAATCCAGAGAAGGGAGGTTTATCCTTTTCTGCTTGTAGTAACAAAAGAATACAGGCCAATATTATAGGGATAGACATAAAAATATAGCATAACATTTTATTTTAAAAACAAAGTCACTTTTTTATACATGTATTAAATGTTTGACAACAAAGAACAAAAAAAAGTGAAGTTTTCATGCTCACTTTTGGGGGGTGTTATGGGACACAAGCACAGAAAACTGTGAGAAATAAAATTTTCATCCTGGCTTGGTGTGGGCAGAACCCAACAGCCTGAGGACAACCTCAGCATGTGTGGTTTTGTTAGGCCACAGTCCCTCTGTATAAAAACTATGCTTATGGCCGGGCGTGGTGGCTCATGTCTGTGATCCCAGCGCTTTGGGAGGCCGAGGCGGGCGGATCACGAGGTCAGGAGGTTAACACATCCTGGCTAACACGTGAAACCCCGTCTCTACTAAAAATACCAAAAAAAAAAAAAAAAAAAAAGATTAGCCGGGCATGGTGGCGAGCGCTTGTGGTCCCACCTACTCTGGAGGCTGAGGCAGGAGAATGGGGTGAACCCAGGAGGCGGAGCTTGCAGTGAGCCGAGATCGCGCCACTGCACTCCAGCCTGGGCGGCAGAGTGAGACTCTGTCTCAAAAAGAAAAGAAAAAAAAAAAAAAGTTGTGCTTATTTAAAGAGAATTGAAGTCTCAGTGAGAAAAATAACTACTACTAACCTCAAAACAGCATGTATGGCTCATCATTTGAGGTACTCTGACTATATAACTTGTTCAACTGTGTTACCATTCTATAAGGCTTATAATTTGTATCTTTTAAAACCAGAATAATTTCAAATTTGAAATAGATTACTTAGAGAAGTAAATTTTAATATACAAACCCCTATATATTTGTATCATTTATATCTATACCTATGCTTACATGTGTGTTTGTGAATATGTGTGTGATTCTGTTATGTAAATGCTTCCCTCAGACAAACAAGCATTCTTCTACTTGTAATTAAATTTGCTCTGTGTTAGTTTGAGCTTTTTACCTCTGACATTAGATGGCACAAGTATATAGGATTTTGAAACATGAAATAAGTAAACCTTTCATTTTATAAAAATTTATTTTAAATTTTTCAGATTAAAAAATTGAATCAATTGCAAAAGTATTTGCTTTCCAACTAAATAATGAAAGGTTAGGATAATGTCCTCATTACTTTAAAAACTTTGCTTTTCATTATGTCAAATACATTTTATCTGCCACAATATTTTATTGAGAGCATACATTTTCTGATATATGGGATTCATTGACATGTAAATAGTAAAAGATTATTGATGTTAATATCACATGAGACAATTCAGCAGAGAAGCAAATGCAAAAGCATTCTTCTGTGTCTTGTAAATTTTACAGGAGCACACAAACGTTGACACAATGGTGATAGACACAGATATTAAAATTATTTGGAAAATGGTTTGCATTTATAGTATTAACAAGCTATTAAGGTATTGGTGGTCTTAGACATTATTTCCCACAAAGGCCCACATCTTTGCATTAGAAAAATCAGAGAGGAAGAGTGAAGAGAAAGCACTATCATTATTCCTAGAGAACTAAACTAGAAGAATATGAAGCAGACTAGAGGATGATTGTCCACATATTTCATTGAGGAAGCTATCTCATAATTTCTGCTGAATTTTTTACTATAATGATAAATGATTGGTTTGAGTTTATTAGATATCGTTTTTTTTTTTGTCTTTTACCGGGTTGTAGAAATTGTCTCCATCTAAAATTTCACTGTTTTTTCACCTTTATTGTTCTAATAGAAATTCGTTTTCTGCATATAAAAATTTTAGTGCAGAAATGTAGACATGTTCCAGGTTGCTCTGATCTATCAAACAGACATAAAAGCAGAGGAAAGGAAATGTGTGATCAATATCATGCAACAAGGATACCGATAGGGTCACACTGACATATTTTACGTCCAGTTTGTGAGCAAAGATGCCAGTAAATTCTGACAGGAAGCAGCAGTACTTTTGCTAAATTGCTATAATAAATCGTTAAGCTCTTTTAAAAGCTGGGAGGTGTCGTGGGTGGGGGGATGTGTAATACAGAACTTTATAACTCGTGAAAATTAGCTATAAATTAGGGCATGAAAGGAACAGCAAGAGCAGGATGTAGCTTTTTTTTCAAACTGTACTTAAAGATTATTTGATCTTCATTTATAGATCCTTTAAAATAATATTTAGTTAGTATATATCCTAACGAAGGGTAGGCATGGAGTCAAAATAATTTTATGTAAGGTGATATATTTTAATAAATATGCTTTCTTTTTTCTTTTTGTTTCAGGCTATCTCTGAGTAATGAAATAGACCAGTGAACGATATCAATATTCTCATATTTAAACTTACAATGAATATCTCTTTAAAAGCTAGAATATAACATTTTGTCTTTGTCTATATAATTGAGACCCTTGAAAGGAAAAGGAAATCTATCCATATGTACTTGAATGTTGGTTTAAAAAGTAGAGACTAATATGTCTCAACACATATTTTATTAATCATATGTATTATGCCAGACTGAAGGGATGCATCTGGTTAATTGACTATGTGTGGGTCATTGATTTCCCACATGAAATGAATAATGGAATTAAAGGATATGGTATTTATAGAGAAGGAAAATAGCACTTAGGACATCAATTGACTTTCCTAATATCAGACTATGTACACTCAGGGCAGGATATAGACTGTATAGCATGATGCCCATTTCCAACTAAGTGTCTCATTCTCAAATTTTGAATGACAATTTGAGTAATTTAAATAATATTTTTAAATTCTATACTTTTAATATGATCTTTAATAATTTAAAAGGCAATGATATATTTTATATCTTCTAAAATAATTCATTTCAAATTTTCCCATTTTTACTTCACATTAATTGAAAACACAGTACATAAATACATTGTTTGGTAAAAATGAAAGCATTATGGATATTTCAAAATTCAGTTTTACTCTCTATTCCCTGTGTTGTTCTCCTCACCAAAAGTAACGTTTTTCAGTTACTATGGCTGAATAACATACAAAGTCATAATTTAGAGGTTTATTATATTTATTTTGTTCACAAGTCTGTGATTTTTTCCGGGCTCAGAGGAGATACTGAAGGCTAGTGGCTAGAACAATCTTAAAGCTGGTTCAATTGCATTTGATTATGGTAATTGGCTGAGTTATTAGATGAAAGTGTCAGCTGCAACAGCTGAACTTTGTTTCTGCATATGGACTGGACATCCTCACAAGATGGTGGCTAATTTACAAAGCTAAGTGTTCTGAAAAAAAAAAAAAAAAAAAAGGAAATAAGAAACTATCTCCTTTTGTAATATGGCCTTGGAAATTACACAGAATTACTTGTGCCGCATTCTTCTCTTCAATCACAAAATCACTCCTAGTTTCAAAGGGAGGACATATAGATTCTACCTCCTAACAGAGGAGGCACAATTCTGGAAGTTCATTTGAAACCATACATGTTGCTGTAATCATGTCTGGAGAATACATTCTGACACAGCTCATCCCCTTTCCACAGCAATTTGCATTTTTTCACATGCAAAATACAACCATCCCCTTCTCAAAGCCTCTTAAATGTTTATCTTATTGTGGCTGGAAGGTGGACCAGTCACCTAACAGCTCTGAGGACCAATCCAATTAGGTATGAGTTTATATGATGCTCCTTGAGTATACTTCCTTAATTATAGATCCTTGAGTATAATTCCTATCAATCTGAAAAACCTATGTACAATAGACTTGACACACACCCAATACATGATAGTGAGACAGGCATAGGATAACCACTATAGTCCCTTCAATTAAAAAGAGAAAACAAGGGGCCCACATGAGTCAATGGTCCATAGCAATTGCAAAATCCAGGTAGGTATACATTGGTTTAATTCTACTGCCTGAAAAGAATTCTTGACTGTTTTTGTGGTTCTTCTTATTTCCTTCTGAAATGTCCTTCCTTTTACATGTGTCTCTCCAGCTTCATCTCAGTAGTTTTCTCTGTCTGACTCATCTGGGTTATCTGGGAAATTATGTAGAAATATGTAAGAGAAGTATTTTGAAACAGATGCTATGATTAGTCTCAATGACGTAGAGTAAAATATGCTTATAGCAAATGAAAATATATGAAATATCAGCAGAGAAATACAAATTATAAGAAGGAAACATATAGAATTGAAAAATATATCAAACACTAAATTTTTTGATAGGCTAAACCACAGAATGGAGTTAGAAAACTGAATATGTGAACTTGAAAATAGATCAAAAGAAGTGATAAAATCTGAAGAAAAAAAGTAGAAAGGTAAAAGTGGAAAACATAGGATGATATTAATGGATATAACTCCCAGAAGTTTAAAGAATAAAATAAAATACCAACACATGCCCAATATTTTTTGTCCATGTATGTAATGTGCATACTATTATGTGTGTAATGTGTGTGTATATAATAATAATAATTATTATTATTACATGAAGAACTATTGGGCAATTTTTTTTTTCCAAATTTAATTTAAATATAAATTGGTAACTAGATGTAGTTTCAGCCAATCAACACTCAAATCAGAATTTTAAGAGTTGCGTACACAAACTAGTTGTAATAGAAAATAATACGTTTAAAATTTTTATTGGAGAATGTGTCACGGGTAATCTATAGTATTCAGTGAAATATAGTTACTTAAGTATATCACTTCTGCTCATGAGCTATAATATGTGTGCTAAGGAAGACTTGGCAATTCCAGTGGCCGCTACACTATAACTATTAAAGATATTTCAAGAATACAGTAACTATTGGGAGCAGCAACTGTTTCTGGAAAGCTTAAAAAGACAGCACATAAGCTCAGGATTTTAAATTATCAACGTAGCTCATTCAGAGTATCAGAAA
Source organism: Homo sapiens (assembly GCF_000001405.40). Taxonomy (NCBI): domain Eukaryota; kingdom Metazoa; phylum Chordata; class Mammalia; order Primates; family Hominidae; genus Homo; species Homo sapiens. The sequence goes on from NC_000001.11 coordinate 189,525,574, forward strand.
TCTAGTGTGACTTACCTCATAAAATTTATCTTTTGGCCAGGCGCGGTGGCTCATGCCTGTAATCCCAGCACTTTAGAAGGCTGAGGTGGGTGGATCATTTGAGATCCGGAGTTCAAGATCAGCCTGGCCAACATGGTGAAACCAGGTCTCTACTGAAAATACAAAAAAAATTAGCCAGGTGTGGTGGTGGGCGCCTGTAGTCCCAGCTACTTGGGAGGCTGAGACAGGAGAATCTCTTGAACCCCGGAGGTGGAGGTTGCAGTGAGCCAAAATTGTGCCACTGCACTCCAGCCTGGGCGACAGAGCAAGACTCTGCCTAAAAAAAAAAAAAAAAAAAAAAAAAAAAAAAATTATCTTTTAATCACAGGCCAATGTCTGACCCTTCAAGTTGCTAAAGTAACATTTCATTTCTTTATAATAAGCATTTATTGTCTTTTTAATGCAAGGCATTACTCTAAGCAATGAAATTAAGTTGAATTCTCAGTGATAGGAGGTAAACTACAGATGAACAAAATAAATGAGAAGTTGTGTACTATGTCAAATGTGGAAACATTCTACGAAGAAAAATAAAGGTTAGGAGTTCCTATGTAATTCCCAGGGAGCGATATCATTTTAAGTAGGAAGATCAGAGACTGTTTCGTTTGGAAAGGGACATTTAAGGAAAACAATGTCATAAGACATCAAGGTAAAACAATTCCCATGGATGAGAAAGCCACAAGGAGAGAGAATTGCATATGCAAAGGTTGTGAGGCAGAATTAGGCAAGGTGTTATCACGAACTACCAGAAGGCTAGAAGGCTGGAATGAGTAAGCGGAAGTAAGAAGGTAAAAATGGTCTAGGATGCATAGGAATTTGAGAGTATTAAAAGGTGAATTGGCATCTATACTCTGAAACAAACAAAAGCCATTAGAGGATTTGAAATATGATTTTTAAAAATCTGAGTTATATGTTTAAAATATTTCTCAGTAGAAAATAAACTATAGGAGGGTAAGAGAAAAGTTTCCAAAAAATGTTAGGGAGTTTTGCAATATTCAAAAAAAAAAAAAAAAAAGGTTTTGATTTTCTCCGAGGTGAATACAGTGAATGTAAAGAACCCTGATGAGACTCTATATATACCTTGGAACTAGAGCTGATACCGATGGCTGAGAGACTAAAGACATGAGAAAAGGAGGGGAGTTAGAAATGACATCAGGAATTGTTAGTTTAAATAAATGAAAAGTTTACATTTTCATTTACTGAGATGGGAAAGACTGTGAATGAGTACGTTTCAGGCTATGGAGGAAACCAGAAAATCAACCTGTAGATGTGAAGTTTGAGATACCCAATGAGGAGTTGCACATGGAAGCCTGAAGTACAGGAAAAAAGATCTAGATTGGAGAAATTATCAGTTTATAGATGGCATTTAAAGGCATGATACCAAGAAAGTGAGCAAAGATGTATGTGAAGAGACCATGACTGAGCTATGGGACTCTACAGTATTTAAAAGTCTGGGAATAAGAACTAATTAAAACATAAGGCTTTGAATAAGTAGGAAGAGGGTTGTAAGGAAAATCAGTTGAACATGGTATGCTAAAATCCAAGGAAAAAATGTGTCTTTGGAAAAGTGTATAATTAATTGCATTAAGTCCTACCGTTAACTAAGATGAGACTGAGAATGCATTCTTATATTTAGTCTATGGGTGTCATTAGTGATTTTGAAGAATCTTTTGGTAGAGAGGTGTACAAAAATGTTGTATTTGACTAACAGGGGCAGTGGGAAAAGAGGATGTTGGAACAGTCTCCATAAACTTTCAGATGACATTTTGTCTAAAGGTGACACTGGGCACAAACAAGAAAAGAAATTGGAGCCAAGATAAATTCGTTTTTCTGCAGAATGGGAGAGATTAAACTGCACACATTTAAAGTGTAATAAGTTTCCATGTAAGTGTGTACTCCATTAAGGTACCACCACAGTCAAGAAAATGAACATATTTCTTGCCTTAAACCTATCCTCATGCTCTTTTGTAATCCCTTCCTCTTACTTTTTCCCACATCCCCAGGCAATCACTCCTCTGCTTTCTGTCAAAACAAATTTGTATTTCCTGTAATTTTATACAAAGTTATATCCTATATACTCTTTTGTCTGATATATTTCACTCAGTATAATTATTTTATCATTCATCCATTTGGTCAAATCAATAGTTTATTTCATTGTTTTGCCGAGTGTATGTTTTTCCTCATTTCAGCCTTAGAAGAGATCCCAGCTCTGCACAACACCATGATTTCAGCTTAGTGAGAGGCTCTGGAGCAGACTCTGGTCCAGCTTAGACACGCCTAGATTCCTGACCAACAGAGACCATGAGATAGTAAAGATGTGTTGTTTAAGCTGCCAAGTGTGTTTTAACATTGCTGTGCAGCAACAGATAATTAATATGCTATTCCTACATCCTCTTTGGTGAAATATCTCTTCACATCTTTTGTCCACTTTTTGATTGGGTTGTTTTCGTTCCTGTGTGCTTTGACAGTGCTTTATATATTCTGGATAAAAGCCCATAGTCAGAGATATCTTTTGCAAATATTTTCTTCATGGCCTGTCTGATCATTATATTAACAGTGTCTTTCAAAAAAAATTTTAACTATGATGAAGTCTAGTTTGTCCACTTTTTATTTTATAAATTATGTTTTTGGCACTAGACTGACTGATTCTTGACCAACAGTACATGCCATAAATATTTAGGATGCAATTTCAAGACACTAATTTTTAGAATTCTTTGTATACTTACTGAATCCAAATCTAGCTAAACAGATTTTAAGTGTATCTGTGCATTAAAAGTAAAATATTTGCTGTTGCCATTGCTTTTGTTTGAATAAAATAGAGGACTGTAGTAAATGATATAACTTTCTGTCATCATATATTTTATTTAAATTTAGGCAAAAATATTCATTGCAAATAAAGTTCTATAGGTACAAAAATATTTAGTTTTTGGTTTTGACTAGGAAATGGTTTGACGATTTGTGAATAATGTCATAATTTTTTATAGAAAATATTTAGAAATATTCAAGGAAAATTTTTCTTTGGTAGGATCTAACACCAGGAATCTAATCTATAGATAATGTGATATATATAATTAGAAGTGAATTTTAGTATAAATTAAATAAGGTCGTTTATTTTATGTTTAAATATCAACATGTAACATTTTCTTTCTTGATTAATTTTGTAACAGACAAGTAATGCCATGTTTCTCACAATCAGATACAGTTCATGAATCTGATTTATTAAATAAGGTTTTAAAATAGTTGATACTGATATTTAAAAATTATTAAGTGGAACTAATAGTTATGTTTAGAAAATAATATATTTCCAAATGTACTAATTAATCATTTATAATTATTTATAGAAACAATACTTTATCATTACATGTGCTTTCCTCAAAATAGTATATTAAAAATTAAAAAGTTGATTTTATGTAATTATAGGTAGTATTTGATATGTCATATATAAAAGTTTATATGACTAAAATTGTGTTTAAGGGCCAGGCACGGTGGCTTATGCCTGTAATCCCAGCACTTTGGGAGGCCGAGGTGGGTGGATTACGAGGTCAAGAGATAGATCGAGACCATCCTGGCCAACATGGTGAAACCCCGTCTCTACTAAAAGTACAGAAATTTGTTGGGTGTGGTGGCGTGTGCCTGTCGTCCCAGGTACTCTGGAGGCTGAGGCAGGAGAATCGCTTGAACCCAGGAGGCGGAGGTTGCAGTGAGCCGAGATGGCACCACTGCATTCCAGCCTGGTGACAGAGCCAGACTCCGTCTCAAAAAAAAAAAAAAATTGTGTTTAAGTTTTTAGCTCTTTAATGGGCAGATGTTTAGACAAGACTTTAAGCAAACTATAAATAAACTGTAATGTTTTGTCCTATTAAAAATAGATATTTATATCTTAAAGGTCAAGAGTAATGCTTGCTAACTGTATTGCGATTATTTTTTATTCTTAAATTGTTGTTCTCTGTAGTGTGAAATTCTTCCACTCTACCCATAGCTAAGCACACAAAGTGGCAATGGCATTACAGAGCAGCTAATCTACAGCTAGGAGGTAGCCTAATTGTTTTCTCATAAACATGTGATTATAAAAGCACTCTATAATAGAGAGTGATAATCAAAAACAGAACCACAGCAAAAAGGGATTTAAATCTCAGACAGAGAATGAAGTAGGTAATACAATGATGTAGGTGGAGAGAAAAAAATTACCTAAAGCCATGACTTATCATCATCCAAGAAATAAATAGAGGTACAAAGAGAACTTAGAAGAGACTGGGGGCTGAGTCAACTTATTTGTGGAATATAAGGGAGGCAACTACTGAACTTCAATTTCTGATCTGAAGATTTGCTAGACAATTTTTTTTCAATAACTTTCAAGTACCTGAAAAACACCAGTGTGTTTTATGCCTGTCAATGTAGTGACTCAAACAGTTTCAAGTGAGAAAAATTTCCGTTCTTTTATTTCTTGTATATCCTTACAGAAACTTTAAAAATTAGAATCACCGGGGGATGTGTCTGTTCATTTCAATCTCTTAAATTTTCCAAGTGATTTAGCCAGCCACTTTGTTAATTGTCATTAGAAAGATCATGAAAGTTTTGCTATTTAGGACCCTTGTCGTGTCAAATTTAGACAAAATGCAGGCTACAGAAATGGCTGTGATGCCAGGCCATTAAATTAATCATAATTTCCAAGATCAGCGGACTAGGCTCTTACTCTTACTGTCTAAGGAGGTCTGTGACCATGAGATTGCCTCACAATATACTGCATGACTGCCTAAATGTAACCAGAAGTCGTCCAGTGCTGACACCCCACCGCTTTCGTGTTTTATGATTGTTTTGTAATTCAAGCAAAACATATTCAAATTAACTTGTTTTTAATTCATGGGTTGGGAGATGTGTCTTTTAACTTGGAAATAGGAGCTTTGGAAAAAGCCTGGAGAAACAGCTTGTATTTATAATGCTTTTACAACAACAATAACAACATGAACACAGCTTCTCCTTTGAGCTATTGCTTTTTGCTAACCTCTTTGTACTCTGTGGCAAGGGCTTTATCAACATTGTCTGATACAATCTGCACAAACATCTTTGAAGTTAAGCATTATTACTGATATTTTACCGCTGATGAATCTGAAACTTAGCTAAATAATGTGTTCAATGTAACACAATTATTAAATGGCAGGGCTATCAGTGAACCTAGACTGGTTTGACCTCTAAGCTCATGCTCTTAACCACCTCATTATCCTGACTTCATGCTTTGTAAAGCATGATATGGTAAGATGTATGCATTACTTCAGTTGGCTAATTCAATATTATGTGAAGTAGACCTTCCTAATGTTGTCATCATCTTACAGATAATAAAATCAACATTTAGAGATTACACTAAAAACAAGATTGTTTATTGAACCATATCAAAGAGTTTAAGGAAAACGTTTACTGTGGCATTGCCATTAGTTTTCTATAATGTTTTGCATATTGTCTACTTTGACTTATTTAAAGGTAAAAAATGAGTGATTAAAGTTTTGAGAGATGGAGTGGCAGACCCCATGCTTGGAAATTGACTAGCCCAAAAAATAAATAGAGATACAAGAGAAATAGAGGTCTAAAGGAGAATAGGGGTAATTGTGAAGCTTCTGTGAATTGTTTGATCAATCTAGTTACCAGTGATATTGGCCTGGATGCATGTTGTCCAGTACAGTAGCCACTAGCCACATATGGCTACTTAAATTTAATTTAGTTACAATGATATAAAATTTAAAATTCAGTTAGTCACATTAGACACATTTCAAGTTCTTAAAAGCCATGTGTGGGTAGTGGTTAGCATATTTCATAGCATAGATAGAAAACATTTCCAGCCTCAGAAAAAAACTGTATTGGAGAGTGCTAGTCTAGACACTAACACACAGAAATGCCAAATTTGGTTAAGGTTCTATCAAAAGTTAATCTTCCTACTTGCTGTTAGACAAATACACATTATCAATGCCCTGCTGATATGAAAATGGAGAATCAAATGTATGCTCTTGATGTACAGTAAATGAACAGTTGAATCACTGAATACAAACATATAAATCTAAATTCTTGTATTTGGTGATTTGGCCCTGAAATGTAGCCTAGTTTGGTTGAACATGGAAAACACTCTTCTATTTCTAATCTGCTTATTAAAGATGCTTGAGTTATAGCATTACATGCATTATACAAAATCTATATTTCTGAAGTGTTTTAAAATAGCTTTTTATGTATCACAAGATATGTATAGTATAAGGAGCAACTGTGAAATGACTATTAGCATTTTTCACTGCTTATTAAGTGTTTTGTTTTAAAAAATTAATAAGGGGGAAATTATAATTGAAGTGTTCCTCCAAAATATTACAATTAGCTAGGAAGTTTCAAGAAACAACTCTGAAGATGGAAATAGAAAGTAAGCAGTATATGTTATGAAATGAAATTTTGTTTTCCCCAAAACAAAATTTGAAGCCCTAACTTTTAATGTGGTGGTATTTGGAGGTAAGGCCTTTAGAGGTAATTAGATTTAGATGAGGTCATGATGGTAGGGTTCTTGTTATAGGATTAGTGCCCTGCTAAGGAGACACCAGAGAGCTTGCTCTCTCTCTCTCTCCTCCATGTGAGGACACAGAAAGAAAACAGTGGTCTGCAAGACAAGAAGAGAGCCCTTACCAGGAACCAAACCAGCCAGCACCTTGATCATGGACTTCCCAGTCTCTAGTACTGCGAGAAATGAATGTCTGTTGTTAAAAGCACCCAGTTTATAGTATTTTCTTATAGCTGCCTGAGCAGACTAATATAGCATGTAAATATTATATAATGCCAATCAACAAAATAAACAATGTGGTTAACTAACAGATAACTAAGGAATTTGGGGCTGTTATGTCCTAAAGTTTGCCACAAAAATTTTTAAAAGATGCAAATTTTCATTAGTCCAAAGGCTGGTAGAAAAATATAAAAGCAATTATTTAAGTGAGTTTATTTTTTCTCAAGCACATAGTGTAAAATAATGCCTACCCAATATATCATTTAATCTTCATAACAAAATAGTTTCATTCTCTCTGTAATAAACAAATGAGTACATAATTCACAACTGGAGCTTAGGAAAAATTCCCAGTATTCCAGTTAGTAATTAGTTGGCCTAGAATCAGGAAAATAGACTCTTAACTTAAATGTAAGATGAACTACCATAGTATATTTAGTGAAAAAAATACATTAAAAAACTAAAAAAAAGAAAAAGAACATTGCTAAGTAAGCTTATAACTCAGCAATAACTAAACTAACTCATATAAAGTTATTTCCAATCCTAATAAACATGGGGAAATTAGTGCATAACATAAAAAAGTAATAAAAGAATGCCTGATAAATGAATTAAAAATGTGGTCCTTTTAAAATATTGAATAAATATTTAGCTAAACTAATGAAGTAAAAAAAAATTAAGACAACTCAAAATATCAGAAATAAGAATAGAGATATAAAAAGAGATACGGAAGAAATTTTAAAAATCACATTGTGATTTATTTTGAATACTAAATTGAAAATCATGAATAACTGATTGTGCAAAACCAAAAACCAAAATAAACAGATACATTACCACAGAATTTATACCAAAAATGTAAAGGCGTCTTCCCACTTCCACAGAAAAGTTGTTTACCAGAGAGAGTCAAAGTGATATTTTATTTTTAACTCAAGGAAAACCTCATTTAAAAGCAATTTTATCTGTTCTAGGAAAGTTTCCAAAATATTTAATCAAGTCAGCATAAAACTAATACCAAAATCTGTCAAAAAAAGCATAATAAAATAAACTGCTTCAAAATATATTTCACCCCATATCAATAAAATACTAAATAAAATATTTACAAATATAATCCCATAACAGAAAAATAGTAAAAAAGAACACTGAGCATGAGACAATGACATTTATTTCAAGAATACAAATGGTTTAAGATTGGGAAGGAAAGCAATGTAATATATTATATATTATAATAATATTACTTAGTGTGAAAATCAAAAGCATTATTATAATATTGGATTTTGAAAAGACATTAGAGAAAAATTTACTTCAATTCTTACATTAAAAAATCAAAACTCTTAATAATGAATGAATGGATGGATATATCTCTCACGTGATATATATGATATATATGTTTCACATGATATATATACCTTTCACATGATATATATGTATAAATGCATGTGTGTATTTGTATGTATAGCCTTATTTTTATTTTACTCTATGTATGTAATTAGATTATACTTGTGTGGGGGGTGTGTATGTGTGTGTGTGTTTGTGTGTTTGTGTGTGAAAGAGAGAGAGAGAGAGATTGAGACTGAAGGATCCTTAATGTTAAAATATGCACAATACTTTCATTAAATATAAAAGCAAGAATGATATGTCCCTTGTTTTGTTGTTCAAAATATTTGCATCCCCTTTTTACCAGGTCCCTTCCTACCCACTTGGCCACATAACATGTTTGTTCAATGAAGTGTGAGTGGAAATGACTGTGTCATTTCCAAGTAGAATCTAGTTTGATAATTATCCTATGTCTCAGATACTCTAATTTTCCATCTGCTAGGAGACCAATTTTACTCAAACAAAGGCTACACCTGTGTCCTTGGTCCCGGGCTACAACAGAAATAGAGAGGCTCTTCAGCTAAACTGAGATAGACAAGAATGTAAGAAGATTTGTCATTTGTCACCACAGCAAAATAATCTAACTTGACATACCTAATATCATTCTTATTTAACATTCTTCTAGAAGTTGTGAAAACCGCAATTATGAAAAGAAAAGAATCAAGTACAAATTTAAAAATAGTGGAGACAATTTTCTGTATGTGTGAAAAATACGTGTTTAAAATTAATCAAAAAACTCTAGTGAAATGTAAATATTTTAGAAATAAAAAATTCTGAAATTTAGGCATTTTTTATTGCCTATATAAAAATTTAGGCAATTTCTGAGAAATCTTGAGAAATGGGACTCTTCTGCCAGTCCCATATTTTTGCAGTGTGGAGGAAAGGTGGTAAAAGCCTTTTGATATCACAGGTTGTAAGATTTTCTTTCTCATGGGAATAAAATGGCAGCAATTTCTACACTTCTATAAAATTTCAACATGATCTGTAAATCTTCCATGTCGCTCTCTACCAGAAGTGGGATGTGCAGAACTTTTTGGAGGAGTTTATATTTGCTTCACCTGTGCCTGAAAGACTTCAGCTAAAATAAAATATCTAAGTGTCAACTATTTTGCTTATCGACATTTACTGTTGCCAATAAAGAATAGAGATGAACTTGTCTATTGAACCATTTCAAATAAAGTGAGATAAAATGGAGTCTCAACACTGCCAATCATCCTTCCTCCAGCTGAGATAAATAAGCCACTTTGTAACCAGTAAAATCTTTCATGTCTTTCCCTACTCAAAGTGGGAAGCACAGAACTGAAGACATGGAGAAAATTAAGACAGGAAGAAAAAAGTTTATTATCTTCAGTGGTTTGAAGTAACAAAAGCAGCCTTCCAAATCTAGTATGTGAAATCATTGTTACTTAAATTGTTTCAGGAAACAATTACACAGAGAAAATACAAGGAATTAGTTTACTGTAAGACTTTTTGATTACCTGAAAAGTTCCTCTATTTTAAAAAGATAAATTAAATAATTAATATCTAGTAAAGAAAAAGAAGTTTTGATTCATATTGGCAAAATGTTCAAATTATATCATGGTAGGATATCAAACTACTATAAAACTGCTATAATAAAAGTGTTTAGGACAAATCAGGTATAGTCAGAAGTCTAATAAATGAAAACAAATTCTACTCCTGACCAAAAATACACATGGAAATTTAGTAAATACAAACAAAGCATTTGACATTTTATATGGGGAAAGAGAGGTAATTCAGTAAATTGCCGACAGGAAATCTTTTTTTTTTTCTTAAAGGCTAGATTCTGATTTTAATTTTTCTGGACAAAAAGTTTCCTAAGTGGATCAATAATTTTAATGCGTAATAATAAAAATGAAGTTATAGTATTACATAAATTAAATTGAAAAATTTCAAAAATGGTGCTAGAGAGAAGGCCTATGAAATGTAATAAATAATATGAAAGACATAAAGAAAATATTTTACAAATTGGCTACAAAGAAATTAATTTATAGCAGGAAATGTCAAAAAGAGGTCAAAATATAAAATTCAAGATTAGAGTTATTTGTTGCAGTTATATAATACAGTTTATTTCCTACAATCAAGGTACTCTTACAAACGCCAATAAATGAATAAACATTATAAACCAATTAACATATAAATATATAATAGAACAAGAGATCATATAAGTAGAAACCTCTACATGAAGAAATATAAAACGTCACTAAGAACATGTAAGAGTGTTTATAAAGTTTTAAAAGTCTCATGTGGATTGCATGTTTTGGTGAAACAGACTGTCATAACTACTGGTATCAGTACTTGTATTTGAGGGGAATAAAATTTGGTAAGTCATAATTTTATGAGTCTTAATTTCATAATAGCAAAATTATTTCTAGAATATTTTGCAAGCAGCTGACTGCAAATATCAATGATCAACAACATGGATTGCATTATATTATTAGGCCTCAAACTGGCAACAACTATTCATAAATAGAGCCCAATTAAATAAAAATAGCTTAATTGACATATAAAATATATTGTCTTTTAAGTGAAGTAGCTTAAAAGTAGTCTAAAGTTTAAAATATAAAAATGAAAACTAAATTGTAGAAAAGTATTTTTGGTGTAATGCTTGTTAACCATGAACATACACAGAAAATTCCTGAGAATGTGGAGAAGAACGCATGACATACAGGCATTTACAGAGAATAGATTATTGTGTGAGAAGTATAACACATGTGTTTATTATTTGGAATATTTCACTTAAAAAATAAGAATAGCACATAAAATTAATAACAGGCTAATTAAATAGACATTGTTATTTAAAAATATCTTGACAAACTATAGAAATTTGTATTGATATTGCTTACATCTCTTTAGATTTTTGACCATTCTTTCCTAAGAAGATTAGATTATAAACATTTTCTATTCTAAGTATATTCATGATCTCACTGACCTCTTTGATAGTTGAGTAGTATTGCTATTGTAAAAAAGATAAATTTTAAAGCTATATTTATTATATATATATTCTAAAATATAATTTATCATAAGGCTTTCAACTATCTTTGAAATCTTAAAATTTTGGCAAACATCAATATTGTCTTGTAAAAGCAGATATATAATATTCAATGAATTAGCTTCTTTAATTCTTAGTCTCTTTATATTTATGGCTCATCTCTTAATTTATATATTTTCATTAGGTTTTAGTATAAAAGTGTGTATATATTGTATATTTTTCAGCATTTATTTTTATTTCTGTAATATTTTAGGAAAAAATACAGTTTTCTTTTTTGGGAGGCTATAACAACAGCAAAAATATTTACATGATATAAATCGCTTCATGAGAGGCTCCTATTCTACTATTAAAATTATTTACAAGAGTAATTAATGACAGGTGAAAAATATACATTTGACTGCAAATTAAAATTAACATCTGTAATACAATTATAATTTTTAAAATATACAAATATATGAAGTTCCATGCCAAATGCCATTTAATATTAAATATGCACAAATTAGGAAACTTTAGAAGATTCCCTCATAATTTCTACAAACTTCTAGGAAAGGCTAATTCGCTCCTTGTCAATCAAACTAAAGAGGGCTTCCAGTTAATTTTTACATTTGGTATAAAACAAGGATATAATTTCATTTTTTTTTTTTTTTTGCATATAGATATCCAGTTTTTTCAGCACCACTTATTGAGGAGGCTTTCCTTTCCCCATTGGTTACTGTAGGTGCCCTTGTTAAAGATTAGTTGACCATATACCTGTGTGTTAATTTCTGGGCTCTCTGTTGTGCTTCATTGGTCTACGTGTCAGTTTTTATGCTAGAACCATACTGTTATGATTACTATAGCTTTGTAATAGTTTGAAATCAGGGGATAAGATGTCTCCAGCTTTCTTCTTCTGTCTCAAAATCGCTTTGACTATTTGGGGTCTTTTGTGGTTACATACTAATTTTATGATTGTTTGTATTATATCTATGAAAAATGTTATTGGGATTTTGATTGAGAATGGCTTGAATATGTGGATCACTTTGAATATCATGAATATTTTAACAATATTAATTATTCCAATCTATGTACATGGGATATATTACACTTATTTTTGTCTCCTTTAATTTCTTTAAGCCCTAGAGCAACCTCTAAAACAAAATAGTTCTGTAATCAATAAGTCAAAGTAGATAAAAATGTAATTATTTAACTTTTTTTTTTTACTTAAAAGAAGAAAATAGAACCTAAAATGGGGAGGAAAGGACAAAAAATAGATGATATCAATAGAAAACAAATAGAATGATAAATTAAAATTAGCCATATGAATAACTACATTAATTTAAATTATTTTCACAGTTCACTAAAGACAGAAATTATCATACTGGATAAAAATAATGGGTGAAGACCTAACTAAATTTTGTCTAAATGGAACCTACTTTAGCTATGAAGAGTTTTGTGTTTAAAATATATGTATTTATGGTAATAGAATTGTATTCTATAGTTGTTTTTTTTTAAGTAAAGATTTTATTATGAAAACCTAGATATTTTCACTGAAATATCTGCCATTCCCTTTATTTGTGCTTCTCTTTTTTCTCTCTGGCTAATTTTAAGATTTAAGTTTTATTACAAGTTTTGAAAAGATTGATTGTGATATACTTTGCTGTAGTTTTTTTCACGTTTCTTGTGCTTTAATTTTTTATATATTTAGATCTCTGTGTCAGAGGCATTGGAACCACAGTGACTCCATTTTGAGTGAGGGCTAGGAAAATGAGGCTGGGACTTGCTGGGCTGCATTCCCAGAATGTTAGGCATTCCTAGCCTCTAGATGTTTACAGTTAATGGAACACATTAATAATGTTTACTTAACCGACCCAGACTTGAGAGTGTCTAGATATCCCAATATCTGGAGAAAAAAGTCATTCCTAATTTTGCTTTAAAGGTAATAATATCAATTCTTACAAAATATAGTAATTGAGAAAATTAATCCTCTATCACAAACCCTTGTAGCAGAGCACATCTCTCCACATATATACGCATTGTACCTAGGGTGGATGCATCCCTCCTCTTACTTTTGGGAATGTCCTACTCTGTCTATGGAGTAGCTGCCCTTTCACCACTTTACTTTCTTAATAAACTTGCTTTGCTTTGCACTGCGGACTCGCCCTGAATTCTTTCTTGTGCGAGATCCAAGAACCTTCTCTTGAGGTCTGGATTCATACCCCTTTCATGTAACATCTGGACTTGCATTTTTATCAAATTTGGAAACTTTAAGCCATTAAGAACAATTGTTTTCTGTACCTACATCTTTCTCCTCTTTATCAGAGACTCAAATTACGTAAACATTATGTGGTTTGGAATCATCCCACAGCTGGCTAAGGCACTCTTCCTGTCTTTATTTTATTTTTCTCTGTGTTTTATTTTGAATATTTTCTATTGCTAAATCTTCAGGTTCACTATTTTTTTCTTCTGTAACATCTAATATGCCATTAATCCTGTCTAGTGTATCTTTTTATTTCAGATGTGGTAGCTTTAAAGTCTAAAAGTTCAACTTTAGTATTTTTTATACCTTCTATGTCTCTACTTCACTTTTAAATACATGAAATACATGAAATTGTTTATTTGTTGTTTTGACCAATTCTAAGATGTGTGATAGGTCTTTGTAAGTTTAGATTGACTGAATTTTCTCCTAGTTTTGGAATACATTTAAGTTATTTTGAAATATTTTAATCCACATAGACCTTGCTTTTAAGATATTTTAAGAAGCACCAGATCAATGGTATATCTAAAGACAATTATTCCCCTGTATCGGAACAGAACACTTCTGTAAAATCTAGGCAATGCTCAATGAATTTTGAGATTTTTTCATTATGACTTTTAGAAAAGGCACCTCTAGGCCAAGTGTGGTGGCTCACACCTGTAATCCCAGCACTTTAAGAGGCTGAGGTAGGTGGGTCATGAGGTCAGGAGTTCGAGACCAGCCTGACCAACATGGAAAAACCCCGTCTCTACTAAAAATACAAAAATTAGTCGGGTGTGGTAGCGAGCGCATGTAATTCCAGCTACTCAGAAGGCTGAGGAAGGAGAACCACTTGAACCTGGGAGGCGGAGGTTGCAGTGAGCCGAGATCACGCCATTGCACTCCAACTTGGGCGACAGAGCAAGACTCTGTCTCAAAACAAACAAACAAACAAACAAACAAACAAAAAACAGAGAGAGAGAGAAAGTTACCTCTCTTCCTTTCAGGTCTTTCAGGTGATCCTTTCCTCAATCTCAGGTAGTTTCCCGCCATTAAACTCCTACTGACTAGCAATACAAATACACAGTGGAGATGCTCTGCAGATCTTTAAAAATTTCTATATTTAACGTTCCTAACTCTAGTACTTAGTCCTGTGAACTCTAGTTGCCTTATTCTAGCCAGATTCTCAGCTCTATCTCCTCCTCTCAAGGAATCTAATGTGATCCATCTTATTCTTTATGTTACAGTATAGAAAATCTGTGAGCCAAAGTCCAGAGTATAAATTCACACAAAGAGTATTTTTAAGACTTACAGGACTTACAGGTGTGCTTCAGAAATTTTTTTTTTTTTTTTTTTTTTTTTTGAGATGGAACCTCGCTCTGTCGTCCAGGTTGGAGTGCAGTGGTGTGATCTCCGCTCACTGCAAGCTCCGCCTCCCGGGTTCACGCCGCCATTCTCCTGCTTCAGCCTCCCAAGTAGCTGGGACTGCAGGCGCCCGCCACCACGCCCGGCTAATTTTTTTTTTTTTTTTTTTTAAGTAGAGACTGGGTTTCACCATGTTAGCCAGGATGGTCTCGATCTCCTGACCTCGTGATCCACCCACCTTGGCCTACCAAAGTCCTGGGATTACAGCCGTGAGCCACCGCGCCCGGCCTTCAGAAATATTCTTAAGCAAAATGAAGAAACTTTAGAAAGCTTTAAAGTGGGAGCAAAATATAGAGAAGAGGTTATCATAAAAGATTTATGAATGTGCCTTTTGTCTAATTGGAGACAAAACCAATAAAACTCAAGTGAAGTCTGTAAGATTGTTAGAAGATTTTGTAAGCAAAGGACTACTAGCTTTCGCTGAAAGGGATCAATAAAGTACAAAATGAGAAGGGGCCTTTGAACATCCAATAATATACTGTCAGGAGTCAGGTTGGTATAAAACGACTGATAAAATGGCTCACCTGCAAATATTTGCAACTTTTCACTGAAAAGAAAATGTAGCTTAGAGAGCAGATACAAGACCCTAGAGAGTAGAGCCAAGAATCATGGGAGATCATTTTCAGGCTTTAATAAAGAAGAAACTTAATCAAGAAACTTAAGAAGAATCAAACATTTTTCTAATAGTATTTCAAAACTGTTTTGGGTCAGTGTCCCAGGGTATGTACAAGTCCTGGCATGACATAATAGTTCTCTGTGCAGTGCTGAAATCAAGGTACCAGCTAAGGATGTCATCTTTATCTGCCGTTCTTATTCATTCATTTTTAACCAGATGCACATAACTGTTATCCTGTGCTTGTCCACGAATGTCTATTGGTGTTAGGGAAAATAAGTTGTCTCTTTACATGCACATGTCCAGAAAAGTGATTGAGAGAAAATATGACCCCAGGACCTGCACTAAGTGATTTATATCTATGTGCACCTGATTTAGAAGATTTAAACTGTAAAATTTGAAACTGTAAGCTTATGAGATTTAGGGACTATTTTGGACTTTGAGCTAATGAGATGATATAATTAGATTTAGATGATAGTACTTTAGTTAGATTTGACCTGGTAATGAAACAAAATGTACTGAAGGAAGTAAGTGTATTTTGCCATTAGGAAGAAAATGAACCTTAGAAATTCAAGAGGGCAGACTACACTAGGTGATTTTAAGATTTCTATAGACAATGTTTGTGTCTCTCCAAAATTAGTAGGTTAAAAACATAATTTAAATGTGATGGTATTTGAAGTTGGCACCTTTGAAAAGTTGCTTAAATCATGATGGTGGAGCCCTAATGAAATCAGTGTTTTTATAAAAGAGTCCACAGAGAATTTCCCTATCACCTTCTGCCATATGAAGTTACAGTGAAAAGACAACCCTCTACAGACCAGGAAGCAGGTTCTAACTTGACACTGACTCTTTCAGTGCCTTGATCTTCCAAGCCTCTGGAATCATGAGAAATAAATTTCTGTTGTTTGTAAACCACCCAGTCTATGATTTGCTGTTACAGCAGCCCAAATAGGCCTTAGTATTGTTTTTCCATATTTTCACTATGGTGTGCCTAGTTGTGTTTTATTTTTACTTAACCTCCTGATTTTCTGAGAGTGTTCTTTTGTGTTTTTGTTTATTTCAAATATTCTTAGCAATAGTGTCTTCAAATATAACTTGAACCCTATATCCTGTTTCTTTTCCTATTGGAACTCATATCACATGTATATTGGCACCATTTAGTACTGCTCTATAAACCTTTCCCTACCATCTAGTGGATGCTCTATTTTGTTTTTATTTTTTACTCTATTTACTCTTTATGTTCCATTTGGATAAGTACTAGTGCTTTATCTTCAAGTTGGCTGATTTTCCCCTCATCTATCAAATCTAGTGATTCTATTAAATACCTTCTTAATTTATATTTTCCATTTTTTTCCAAATTATTCTTTCCATAAGGTCCAGCTTTACTGAAATTCCTCATTGATTCATGCTTGTTATCTACTTTTTCTACTAAATCATTTGACACTTTAATCAAAGCTACTTTGTAGTTACTACATGAATTAATTCATTGATTTTTTTTTTTTAATTTTGAGACAGAGTCTCACTCTGTCACCCAGGCTGGAGTGCAGTGGCGTGATCTTGGCTCACTGCAACTTCCACCTCCTGGGTTCAAGCGATTTTCCTGCCTCAATCTCCCGAGTAGCTGGAGTTACAAGCACACACTACCACACCCAGCTTTTTTTTTTTTTTTTTTTAGTAGAGATGGGGTTTCACTGTTTTGGCCGTGAGTGGTCTCAAACTCCTGACCTGAAGTCATCCGTCCTCCTCTGCCTCCCAAAGTGCTGGGATTACAGGTGTGAGCCACCTTGCCTTGCCACTACATTAATTCTTACTACTGTGTTGCTGCATAGAAAAGTACCACACACTAAGCAGTTTTAAAACATACCAATTTATTCAACATTTCTGTATGCCTTAAGTCCTGGCACAACATGGTGGTTCTCTGCACAGGGTCACACCAGGCTGAAATCAAGGTATCAGCCAAGATTGTCATCTTTTCTGAGGCTTGAAGTCTTTGTACAAACTTACTGAAAATTATCAGAATTTGGTTCCTATAAGTTGTATGTAGGATTGAAGTTTTTGCTTTCTTGCCACTTTTTAAGTGGAACCCAATCTCAGCTCCCAGATTCCCTTTGGGCCTACAACCATTACATGTTATTTAACCACCTTCTTCTGCCGTTTGATAGTTTTCTACCTAAAGAACTAAATGAGAATCTTTTTCCTGATTCAAATCTTTCTGAGATATTATAATGCCTCCTCTTATTAGGCCAGGACCACCCAGGATAGTTTTCCTTTTGACTAATTCAAAGTCAACGAATTAATAACCTAATCACACAAGTGATATCCCATTATATTCATAGGTTCTACTCACACTCAAGGGGTAGGAGGGGACTATGCAATGTGTGCCCACAAAGGAGCAGGAAGTTTAGGGGCCACCACAGAATCATGCCTGCCAGAGACCATCCTTAGAACTTCAAAGGATTATATGCTTACAACATGCAAAATGCCTTTGCAAATTGCAAGGTCCACAACTGCAGAGGCATTGCTCTTTTTTGTATCAAAACTTCTACTTTTTATTGATTTTTTAAATTCATGACATATCATATGGTCAGTCTAACATGACTCACTAATAATGAATTGTCTCCTGTGAAGCAATAAGAGGCTTCCCTTGTCCCTGATAAGGTATGAACACATCATCTGCCTGCCCACCAATCATTGGTACCATACCACATTCTTCTTACAAATGCACCTTTTTGTCTCATAAATTTGCTCTCTACCCAAATCTATAGCACCACTTCATCAACCTTCTGTACTATCACATCTACAGGCATGTATAAGAGCCAAATTCTATATTTTTCCTAAAGTGGGAAATTGTGGTAGTTCCGTCTTTAATATCCTCCATATGACAGCCCAACTATGCCATCGCCTGCATTTCTCTTTCCCTCTGCCCTGGTTTTAACGTTGTACAGGTCTGCAAGTCTGCTTTTTAAAAAGAAGACCAACAAAATACCCAATAAAATGTTGTCCATAATCACTGAACTCCCCCAAATTAGCTTATTCTCTCCCAGTCTTCACTTTATATATGCTAGGTGTCCTGGAAATGAATACGTTGTTGATAGAGAATTCTCTGAATTGACTACTCAGAATAATCTCTGGAGAAAGGTGCTAGCCATTACTTTCCACTGATTTCTGAATTTAGGATATGAAGCATTCAGCCTTCTTTTTCTGTTCAGATTGGGAGCTTAGATTTAATTTCTGGACTATTGACAAAACCTCACTCTATATCTTCTTTTACTTATATCTACTGTAACAGGTGATTTTTTAAACCATTTTAGGAGAATGATTTATGATTTAGAACTGAAAACAGCACAGGAAGTACAATTCCCTTTTTATAATGGTTCCTAAATATATTGGAAACCAGATTGTATTATTAAAAGTTTCTGAGTATTTTCTTTGTTTTGTGTGACTGAATTTTTCTTACATAACCCCACACTCTTCAGAATGTATTTACATGTAATTGTGTTTGTTTTAATAGTTATTTTATATCAAGAACTTATAACTATAGCCATTTATAACTGATTATAATCACATAGCTATTTAGGAACTTATACTTAAATATAAATCACAGTCAAAATCATTATACTACATAATTATCTGGTCAGATATATTTAAGAACACAGAATATCTGGTCAGATATATTTAAGAACACAGAATCCTCACTGACAAATGCATACTCTCAATATCCATATAGTATAATTTCTTTATGTGCTTAGAAATGCTATTTGTTGTACATGTTTTGGTTAAAAAAGCTAAACTACTGCTAATTTTCATTATTATTTTCCAAATTGCACAGCTAATTCATTTGTGGACTATTCTAAACAGCAGAAGCTTTAAAACGGCTTTCAAAGAAGCTGTAAATAAAAAGCTCTTTGATAATTCTGGTTAATAAAGCAATATCAAGATAACAATAGAAAGAGAAAATAAGGGTTACAGTGTGTTAATTGGGATAAATACAGGATTTTGTTGCTTAAAAATTCAGGTATCCTTGTATTTCTTCAGCATCTGGTAAACTTTTTATATTTTACATATAAAGGTTGTTTGTCAAAAGGGGACTTTTCAAAATAAAAATGCAATAATACAAAGTAGAAAAACATCATTAATAATAACCAAAGTAAGCACAAATACTTCATTTGGGCAGACTAAAATGTATTCCAAATAAATGCCTTATTGAGAATGGATAGTCTCTTCAGCCACTGTGCTAAAACATTTGATATTCACATGCCAAAAACAACCACAAAACCCCATCTTAACCTATAGTTTCACCACATGCAAAAATTAACTCAATAATGAATCACAGACCTTAAGATAAAACCTAAATCCCTGAAAATTCTAGCAGACATTATAGCAAAAAATTCTTATAAGCTTGAATTAGACACAAATTTAGATATGACATAAAAATGACGACCCACACAAGAAAAGTGTTAAAAATTGAACTTCATCAATATTAAAACTTCTGCAATTCAAGAGATAATTTAAGATAATGGAAAGTCAATGAACATACAGGATAAAAATATTTGCAAAATAAATATATGATGAGTTGTATCTAAAAAAAGTTTCAAACATTTCCTTTAATGTATAAACATGAATAGCAAAGAAGCACACAAAGTCCCCAATATCATAAGTAATTACGGAAATAACAAATGAAATCACAGTGAAATACTACTATGCACTTATTAGGAGAAATTAAAAAACAAACAACATTTTAAAACCTGATGGTACCATGTGCTGGCAAGCATGCCTAGCATCTGGAAATTTTAAACAATGCTGATTGAAATTCAAAAAGATACAGAGTCTTTGGAAAATAGTTTTGTAGTTTCCTAGAAAATTAGGAAAACACATTTTATACAACCCAGCAGTTAGAACCCTAGGTATATGCCCAAAACAGAGAAGAATCTAAGTACATACAAAGAAAACTCTATGCCAATGTTTATAGAAAATTTATTCATAAGTGCAAAGAACTAGCCATAATCGTCAATTATCTTACTAGTAAATGGATAAATAAACTCTGGCACATTCATTTACGGAGACTACTGTTTAGCAATAAAAAAATATGTATTTTTAAAACCTTCTTGTGAAACTCAGCAACATAGGTGAATCATAAATGCATTATGCTGAGTAAAAGCTGCCAGACTCAATGGCTAAATACTATATGCTTACCTTTAATTGATATCCCTAAAAAAAAGGTTATAGCAACAGAAATACAGTAGTATTTGCCAGGACTTTGAGATAGGGAGATGGGGAGAATGGGGAGAAAGCAAGAGAAATAACATTGAAAAGCATGAGAGAGTATTTTGAGTAATATAATTGTTTTATCTTTGACTGCATTGGTCGTTAGATAACTATAATAATTCATCAAAAATAAAAGAACTGTACACATTTTAGGATAAATTTGCTGAATGCAAATTATACTTCAATAAAAATGAGTAAAAGAAAAAAATCAATGCAAGCCAGCATAATAACAGAATAATGATGTAAAAATATAAGTTTGGTAATTTCAATAGAAGCAGAAAATTTAAGTGACAAAATGGAACATAGCTAACCGGGATCATTTTCAGCCTAATAATAAGAACAATAATACCATGAATGTGTTGACTGCACACACACATTCACATACGCACTTGCATTTGACAGGCCATTTCATGCTTAAAAATGGAACGTTTTTCTACACAAAAAAGGAACAAAGAAAAAATATACACTTTCAGCACTGCACAACTTTCACTCAACATGCTATTAGGGGTCTTGGCCACTGGAATAACGTTAAAAAAAAAAAGATAGAAAATGAATAATGGTATAAAAGAAGAAAGTAAAATTGTCTTAATTCACAGATATCATTAAACTATAACTGAAAATTCCAGTAATTCCACACAAAAAAATTTACCATCAATATGTTGATTTAGCAAAGCCCAGAATACAAAAACAGTATGGTACATGACTTTTTCTCTCAATAGAGTAGTGACAAATATGTGGGAAATCAAATTTTAAAATATGTCATTTAAATATTATGAAATAAACATAAATTTAACAAACCATAAGAGATATCACTGAGTAAAATTAAGAAGGAATAAGTATGTGGAAAGATACATCCTATTCAAGGATTAATTGACTCAAGATATTTAAATAACATTGTTAGACAAATTCTCCTATATTTTAAACACAATCCTAATCAAAATGCTTGCAGGATGTTTTCATGGAAATACATGTATTGAACTAAAATCTGTTTGAAAATGCCAGTTCACCTATACTGGATAAAATCTATTTTGAAAAAAATAAGAACAATCTGGTTGACTTACACCACCTGGTTTTAAGAACTAAGATGCAATTACAGTAATCAAGAAAGCATGCTGTTGGCATGAAAATAGATATAGAGAAAATATAACAAAATGCTGATAGAAATATATGCTTAGTTGATTTCCTGAAATATATGCTCAGTTCTGCTTTTACATTTATGAAGAACCTCCATACTGTTTCCCATAATTTTTCCATGTGGCTATACTAATATACATTCCTACCAACAATGTGCAAGGATTCCCTTTTCTCCACATCCTTGCCAACCATTGTTACCTTTGGTCGTTTTTGATAACACACCTGGTAGCCATTCTAACAGGTGTGAGGTGATAGCTCTTTGTGGTTTTGATTTGCATTTACCTGATGACTAGTGATGTTGAGTAATTTTTCATATATTCGTTGGCCACTTGTATGTTGTCTTTTGAGAAACTTCCACTCAGTTGTTAAATGGAGAAATGTCTACATTTTATTCAGGTTATTTGTTTTCTTCCTGAGTTATGTGAGTTTCTTATATAATTTGAATATTAACCTCTCATTCGATATATAGTTTGCAAATATTTTCTCCGGTTCTGTGGGCTGTCTCTTTACTTTGTTCATTGCTTCTTTTGCTGTGCAGAAACATTTTATTTGATGTAATCCCATTTGGATATTTTTGCTTTCATTGCTGGTGTTTTTTGGGGTATATCCAAAAAAATGACTGCCCAGGTAATATCCTGAAGGTTTTCCACTGTTTTCTTCTATTAGTTTCATAGTTTCAGGTCTTACATTTAAGTCTTTAATTTTTTTAGTTAATTTTAGTATATAGTGTGAGATATGGGTATAATTTCATTCATCTGCATTTGGATATCTAGTTTTCCCTGTACAATTTATTGGAGACTTCTCTTTTACTTGTGTTCTTGGCATCTTTGTCAAAAATTAGTTGGCTCTAAATGTGTGAATTTATATATAAGATTTCCATTCTGTTCCATTATCCTGTGTCTGTTTTTAGGCCAGTCCCATTCTGTTTTGGCTACTATAGCTTTGCAGTATATTTTGAGGTCAGATGATGTGATCACTCCAGCTTTGTTCTTTCTATTCAAGATTATGTTGGCTATCTGGGGTATTCTGTGATTTCATATAAATTTTATGAATATATTTTCTATTTCTGTGAAGATTGTTATGAGTCTTTGAATACGGAGTGCATTGAGTCTGTAGACACTTTAAGAATTTTAACATTTTAAGAATATTAATTATTCTGATTCATGAATATGAGATGTATTTCCATCTATTTGTGTCTTCTGCAATTTATTCATCAATTTTTTTATAGTTGTCAGTATAGAAATCTTTCACCTCCTTCATTAAATCTATTCTTAGGTATTTCATTTTATTTTTTGTAGCTATTATAAATGGTATTGCTTTCTTAATTTCTTCTTCAAAGAGTTTGGTGTCAGTGTATAGAAACACTACTAATTTCTGAATTTCTATTTGCTCCCTGCCACTTTATTGAAATTGTTTATTAGTTCTAAGACTTTTTGGCAGAAGTTGTGGGTTTTAAATATATATATGAGTGTGTGTGTGTATGCACACATAACATGACCGTGTAATCCGCAACAAACATGAGCAATTTATACTCCTCATTTACAATATTTATCTTGACTAATTCCTCTGGCTGGGACTTTCACTATCATGTTAAATAGAATTGGCAAGAGTGGGCTTCCTTGTCTTGCTGAGAAATAAATAAATAAATAAAAGTTTTCTATTTTTTCCATATTAAGTGTAATGTTAACTGATTTTGTCATATAGAGCTGTTATTATGGTAAGGTACTTTTTTATACCTAATGTTGAGAGTTTTAATCATGGAAGTGCAGTGGCGCGATCTCGGTTTACTGCAACCTTCACCTCCCGGGTTCAAGCAATTCTCCCACCTCAGCCTCCAGAGTAGTTGGGATTACAGGCACGTGCCAACACGCCCGGCTAATTTTTGTATTTTTAGTAGGGATGGGGTTTCGCCATGTTAGCCAGGCTGGTCTCGAGCTCCTGTCCTGAGGTGATCTGCCCTCCTTGGCCTCTAAAGTGCTGGGATTACAGATATGAGCCACTGTGCCCTGCCAGGTGTTGAATTTTGTCAAATGCTTTCTGTGCATCTAAAGAAAGGATTAGACCGAGCGCAGTGGCTCACACCTGTAGTCCTAACACTTTGGGAGACCGAGGTGGGGGGATTTCCTGAGCTCAGGAGTTCGAGACCAGCCTGGGCAACATGGCAAAGCCCATTCTCTACTAAAAAAAAAAAAAAAAAAAAAAAAAATTTATATATATATATATACACAAAAAATGAACCAGGTGTGGTATTGCCCACCTGTGATCCAAGCTACTGGGGAGGCTGAGGCAGGAGAATCACTTGAACCCAGGAGGCCAGGGTTGTAGTGAGCCAGGATACCACTACTGCATTCCAGCTTGGGTGAAAGAGGGAGATTCTGTCAAGAAGAGAGAAAGAAAAAGAAAAAGAGAAAAGAAAAAGAAAAGGAAAAAGGAAAGGAAAGGAAAAAGGAAAAGGAGGGGTAGGAGGGGAGGGGAGAAGGAAGGAAAAGAAAGGATTATATAGTCTCTGTTTCTTTATGTTGTTAATGTGATGTATCACGTTTATTGTTTTGCATGTGTTTCACCATCCCACTTGATCATGGTGAATGAATGATATTCGTTTCCTTTTTTTTTTTTTTTTTAAGACAGAGCTTTGCTCTTGTCATCCAGGCTGGAGTGCAATGGCGCAATCTTGGCTCACTGCAACCTCCGCCTCCCGGTTCAAATATGAATAATCTTTTTAATCTGCTGTTGAATGTAGTGTGGTAGCATTTTGTTGAAGATTATTACCTCTATGTTCAGTAAAGATTTGGACTGTAGTTTTCTTTATTTGTGTGTCTTTCTTTGGTTTTGGATAATGTCCTCATGAAATGAGTTTGGAAGCATTCTCTCCTTTTAATATTTTGTGGGAGTGTTTGAAAAGACTTAGCATTATTTCTTTTTTCAATATGTGGTAGAATTTAGCAGTGAAGTCATCAGGTCCTGGGCTTTTCTAAGTTTAACACATTTTAAAGCCAAAGCACTGACTGAAGGGAAATATCAAAATACATACCTGGCATAAAATTTGTATTCAGAACAAATAAAGAAGTTTTATAGCTCAGTATCTGAGAAGAGAAAGAACCCAATAAGTAATGCACAAAATGCAGAAAAAGACACTTTACTAAAGAAGATGTAGGAATGACCAGTGAACATGTAAAAATATGTTCAATATCTTTTCTCACCAGACACATGTCACAGTGAAAAACCACTTTGAAAATAAAATGCTTTACACATATTGGAATGGCTAAAATAACAAAAATAAAGACACAGGCCAAATGTTGGTAAGTACTGGAGCAATTGGAACTCTCATATGTCTGGAAGGAACTATTTTGGAAAACAGTTTGGCAGTGTATATACACATACCATATGGCCTAGCTATTCCACTCCTAGGTATTTACACCAGATATATGTAAACATATGTCCACATGAAAACTTCTGACTAAATATTTTAGTGACTTTATTGAGAATAGTTAAAAACTGGGCAGAATCCAAATTCCTATCAAGAGATAAATAGATAAACTTATGGTCACATATCCATTAAAGGGAATCCAACTCGGGGGTTGGGGGTAAAATGCATATGTGCAGCAAAATTAATACATTTTGAAAATTTTTCTTTATTTTTATTTGTGTGTATGTGTGTGTGAAAGGGGAGAAACGATAAAACTACATATATATTACTCCTTTAATAGGATATTTAAAATCTGTCAAAAATTGATCCCCACTAGTGGAAATAAGATCAGTAGTGATCTTAGCTTCTATACCTCCTTAAAAGACCAGAAGAGAACTTTCTAGGTTAATAGAAATTTTATATAACTAACTTGAGCACTTGTACACAGGGTATGAATTTTTCGAAATTATTGCCTGTACACTTAGATTGTTGCATTTAATTTCCTTTTGTTGGAGAATGAGAAACCAAGGTTCGAATAGTAGGTAAGATTTTTGCAATCAGGATATAGTTGCTTCTGGTCCCTTTAAGCTGACAGAGATAAGGAATACATATTTATATACTACCCTGTGTATATACACATGTCTATAAATACATCTATATATATATACATTCATCTGTATTTATACAAAGCAATTAGATAAATAGAACTATGATTGCTGAACAGTAAACACATTTTTAGCTTTGTAAGGAACTGCCACACAGTCTTCAAAGTAATTATAACATTTTGCCTTACCACCAGCAATGAATGCGGTTTTCTGTAGCTCTATAAAAAACCCCAAGATAATTTTGTAGGTTTATGGATATATTATGTAACTAACTCAACCACTTGCACATGAAGTATTTATTTCTCAAAATTATTATCTGTACACTCTGATGGTTGCATGTAAAAAAATAAACTATTTATTTAGAATAGTTTTAGATTAACAGGAAAATTGTTAAGGTAGCCCAGAGAATTTCTATATACCCAGTTCCTGTTATTAACATCTTCTATGAATAAGGTAAATTTGTTCTAATTGATAAACCTGTAAGTATATATTAGTATCAACTAAAATTCATACTTGGTCCAAGTTTCCTTAGTTTTTACCTACTGCCCTTTTTCTGTTGCAGGAACCTACATGGGGTGCCATATTACATTTAGTAATGAGGTTTCTTTAAGACAGTCTTGGCTATGACAGTTTCTCATAGTTTCTTTGTTTTTGGTAACCTTGGTAGTTTTGAGGAGGACTGATCAGCCATTTTGTAAATATATCTACATTTACAATATATGCCTGCTGTTTTTCATATGATTAATCTGGAATTATATGTATTTGGTAAAAAGACTAAAGAAGTAAAATTCCATTTTAATCACATCACATCAAGTGTACACACTAGCAATGTGGCTTTACTGTTTCTGCTATCATTGAGAAACTAGCTGAGGTAGTATTTGTTAGAT
This sequence comes from Homo sapiens, assembly GCF_000001405.40. Lineage (NCBI taxonomy): Eukaryota > Metazoa > Chordata > Mammalia > Primates > Hominidae > Homo > Homo sapiens. The sequence continues at coordinate 189,552,280 of NC_000001.11, forward strand.
TACTCCACTGTAAATTTACTCCTGTAACCCCCTTGGCAGCAAACCCCTAAGTAAATTCACATTCAAGCAAGGGGAATTATCCTCCACCTTCTTAGAGTAGCTACAAAAACTACTTGACAATTTTCTGACATGAGATTTGTCTTTTCATCTATTTATTTATTTGTTCGATAATTTATTTATAACAACATAGACTCATGGATATTTATTTTAGATTTGGGACCATGACCCAATATCATTTTATTTATTTTGCTGCTAAAATTGTTCCAGCTTTGGCTCAGCTCCTTGGGAGTCCTTTCAGATCACACTTGTCCCTCTAACGTGCCCCCATCATATTTTTGACCCATTTCTTTTTCTCTAGAACTATAAGAGATTCCAGGCTCATCTTGTCTATTTTCTGCCTCAGTCCTATAATTAACTATTTTTTCCTAAACGTCCTAGTTCCTTTGGTTGGAGAATGAGAAATCAAGATTTGAACACTAGGTAAGATTTTTGCTATCAGGATATAGTTGTTTCTAGTCCCTCTAAGCTGACAGAACAAAGGAATACATGCTTGTATACTAAATTGTGTATACAAAAATATATATGAATACATGTGTGTGTAACTATCTATATTTATATGAAGCCATTAGATAAGTTAACTAGAACTGTGATTGCTGAATGGAAAATTTATGTTTAGCTTTCTAAGAAACTGCCAAGGAGATCGAGACCATCCTGGCCAACATGGTGAAACCCCATCTCTACTAAAAAAATACAAAAATTAGCAGGGCATGGTGGCACGTGTCTGTAATCCCAGCTACTCGTGAGGCTGAGGCAGGAGAATAGCTCGAACCAGGAAGTTCGAGGTTTCAGTGAGCCAAGATCACGCCGCTGCACTCCAGCCTGGCGAAAGAGTAAGACTCCATTTCAAAAAAAAAAAAAAAAGGTAGTTATACCATTTTGCAGTATGACCAGTAATGAATGAGAGTTCCCTTAGCTCTGTATTCTCACCAGCAATTGATATTGCCAGTATTTTTTTTTTTTTTTGGTCCTTTTAATAGGTGTGTAGTGGTATATCATTGTGGTGTTCATTTATATTCGCGTAACAAGATGATGTTGAACGTCTTTCATATGCTTATTTGCCAGGTGTACATCTCCTTTGGTGAAATATCTGTTCAGAAATTTGACTATTTTTAATTGTGTTGTTTCTTTTCTTAATGTTAGATTTTAAAGTTCTTTGTTCATTTTGGATCCAACTGTGCTTTCAGATATGTGTTTTGCAAGTATTACCTCTCATGCTAAGGCTTGTCTTTTAATTCTTTTAGCACTGCATTTTGCAGAGCAAAAGTTTGTAATTTTAATGAAATCCAACTTATCTATTACTTATTTCACAAATCTTGTACTGCTGTTGTATACAAAAACTGAGCCACATGAGGGGATCTTTCTTGGATCTTAAATATGAGAATATGGTGAAATGCCTAGCGGTAAACCTCTTGAAAGCATGGTCATTCCCCTAACACTGCAGCTAAGAAATGTGTAACTCCAAGGTAGTTTACACTCAGCTCCTAGGAATTCATCAAAATTACCATTTAAGTGTTTATATCAGTTTATGGCTCCCACAGCTTCTACTCCAGAAAATCAGAATTTGGCTGTGATTCTCTAGATTCACGTGTCTTGTCAGAGTCCATGGTGGCAATTTGCCGTGCAATGTGTTACCTGATGAATATAAGAAAAGCCATTGATTTCATTAAGCGTTTTGTTGTCCCAAATGAAATGTTTTGTAAGAACCCATGTGTCAGCTTCCAGGCTCTTTACATGTTGGAGCTGAAACTGAACATCAGCAGTATTTTTTCAATATAAGTTGTACCTTAGTAAATTTGACTTAAAATGAAGAAAGAAGTAAAAATCAAATTTCACTCAGTTGTAGAATATACACCATGGCAGAAATATATATAAACAATGGCAGAAATATATATAAACAAGCAATGCATATAAAATCATTTATGAATAGGAATTCCGCTGCCAGCATGCCACAATATTTATCTAATATACTTGATCAATTTAGGAAATGCACCATAATATGCATGTGTGTCATATTTAATTTTTCCCTTTTGTCAGGGGATTTCTTTTTGATTGATCATCTTTAAAAATACCTAAAAAATACCAACTGTTACATAAATATTTAATAAATGAACAAACACACACTAAGTATAAATTTATTATGAACACAGTTAATCAAATTTTTAGAATTCATCTGCCAGCAGTGTCAGCATTGGTAAATAGAAGAAAACTAAGGAAAAAAAGAGAAGTTTTCTGTGTTTATAGTCATGAAAGTTGACAGCAAATCTAGCTGTGCTATTAATTCACCAAGGCAAACAATTTTCCCTTTTCAGTGAATATTTTAAGTAGTTTTGAACTTTTCACGTTTGCTTTTATTCACAAATATTCAAGAGTTTATATATGCATTAGGAGGAAAATATTTCTAAGGCAAACATTACATAGATTCTATATTCATCATGCAAAGGTGTCATAAACACATATAGCAAGCCTTGGATAATTAAAGTAAATGTAGGATTTTGGGAGAAAAAACTTAAAGGGGAAGATATAGCATAACTACTGTTTCTTGCGTTTTCATATTTAAATGGTATAAGCTGTACAGAGCTGTCTGTATTCTCACCAGCCAAGATTCTATCAGGAATGAGCCTTTCTGGATATACTGGCTTGGCTTTGCATGGCACTAAAAATGTGTGGAGAGAGTGAATCCAAACTTCCTTTTGTCTTACATATTTATTTATGGGTTAGCTTAATAAGGGCTAGGGAACATTTAGTTTTCCAAAGTAATAAGAAATTTATCAATTGATCTTCAAGCCCAAGGATTATATTCAAGAGGGTTAAGGTCTGCACACTAAGTACCTTTGGAAAGATCTGGCTGCTCCAGCAATGGTTATATTAGGTTTCCCACATAGACTGTCTCGGTCCAGTTGGGCAAGCTCTGTGAGCCATGAATATACACACACACACACACAGAAAAAAAAAAGATAATTAGTCTCCAAGACCATATTGATTTGTGTCTCATCAATACGGTAACTTTAAACATTACAATAATATTTTACAAATGCAAGCCAAGACTGTTGAAGTACTTTAAGGCATCCTGTATTTCATGCATCTAAGTGAAATGTACTAGGGGATATGCTATTGGGGTAATCATTTTAATATAAAAAGATTTTAGGAAAAAAGCCAAAATGTTCATAAAGAAAAGTTTAGTTTTTAAGTTTATATTTTCTGAGAATATGAAGTCACAAAGTGTCAATATGTTTTTGTTGATTTATATATGAGAAGATGTGACAGTTACAGGTAGATAATCCAATTGTTCCATCAATATGAACTTATTTAGACATAAAATAAACTCTTCTGATGTTTTAGAAAATGAATTAACCAAAACTGCCCTACTGGAACCAGCTTTCTTTGTACTTATTTCCATCTCTTCATTACACTACCTATTTATCCTTTTAGTAACATCTTCAGTGTGGATCAATCTAAAGTATTATCTGAGGTAATTAATTAAGTTGAAACTATTTTTATTAATCTGTACATCCATTGGCTTCTTTTACAATAAACAGCAAGAGTGGAAAAGGGTTTTAAAATAAATATGAATAGGAGTCAGAAATCAAAATCCTAGAAACAGAGACATATGCCAGGTTAAAAGACTTGAAGCAATTTCTATGGAAAATTAAGATTTTCATGTCTCCTCCATGTGTGAGTGTCTCTCTTCATACAATGAGACTTAACAATATAGGCTCCTTTGTAACAGCTAATTATTTTGCATTGGTCCATATAGCTCTTGGACAGATTTAAACATTTAGACGTGTTAAGAGAAAAGTAGTAGACCTAGCATTATATGTAGAATCATAGAGTGGAAGCATGGTATTCTGCCTGGAAGTCATCCTCTGTGACCTGTGGATGTTCCTGGTGTGTGGGTTAAGTAAGTAGCTTGTTACTCAGCAGATCCCCAGAAAAGTCCTGCCCCTAGTGGATCTCATTCAGCATCCCAACTCTACCTTTGCTTCTACGGAAAATAAGTGGAAAAAAAAAATCATGCCTGGAAGTAATTAGTACATGATCATGGCCACCTGGCGCTGCCTACTGAGGGACACCTCAGGACTCAGCAGATACCTCAAGGACCTGCTGCAGCTGAACAAACTGCTTCACAGTGGTCTCAGGGACTATGCCTAGGTATGTACAAAGGCTGGAGTTTCCAGAAAGCAATCCCCAGGACATGGAGAAAAGTCTGAGCAAGAAGTTATTGAGGAACCTACCATGTAGTTTTGTTATAAGGGCTTATAAAGTTGAAAGAGACTCTTCTAAACCATATTGTCCACATTGATTAATTTTTTTACAAAACCAAGCAATCATGCTAGAAAAAAATACAATTACATTTCCATTCTCACTACAGAAAGCAATTTACAAAGTTTGTGTCACATGAAGAAACAAGAATATCAGCTAAAAAATGTAGAAAACAAAATATCAAGCAGTTAATTCAAAATGGTAATCCTAAAACTTTTTTGAAGAGTCTCATGCTCTATGAACTGAATTAGCCAGGCCCTAAAATTTTAAAAAACATTTTTACATGACTGAAAACCTTTTCTTCTTATCCCAGCCCCTGGCAACCACTATTATACTCTGCTTCTTTAAATTTCACTACTTTATATACCTCAAATAAGTGGCATCATGTGGTTGTTGCCCTTCTATGAGTGGCGTATTTCACTCAGCACGATATCCTCAATTTTGATCTATGTTGTGTATTTAGTTAACTATATGGTACTAGATCCTTAAAAATTTGATAACTGAGTAGGTATGATGTGGTTCTTACCATTGTAAACAAATATATAATCCTAATTATAATCATAATGATAATAACATTTTTCTGAATGTTGTGAGGTTTAGCTCTCAGCTTTTATTTAATTTTAAAATTTGTTGTGATTTATTTTATTGATATAGATCAGTATTTATTTATTGAGTGAATTTGATATTATTTTTCTTATTAAATATATCTACAGATTTTATAATCTTCAGGTCTCTCCAAATCTGGAATTAACTTTTTAAGTGAAGAATAATTTGTAATTAGATTTCTCAATTTGTTTAGCATGTTTTTATCTGTACAGTTTACTAATTACACATTGGAGATTATTTTATAAAAACGTGGATGTGAGGTACGTTACCAAATAACTTCATGTGCAATTTATAACTAAGCTATTAACACACTTCAAAATAATGATTGAATATTTATGTCCAGTTATTATTTTAAAGTATTTTGGTGATACCAGAGGAAGCATAGAATATTCTATGAAAATAATTTGAATCAAGAGTGAAATGGGTTTGTCAGATGAGATCTGCAGTCAGGAGAAAAAAAAAATGACTGGGGAAAGCTGTTTACACTAATAGTTTTACCAACCAATACTAAGAATTTTCATTTTAAGACTTCAGGAGGAGAACATTGGTCAATGCTATTATTACCACACTTGGTAATTGATATGGTTTGGGTGTGTCTCTACCCAAATCTCAACTCAAATTGTATCTCCCTGAATTCCCCCATGTTGTGGGAGGGACCCAGGAGGAGGTAATTCAATCATGGGAGTCTGTCTTTCCTGTCTCGTGTTATTCTCGTGAGAGTGAATAAGTCTCATGCGATCTGATAGGTTTATCAGAGGTTTCTGCTGTTGCTTCTTCCTCATTCTTATCCTGTCAGTGCCATGTAAGAAGTGCCTTTTTCCTCCTGCCATGATTCTGAGGCCTCCCCAGCCATGTGGAACTGTATGTCCAATTAAACTTCTTTTTCTTCCCAGTCTTGTGAATGTCTTTATCAGTAGTGTAAAAACGGGCTAATACAGTAAATATAAAGCCAATTGAAATCCACCCTCAAATGTGTATGAGAATAGTAAAGGGAAGCTATACTTCTTTCTGCATAAATTTAGAAATTAAAAAAAAAACCCTAAATATACAAAGCTTTCCAAGTAAATAATCATTTAAACAAGTAAAAACTCCAGCTGGTGTAGCTAAGGAATGGCCTGTTTTTTAAATCCCAGCACTTTGGGAGGCCGAGATGGGTGGATTACTTGAGGTCAGGAGTTCGAGACCAGCCTGGCCAATATGGTGAAACCCTGTCTCTACTAAAAATGCAAAAATTAGCTGGGCATGGTGGCACATGCCTGTAATCCTAGCTACTCAGGAGGCTGAGGCAGGAGAATCGCTTGAACCCAGCAGCAGAGGTGGCAGTGAGCTGAGATTGTGCCACAACAATCCTAAGCAAAAAGAACAAGTCTGGAGGCATCACACTACCCAATTTCCAACTATACTACAGGGCTGCAGTAACCAAAACAGCATGATGCTGGTACAAAAACAGACACATAGGCCAATAGAACAGAATAGAAAGCCCAGAAATAAAGCCACACACCTACAACCATCTGATATTTGACTTTCTCTCTTCCTATATGTCATCTCTGATTTATTTGAGAATTGAATTTTAAAATAGTTTTTTTCTAGTTAGATAAATAATGTTATTGGTAGTTTAATAAGAACTTCCCAAAGCAATGTAAAGAATGACTCTTACATTGCTTTGGGCAGTATAGCCATTTTAACAATACTGATTCTTCCCATCCATGAGCATAAAATATTTTTCCATTTGTTTGTATCATCTCTGATTTCTTTGAGCACTGTTTTAATTCTCATTGTAGAAAATTTTCACGTTCCTGTTAGCTGTAATCAACTCAAAATGGATTAAAGACTTGAATGTAAATCCTAAAATTGTAAAAACCCTGGAAAATAACCTAGGCAATATTATTCTGGACAAGGAACAGGCAAAGATTTCATGACAATGACACCAAAAACAATCACAACAAAAGCAAAAATTGACAAATCAGATCTAATTAAACTAAAAGCTTCTGCACAGTGGAAGAAACTATCAAAGAGTAAACAGACAACCTACAGAATGAGAGAACTATGAGACTAGAGTTTTCTAGACATAGAATCACGTCATCTGCAAATAGGGATGGTTTGACTTTCTGCCCTTTTTATTTGGATGCTGTTTGTTTCTTTCTATTGCCTTATTTGTTTTGTTCCTTCAATACAAAAACAATCAATTGGGAAAAGAAACCCTATTCAATAAATGGTGCTAGGATAACTGTCTAGTTATAAGCAGAAGATTGAAACTGGACCCTTTCCTTATACCATATACAAAAGTCAACTCAAGATGTATTAAAAATTCAAATGTAAAACCCAAAAGTATAAAAACCTTGGAAGATAGCCTAGACATTACCATTCTGGTCATAGGAACTGGCAAAGATTTCATGACAGACACCAAAAGAAATCACGACAAAAGCAAAAATTGACAGATGGGGTCTAATTAGTCTTTACAGCTTCTGCACAGCAAAAGAAACTAAAATAGAGTAAATAGACAACCTACAAAATGAGAAAAAATATTTGTACACTATGCATCTGACAAAGGTCTAACATCCAGCATCTATAAGGAATGTAACCAAATGTACAAGAGAAAAACAACCAACCACTTTAAAAAGTAGGCAAAGGACATGAACAGATATTTTTCAAAAGAAGGCACACATGTGGCCAAAAAACATGTGAATAAAAGCTAATATCACTGATCATTAGAGAAGTGCAAGCCAGAACCACAGTGAGATACCATCTCACAACAGTCATAATTGCTATTATTAAAAAGTAAAAGAGTAACAGATGCTGGCAAAGTTGTAGAGAAAAGTGAACTCTTAAATACTGTTGGTGTGAGTATAAATTAGTTCAACCATTTTGAAAAGCAATATGGCAATTCCTCAAAGAGCAAAAATAGAACTACCATTCAACCCAGCTATCCCATTTCTGAGTATATACTCAGAGGAATATAAATCATCCTACTATAAAGACATGCATGTGTGTGTTCATTGTACATGGAATGTGTTCATCCCATGAACACACATTCCATTTCAGAGCAAAGACATGGAATTGCGTCCGGAATTTATTCCTTCTAGTGGGTTGTTCGTCTCACTAACTTCAAGACTGAAGCTGCAGACCTTTGCAGTGAGTGTTACAGCTCTTAAAGGCGGCGCATCCAGAGTTGTTTGTTCCTCCAGGTGGGTTCGTGGTCTCGCTGACTTCAGGAATGAAGCTGCAGACTCTCGTGGTGAGTATTACAGCTCATGAAGGTAATGCGGACCCAAAGAGTAGCAAGATTTACTGTGAAGAGCGAAAGAACAAAGCTTCCACAGCGCGGAAGGGTACCCAAGCAGGTTGCCACTGCTGGCACACGTGGCCAGCTTTTATTCCCTTATTTGGCCCCACCCACATCCTGCTAATTGGTCCATTTTACAGAGAGCTGACTGGTCCATTTTACAGAGTGATGATTGATCCATTTTACAGAGTGTTGATTGGTGTGTTTACAATCCTTTAGCTAGACACAGAGCACTGATTGGTGCTTTTTTACAGAGCGCTGATTAGTGCATTTACAATCCTTTAGCTAGACACAGAGTGCTAAATGGTGCATTTTTACAGAGTGCTGATTGGTGCATTTACAATCCTTTAGCTAGACACAGAGCGCTGATTCGTGTGTTTTTACAGAGTGCTGATTGGTGCGTTTACAATCCTTTAGCTAGACAGAAAAGTTCTCCAAGTCCCCACTGGACCCAGGAAGTCCAGCTGGCTTCACTTCTCAGAATCAACATAAATGCCCATCAATATTAGATTGAGTAAAGAAAATGTGGTACATTGTGCACTATGAAATATTTTGCAGCCATAACAAAGAATTAGGTCATGTCTTTTGTGGGAATATGAATGCAGCTGTAGGCCATTATCTTTAGCAAAATAATGCAGGAACAGAATATCAAATACAGAATGTTCTCACTTATAAATGGGAGTTAAATGATGAGAACTCATGCACGCAAAGAGGGAAACAACAGACACTGGGGCGTAAAACTTGAGGGTGGAAGGTGAGAGGAAGGAGAGGAGCAGAAAAAAATTTGCAATCTGTTCAAGTAAATCTTTCTTACAATTTTATGTTGTGGATTGTTTTATTTTCATTTTTGCTAGAAATAATTAATACTTTATAGTACATGCAATTAAAGATCTGACTTAGGGTTAAAAATTACTGTAGAATGCCTACATTTATTTTCACCCAATAGTGAGGGTTTTGTCAGATTTTTTTATGCCTCTTATGGTCTACCGTTATTGCTATTTTACTAATAGGTAAGATCATTTTGATTAAAGTCAGTAATTTGACATCTAAATTAAAACAAAGTGATTAAACTGACTTTATCTGGATTACTAGTAAAATGAATAAATCCCATGAAATATAGAGATAAATAGTTCCTAAATAAAATTCTTTAAATAATTAATTTGCACTGATATATTACTATTATCACACCTAAATATTTAATCTTTTATAAAGGTATTATTTTTACATAGGCTATACAATTTTAAGTTAGTCAGCATGATTTCATAATTCCCAAACTTCTTAAGAGAGATGCTTTTTAAAAAATCTTTATTGTCTCAATTCAAAATAACAAATCAAGTGCCCTCTCCGCGTTAGATATTATATTAAGTCTTAGGAATTCAGGGTGGTACCATCCACATCCTCAAAATTCCTAACTCTTATAGAAAAAAGTCTCACTCTCATGAAACAACACAAAGGGATTCTGTGTTATTTTCTATGCTGCTAATTATATGTGAACTTCAAATATTTGTCAGGCAATACAGTTTTTAAAGTGAGGAACTTCAAATTGGAGGACATACATAGCTGGGACAGAATCAACTGTTAGCATGGGACAGCAGGAATTGTGGGTGTTTTAGGGCTATATATATATATTATATATAATTTATATTATATATATAATTTATATTATATAATTTATATTATATATCTTACATAAATTATATATATATATTACATAAATTATATACAATATAAATTATATACAATATAATTTATATATAAAATATAAATTATATAAATAATTTATATATAAAATATAAATTATATAAATAATTTATATATAAAATATAAATTATGTATAAAATTTATATATAAAATATAAATTGTGTATAAAATTATATATAAAATATAAATTGTGTATAAAATTTATATATAAAATATAAATTATATATAATTTATATATTATAATATAAATTATATATAATATATATCATAAAATATAAATTATATATAATATATATCATAAGATATAAATTATATATAATATATATCATAAGATATAAAATATATAATATATAAGATATAAAATATATAATTTATATCATAAGATATAAAATATATAATTTATATCATAAGATATAAAATATATAATTTATATCATAAGATATAAATTATATATAATTTATATCATAAGATATAAATTATATATAATTTATATCATAAGATATAAATTATTATAAATTATATATAATTTATATTATAAGATATAAATTATTATAAATTATATATAATTTACATCATAAGATATAAATTATATATAATTTATATTATAAGATATAAATTATGTATAATTTATATTATATATAGTATGTATTTTATATAATATATATTATATAATACATATTTGGTGAAATAACATATATAATATATATAATGAAATAACATTGGTGAAATATATATATATATATATATATTTGGTGAAATAACAATTAGTCCTTTCAGGCTAATGACCAGCCCTAAAATTTACATTTGCCCTTGAAAGAATGGGTCCGCCTTAACTTCTGAGGGTGCCTACTGGTTTAACAAAATGCTACTGAGAAGAGTGAGAGTGTTGGAGATGACTTAATAAACAAAGTCTAAAATAGCTAGTCACTTATTCAACAAAGGTGTGTGTGGGTGTGTGGGTTACGTTTTGAGCAGCTACGTTTGTTAGGTACTGTTCTTGACGGTGAAAAACAACATTATGACAACAAAAACTAAACAAAAATATCTGCCCTTGTAAATCCATGCTCCAATGGGAAAAGAGAAAGTAAACAAATACATTAAAATTTGAAGCATAATTAATAAAATGCATAGTAGGTTGTAGGGTACTAAATGAGGAAAATAAAGCAGGAAAGATAAATAAAGGTTGTTAGTATTGGTTGAAATGAAGGTATGTTGTTGCAATTTAAAATGGAATTAGACACAAATGACCTCAAAGAGTAAATAGCCTATGAGCAACGAGAAGGTGCTGAGGAATTCCTGTATCCTGACAAATATTTGAAGTTCACATATAATTAGTAGCATAGAAAATAACACAGAATCCCTTTGTGTTGTTTCATGAGAATGACTTTTTTTCTATAAGAGCCTGGAATTTTTTAGGATGTGGATGGTACCACTCTGAATTCCTAAGAATTAATATAACATCTAACACAGAGTGGGCACTTGATTTGTTATTTTGAAATGAGAGAATAAAGATTTTTTTAAAAAGCATCTCTCTTAAGAAGTTTGGGAATATCAGAGGTAACATAGGCAGAACAACTTCAAATACAAGGAACCTGAGGTGGAATCATGTCCACCGTGTTTATGGAACAAGGATGACAGTGCTAATAGAGAAGAGTAAATCAAAGGGAGCAACACAGAAAATTCAACCCAAAATGCACAAACAAAAACAAAAAGAAACATAACGGAGCTGACTACTTTAGGGTAAGAGTTATAAGGAACTCAGTCTTTATTGTGAAAGATTACCTTGTTGAAATATTTGGGGCAGAGTAGTGTCGCAATATGACTTAAATTTTATATGTATTACTGTGGCTGCCATCTGTAGAATAAACAGATGAAGGCAAGAATAGAAGTAGAAGTAGGAATATCTGTTAGAAGATTTAGTAATTCAGAGAAAAGGTAATGAGTCTGGGTGAAGGTTGTAACATTGAACATTAGCGGTGGTGAGATGTAGTCAAATATTCATTGTATATAATTTCGGCAAAAGAATGTACTGAAGGAGTGCATGTGAATATTAGGAAATTACAACCGTTAAGAATGGCTGAGAGACCTTAGGCTTGAGATACTGGAAGGATGGATGTGTCACTTACTGAGTTAGAGAAGTCTAGGAGAAACAGATTTGGCGGAGTGGTGGTGAGTATGTTAAATTCTGATACATAGGGTTTGAGATCCCTGTCAGACTTCCAGGTGGAGATAGGAAATAAAATTTTCCATGGTAGTACTCTTGTGATACTATAATAATACATTTGAATTATGACATCTGAAACAATACATGGGAAATCTATAGCATAATTAGTTTAAAAGTCAGAGTTTCAAAGCTTTTGGTGAGTACTAATTTTCCACAATTTTCTACTCACCCTAAACAAACTATAATTTTGCTATTTCATTGCTTATTGTTAACAGAGTACACTGAAATGATCACATCACTATTTCTTTTATCTGATAACCTAACTTTTAAACATAGAATTTTAATCAGAAAATGTAAAAAAAAGGTAGCAGTAAATTATTTACTATTTTTCAAGAAAAGACAGTTTTCATCTACTGAATGCAATCATGCACAAATTGTAAAATAACAATTAATTTTAATTATTAAAAAGTAACAAAATTACCACAGAATGTATTTACTTAATATATTTGAACAGGCTTATTGTAGCCTTTCTCTAAGAAAAAAAAAGATACAGCTTTTTTAAAAAAATATGGATAACTAGAATTCTTTAATCAGTGATTTTGAATTCAACACTTGTCAAGATCCTGGAAAAGTAACAGAAATAAAGATGCCCTGGGCATTTTTAATAAAGATGCTCAGCTGAGACAACATCTTATATTGTGCCATCACCACTGAACGTTGTGAAAAACTTCCCATGTTAGTCTGGTCTTGCATTTCTATAAGGAAATACCTGAGGCTGAGTAATTTACAAAGAAAAGAGGTTTGATTGGCTCCTGGTTCTGCAAGCTGTAAAGGAAGCATGGCACCAGCATCTCTTTCTGGTAGGGGCCTTGAGAAGCTACAGTACTGGAAGAAGGCAAAGCAAGATCAGACACATCACATACCTAGAAAGGGAGCAGGAAAGAAAAGAGGGAGGTCCTAGACTCTTTTAAACAACCAGGTGAACTAACTGAGGGAGAATTCACTCATCACCAAGAGGACGGCGTTAAGCCATTCACGAGGGATCTGCCCCCATAAACCAATACCTCTTACGAGGCCCCATCTCCAACACTGGAGGTCACATTTTAACATAACATTTGGAGAGGACAACCATCCAAATGATGTCACTCCCTGACTCATCCCTACAGCCACTCAATAACAGACAATTAGGGTAAAATAACTCAAGTTAACTGATGTCCTGTATAAAAAGTATAGAGAATGTCCATTTAGAAAGTTTCCTGCAATATCCAAGAAGTTCTAAAGCAGGATATATATATGGAGAAATCACATTATTTATGAAGAAATTCATCAAATTCTGTTGATGTTAGTACCTGTATCTCAACTAGTTATTATTTACATCAGCATATTGACCTGAATAAAAATCTTCCCTATAGTACTTTGTATATACTACAGATGTTACGTACATTAAATTACATTATTTGTGTTACATTATGTTGTATTCTACTGTGTTATGTTATATGCTATATTATGTTATAGTCTTTACTATTATCATATTCTGTTTAGGGCTTAATCCTACCATTATCTAAATTATGAGCTTCTCATTGAATTTAGAAACAACTTTCTGGCCGGGCGCTGTGGCTCACGCCTGTAATCCCAGCATTTTGGGAGGCCGAGGCAGGCAGATCACCTGAACTCAGGAGTTCAAGACCAGCATGGCCAACATGGCGAAAACCCATCTCTACAAAAAAAAAAAAAAAAAACAAACTTAGCCAAAACTAGCCAGGTGTGGTGGTGGTGCACACCTGTAATCCCAGCTACTAGGGAGGCTGAGGTGGGAGAATCATTTGAACTTGGGAGGCGGAGGTTGCAGTGAGCCAAGATCATGCCACTGCACTCCAGCCTGGGTGACAGGGTGAGATTCCATCTTAATAAATAAATAAATAAATAAATAAAAACTTTCTAGCATTTATATTTATTTACTTACAATGTCTGTACCAATTATATAAGAAAATACTCAATTTGTTGTTAAATAAAAGTATGAATTAAACATACGTCTTATTATATAAAGTCAATTTGGCATCTGTGCGGCTATTAAGCATGTTAGACTCTGATAAGTTCACATAGCCATCTAAACAAAGAGACTACATCTTCCATTTGAAAGGCATCTGATTTGAAGTTAATTCTGGAAACGGCGTTGTCAATTTTTTTTTTGATAATGTCACATTCGTCCAAATCTAGCCTTGGCCAAGCCTTAATCTCAATTGCATATTATGTATTTTATATACATCATTTTCAGTAATGCTGCATGTAATCAGTCTTTTGGGTCATTAAGTATAACTGCATGTTCCTATACCAATGTGTAATATGTTGCTAATGGAGCTTCTCTTAGAAGGCCAAATTGTCTCTTACTTTTCTCTACTTTGATACCTCAGTGTTCCACCTGTCTCTGAGCAATACTAAAAATACTTTTCTTATCTGGAACTCCAATCACTGAAACACAAAGCTACGCAGAAAATCTTTGACGTGTAAAAATTTGTGAATTACAGATTTTTTTTATAATTATAACTGAGGTTCTAGTACAAAAATAACTTCAGTCCAATATGTTCAATTAATGGTATATCTGATAAGTTTCATGTCTAGAAAGGTAGACTTGTTATACTTTAGAAAGTAAAGCAAAAGGAACTTGATCACATCATAGTAAATTGTCCAAATATTCAGAAAGAGGACTTTGAAAACCTAATGCTGATAAACTTATAATTGTACTGCTTTTAGCATGTTATTTTTCTGTGATAAAACATTAGAAGTGAACTACCTAGAGACACTTTACTTATCTTTTCCCAGTTTTTGTGAAAAACTATGCTGTGTCAAGTTTAGAAAGTGAGATTTTTGGTAAAATAGAAATTTAAAAGCATTTATATTCCTCTTTGAAACCATTAAAAGCAATGTCTACACTTGTAAAAAAACAAATTTACCTTGTGTGGAGCAATGGTTGAAAATAACGTTAAATATACATACACTTGCACAAATCTTAAGGAGATAAACATGTTCGGAAAAGTTTTAAAATAATGTCTTCACTTTTTTGTTACAATTCTGTGAAAAGAAAATTATACATAGTTTTCAAATTTACTTCCTTTACAAAATTATATTACCTTTATATAAAAAAGATATGCTTAAGAAAGTCACTTTAAATTGAACTGTTTATAATTTTGTAATAGTAATGGTAAACGGATGCTTTACATGGGTTGTTATCCTAATTAACCCTAACTGGTAATATTCAAACAGATGATTTCTTAAGTGACATATTATGATTATGTACATTCACTGAAATAAATATGCCTAATACTATTCAGATACTTCTCTTTTTCCTTCAGGATCATTTCTTTTAGCAATAATATTCCATATGCATGACATGTTAATGGTCTCTTTTCATGGAAATTGATGAAGTGTATGTTCAAAAAGGATAAGTGTATTAAAATCAAGCAGTTTTGAATTATTGTGTTTAAAAAGATTAATGAGCAATGAGCCTTACTCTTTTTACCAGGCTTGATATGAAAAGTCCTAAAATTTGAGTTTAGTTTATAAAAATATAGCTACTAGCATATACAAGGGGAATTATTATTGTAACAATGCATTTTGAAGTATGACTTTTCAAAAATAACGACAGAGGAAAGAAAGAGTGGCAGGTGCTTAGCACAACTGTCTGCCAAAATAATACTATTTTTATCAGCAGTGTAAATAAAATATTCAGTCAACATTTGCTTATTTTTTGACATCTTGCCAACAGCATGTTAGAATGAGTTTCTTGTACTGAATAACTGAGATAGAATAGTTTGACACTGTGCTTAGGGAGTGAACAGGCTACCTCTGTTATGATTCTTGCAGACTGCAAAAAGGGAGAGAAAATAACAGTTTGAAAGTAGTTTACTGTTTGATTTGTTTGTTTTATTGTATTATTTTATTTCAAATGTAATTTATTGTTTTATTGTTGTCTTTCAGATCACCTGTAGACCCAAAACAACTTCAAATAGCCATTTCCTTCACTGCTGTGAGCAGATGTAGACAGGTATGTGTTCCCAAATGTTAGAATTCTTAAGAGGAAAACTAGCAGAGGAAGGGCATACTTGATAGACAGTGTAGACTGTGCCCTTGAATCAATGTCTTACTCCCTTTATAAAAACATGTCTTTTAAAAAAAAGTGGGGCGGGGGAGAATTTTTCGCACACATTCAAAATGTACAGTCAAATGTTACCAAACCTAATGGTGTTGGGACAACTGTATATCCATATACGGAGGAATGAAGTCAGACACTTATTTCACGCTATATACAAAAATCAACTCAAAGCATTAAATGTAAGACACGAAACTGTAAAATTACTAGAAGAAAACATAGGGGAAATTTTCATAACATTGGTTTGGGCAATGCTTTTTTGAATAAAACCTCTAAACCACAGGCAGCAAAAGCAAAAATGGACATATGCAATTACATCAAAAAGCTCCTGTGCAGCCAAAGAAAAAATCAAGAATGAAGAGATAGTCTACAAAATGGGAGAAAATACTTGCAATCCACATATCTGAAAAGTGGCTAATATCCAAAATATATAAAAACTCAAACAATTCGATCAATAAAACAAACAAACAAACAACAACAACAACAAAATGATTAAAAACTGGGCCATAGACTTGAATAGACACTTCTCAAAAGAAGATATACAAATGACCAGGGGGTATATGAAAAACTTCCAAACATCACTACTCATCAGAAATGTAAAAGAAAGCCACAATGAGATATCACCTTACACCTGTTAGGATGGCTGTTGTCAAAAAGACAATGGATAACAAGTGTAGGTGAAGATGTGGAGAAAAGGGAACCTGACCAACTATCGGTAGGAATGTAAACCATTATGAAAAACAGTATGAGAATTCCTCTAAAAATTAACAATAGAACTACATTGTGATTTAGCAATTTCACTCGTGGTTATATATCAAAAGGAAATAAAAACAGGTTGTCAAAGAGATACCTGCCTTTCAATGTTAATTGCAATGTAATTTACAATAGCCAAGACATTGAATGAACCTGTGCCTATTAACGGATGAATGAAAAGACAAAATATGGTGTATAATATACAATGAAATACTATTCAGCCTTTAAAGAAAGAGAAATCTTATTTGTGAACCTAGAGGACATTAGGTAAAGTAGAATAAGCCAGACACAGAAAGGCAAACTCTACATCATCTAACTCAAATGTGGAATCTAAAAATGCTGAAGTCATACAAGTAGAGAGTAAGGCTGGTTGTTACCAGGGGGTTGGGGAAGGGTAGTTAGAGTGATATTGGTTAAAGGATACAAAATTTGAGTTATATAGGAGTAATAAGTTGAAGAGATCCATTCATAACAAAGTGAACTAATTAATAACAATACATCATATTCTTGAAAATTGCTAAGAATGTAGATTGTAAGTGTTCTCACCACAAAAAGATGAGTATGTGAAGTAATGCATATGTTAATTCATTCCATTTGGCCATTCCACAATGTATGCACCTTTCAAAATAACATGTTGGTACACAATAAACATATACATGTTTTATTTGTCAACTAAAAACAAATGAATCAAAAAGAAAAACAAACAAAAACAAAATAAACAAATAATGTTACCAAACCAGTCAGAGAAGACACAGATATCTGTGATCCATTTCTTAAATATTTCAGAATTTTAGCAGAAGAACATCATTTGAAAATTTTGCACTTAAGAAAGGCTAAGCTTGATCTAATCTGTATGAGTTTTATTTGATTTTAGCAAACGTGTTTCTGGAATAAAATGTCAGTCATAATTATTTTTCTTTTAAAGCCTGAAAAATAGCATAATCTCTCCTACAATAATTATTTGCAGAGGTCCATGGTTATATATGTCCAGCATATAAATCAATGATTTTGTGTCTGTTAGCCTCCTAACAGAGGAAAACTTCATTTACTCTTTCCCTGTCCCTTTGTGTGTGTCTGGGGAACTGTGTGTTTTGATACATAGGGATTTAGTGGAGTATTTTCCCATGTCTCTATCACATTTATGTAAAATTATCTAAGGCTGAAAGTCTGACAATAACTAGCAACAAGACGACCATTCTATGGATGATTACAAAAATCACTTTACTTGATATCCGACTTACTGGATATGATCTTTGAAAATAAGTCAGTTACATGAAGAAATGCTGTAAGCATTATATTTCACTCAAGAAATTTTAAAACCACCATAGACTTGAATAGACACTTCTCAAAAGAATATATACAAATGACCAGGGGGTATATGAAAACGTTCCGAACATCACTAGTCATCAGAAATGTAAATGAAAGCCACAATGAGATATCACCTTACACCTACAAAATCTTTTCATTTAATTATATACTTCCCTCTTTTGATATTCTTCACTTTCAACAATAAATTTAGATAGATGATCATATGAACACATTTCAATATTGCTGGAAAGCATTTCAGTAACTTTACTGGAAAAAAAATAATAGCATAGAATGTAACTTAATGATAACAAGAGACTTGTTTGCCGTGTTCAATACTGAATAGTCAGTTCCAATCAGTGTGCCTGGTACATGAAAGGAGTTTTTTTTTTTTTTTTTTTGGAACTTGTATGTATTTTTTAAGTAAGTTGTCAACAAGTTAGGGTAAAATAAGAGAAATTTCACGTATGTACAATAAAAAATAAATATTTTGAAACAGATTTTAATTTTAAAATGCTGATTTTATTTATAATCTGTAGAAAAAAACATGAAAATAGATATTTATTAAATAGAAGAAGCTGTTATGACAACATGGATAAGTCTTTGAGTATTTTCTAGGACAAAGTTGTTTACACTTAAGAAATAAATTAGATATAGAATATATAATTTATATTTCTATATATAATATAGAAATATATAATATATATTAATAATATATTATATAATATATATTTTATATATATAATATAGAAATGTAAAATTTGCAGTAAAATTTAAAAAGTGTAAGACAAACCATACTCTGTACAATAAAGAATTAAAACATAAATACTTCAATGTCATAAATATCAAGTAACAATAAATAAATATATTAATTTTTATAGGATGCATTATTTCTGTTTAACAGTTTTAAGTGACTACAAAAGAATACCTCTTTTGGCAGGTCAATATTAGAATTTTAATGATCACATTATGTTGTTTATGCCATAGGTTTCCAAAAATGTCCTGGCCTACATATATGTTTTGTATATTAATCTTGGAAGGATAATCCTTTATTAGCAATAATTTTTAGAAAGAAAAATTTTAAAGGAAAAATTACATTTTATGTGTAATTTTCATCTTTTCCCT
This sequence comes from Homo sapiens, assembly GCF_000001405.40. Lineage (NCBI taxonomy): Eukaryota > Metazoa > Chordata > Mammalia > Primates > Hominidae > Homo > Homo sapiens. The sequence goes on from NC_000001.11 coordinate 189,571,684, forward strand.
TAGCCTGCTGTGTTAATTTCCTAAGGCTGCTATAACAAGTAACCACAAACCCGGTGTCTGTATTAGTCCATTCTCACACTACTATAAAGAACTACCTGAAACTGAGTAAGTTATAAAGAAAAGAGGTTTAATTGACTCACAGTTCCACAGGCTGTATAACAAGACATGGCTAGGGAGACCTCAGGAAACTTACAATCATGGCAGAAGGGTGAAGAGGAAACAAGCATGTCTTCATATGGCGGCAGGAGAGGAAGAGTGAAGGGAGAAGTGTTACACACTTTTAAGCAACCAGATCTCATGAGAACTCCCTCATTATCATGAGAACTCCCTCACTATCATGAGAACAGCAAGGGGAACATCTGCCCCCATGATCCAATCCCCTTCTACCAGGTGTCTCCCCCAACACTGGGAATTATCAACGTTGGGAATTATCACATAAAATTTGAGTGAGGACACAGAACCAAATCATATCAGTGGCTTAAGACAATAGAAATGTATTATTTCATAGTTCAGGAGGCCAGATATTCAATAGGAAAGTGATGGCATGATTGATTTCTTCAGGAGGCTTTCAGGGGAAATCTTTCTTATCTTCTGGTGTTTTCTAGCAATCCCTGGCATTCCTTGACTTTAAGCAGTGTAACTCCAATCTCTGCCTCCTTGTAACATGGTATTCTTTGCTTTATGTGACTGTGTATTCATGTAGCCTTCTTACAAAGATACCAGTCTTTGGGTTTAAGGTCCACATTAATCCAGTATAGTATGACATCATCTTAACTAAGTGCATTTGCGGAGACCCTGTTTCCAAATAAGTTAACTTAGGATCTAGGTGGACAAGACTTTCTGGAGGACGCAATTCAGCCCAGTACATTTGTTTACTGATTATATATCTATACACACACACACACACACACACACACACATATATATAATATATATTATATATACACACACAGACACTATATGTTTATACATACAATTATACATACAATATATAGTATAATTATATATACATATAGTGCATTATATATGTATAATTGCAAGTGTGTGTGTGTATATATATATATATATAATTTTTTAAGGGAATAATGAGTTTTGCATCTGCCATAAAATCTTTTATTCTTCTTGTTAGTGTAAACAAATGGGAGAAGAAATAAGATTTGACAAATATGCCAGGGCAAGATTACAGAAGGACATATACATTGTGGTAAAAATAATAATAATAATAATAAAAGTGATTGCTACTTTATGGCAAGAAGGAGCAATAAAAATTTGAAAGTACTTATGTAGCATCTACTCTGTGGCAATACTATACAAGAATATTCTGAAGAGAGGATAAGGAGTTAAAAAGAAACATGGCTTGATATGTATCACAGTTCAAAAGGAAACCATTGTCCATTGGTAAACGTAGCACATTTGGGTTTGTTAAGCTTGAAATTGAAAAAAAAAAAAAAAAAAAACAGGTAAAAAAACAGGTCTAGCCAAGCTGAAATATACCTAGTGTAAATAAAATAATAGGATGAAGTCCCATGATATCTCAGTAAGAAGGCATAAATACATGATCAGGGAAGGGATTCAGAGCTCTGCAACATTGGCAAGGTTTTTACCACAATTATGGTATTTCTTGGCAGAAATAAAAAAATTGGGATATAAAATGAAACAGGCAGTTAGAGTTATAACTGGGTGTTGAATAAAATTAGGGACAGAGGTGGAGGAAGGAAAGAATAGATCACCTGCAAGAGTGGAAGTTGAAAAACAGAAAGTATGAGAACATTTTGTTTAATGGAAAAACATTTGATCAAAGAATAGAGATAGTAATATTTAAACATCATATTGGAGTAAACTAGGCAAGTACTATTGTTAAAAAAATCCCCAGTTCTAAGAATTTTCTGTGTTTGTAGGGTGGCTAATTTCTAGTACTTAAGTCCAGAGCAGTCTCTGATGTTAGTCACAGTGCTGTCAAATTGAATGTTGTTTACAAGCTATTGACAAAATGTCACATTTACTTCAAGTGTATTTTACTATGTAGTTCAAAGACTTTTCCAAGATACTCATTTCTGGGAAAAATATTAAGGGGTGTACATTTGGCATTGAACACAGAGTATTTGATTTTAGATTGCATTTTTCCCCAAATCTTTAAGGATTTGGCTCAAACATTACTGTGAATTTAGAATTTCTTTTGTAGAGGAGTACAGTTATTTTAACAAAGATATGAAAAACTGATATGCCTATTAAAATTTCATTGAATCAACTTAATTAACTTCAATTTAATTCATTTATTAACATAAATTTAGGTTTCCTTAAATAAAAAAACACCCTTAAGTTGCCTTTAGCATTTAGTCTTTAACATAACTTCATGCTAGTTAAAATAATTTGCAGACAGTGCAGTCCTGTAATTTTAGTGTTACATTATACTTTATATAAAATGCATATTAAATCTAAATGTTGCTTCTTTGTTTGGTATTGTGGAACTGTATAGAAATTTACCTGTATTATCAACTTACAGGTGAACTTGCCTTAAATTGTAATAGTTGCCATCTATTTATGCTTTAAATGCTTTAAAAATATTGAGCAGTTATATTTAAGGATATACAGATGTTTCATACTACCATATTATAATTTAGATTTTAAAAATCTTTCTTGTGTATTCTGGTTTAAAGTCCTGGAATACTTATTGATATCTTACTTATATCATGATAACAAGGCTGCAGCTAATTATACTGTGCTTCCAAGCAAATGTCTGTACCAGAAGATAAATGTTGAAATTAAGCAAGAACTGTATTTTACTCAAACAGAAAATTCTATTTACACTTAGAAAACAAAATAAAGATTTGATGTACTCATATAGAAAATAATTACCTTCATGCCAGAAAGGGGTTCACTTACAGCACACATTCATTCATTCTGTCAGATAGTTGGTTAAACAGGTTTGAGCACCTCCTGTGAGTTGGGCACACAGTGTACTTACTGCATGTTGTCCAAGCTTTTCACATCTGTTATAATGAGGGGTACAGATAATTTCGTATACTTTATCTTTTGAATTTGTTTTTGAATACTAACATGACCTCCTCACATATAATTGTCAATGCTGCTCTTAGATAGTATCAACTGGATATTTACTATACTTAATCACCATGACTGTCTGTAGATATATCTATATCTAATACATAGTATACTAACTTTTCACCCATGTTCAACAAGCTTTAAGTATTTTCTTTTAATATTAAGTATCCCATGGTTGTTTTTGGTTTTAAATTAAAAGCTCTTAGAGCAGATGGTTTTTGCTTTGTTTTTGGTCTTTTTTTTTTTCTATGAAGTCAAGTGGATAAAAATTCTAGAAGCACAAATGTATACCACTATCCCAGTGAAAAGGTAAATTGTTAGCTCCCCATTTACAACTTTTGGCTATTTAACACATCATCAGGCGTAAGTAGCTTTTGGAACATTAAAACAGGAAGGTGGAATTCAAGTCTTCTTTTTTTTTTTTTTTTTTTTTTTTGAGACGGAGTCCCTCTCTGTCGCCAGGCTGGAGTGCAGTGGCGCCATCTCAGCTCACTGCAAACTTCACCTCCCGGGTTCAAGCCATTCTCCTGCTTTACCCTTCCGAGTAGCTGGGACTATAGGCACACGACCACACACGGGTAATTTCAAGTCATTCTTAATCACTGATAATCTCTATGTGCAATTTAACAGTATGTACCCCCCTCATACAGGCAGAGTGACAGTGTTTGGATTGGCTTTTTAAAACAAATTATATCCTTTTGCCCTTTGTAGGCAAAAAAAATTAGAGTATCCATGATAGTAGTTTCAAGACAGTGTTTTCTTATAAAATAAAAATGAAAGAAGTATATATGTATGTATATATATATGTGTGTGTATATATATATATATATACACACACACACACAAACAACAATAGCCTTTTAAAAAATGTGGAATGTTATTGTGGAAACAATGTCACAGAAAAAAATGGCTAGAGAAAATATGAATCAGCATGAAATGAGACATTTTGAGGGTTATTGAACACTATTCATTTTCATGGAAATAGGACAAGGTTATTTAGCACAGGTGTTTCTGTAATTGTGATACATTAGCAAAATTAGCTGTGTTCAATGGTCCTCAAACTTGCTCTGCCACCTGTATGTGAAATGGCCTACCATTAATACAAAGAAATTTGTTGTGAAACATGTACTGTAGAATTAAGTTCAAAACCTATTTGTGGTTAAATTGCCTTATTTTGTTAAATAAAACTTTGCTCCCATCATTTTTTTTTTTTTCATCCATAAGGGAAACAGAAAAGGAAAATATGCACACAATATGCTAAACTCTTAACCAATGGAAGAAAGAAAATATTCAAGAAAAACAAAGCAATTGTGTAGATCACAGTATAGTTTAAAAGTACTCTAATATTTAAACCATGTCCAACATTTAAAGCTGTTTTTATGCAGAGTGTGATTGCTTTTTCATTAATCTCTGAGGATTCTAGATAGAAATTTAAAAACCCTGGGCCCAGCCAATTAAATGTGTCTCTTAGAGTATCCTAGTGATATTTATTCACTTTCAAGTTTTCCAATCATAGATCAGATGGTTACAGATGCATGGAAGTTATGTGATTTTTAAAAACAAGAAAATGTTATTTAAAATATCAATATTCAGTGCTTGCATTTGCAAAGAAAAAATAGATTATACTAAGAACATTCTTTAATAATGAGCAAGCAGAGATAAAATAAATGTATTACTGTTCTAATTCTGTAAAAAGTAAGAGGGTGTCATGAAATTATTAATATTTTACTTAAATTTGTTTCCAAATCACTGAATTCAGAATCAGAATTACCAAAGTCACTGGGGTTTGATACTTCAGGATTAACATCTTTCATTGGATTTTTTAAAAATCAAGTAAAACTGTGACTACGTAGTATTAACCACTATATTCATTTATTTCAGTAGAAATTAAATATATATCTATACAGTATTCTTAGGTGAAATTGTTGATTGGATAGCTAAAAACATCAGTTCTTAATAAATTGCTTTGTCATTGTTAAGGTAAATCTTCAGAGTTTAGACTTTTTTAATTAAGATTTGACTTGTAATTTGCATATAAATTTGATAGTTTGATTTGTCATAAACAAATACTGAATGATCAGAGAAAAGTGTTTTAATACATCAAATTAGTTCAGTGGTACCAGCAGTTATGTAAGTATTAGTACCTGTGTCTTGGCGGGGTAGTCTTTTGTTTAAACTGTCAAGCCCATAAACAATCATTGGCAATAATCAATTAATTCTGATTCCTTCTCTTGGGACCACATGAACTTTTATCTCTGTCTCCATTCCTAGACAAATCTAGAAAAACTGCTTATCATAAGATAGACTTTTGTCAGATAATATAATAAATTCTCAGGGTTGCAACTTCTTGGATAGATATTTCTCTTTTGGAGTTACAAAAACGTCCTATCATGTCAACCATTCTATATACCAGCAATGTTATGTGACTGTGACTTAACATTCGGTTTTTCATTTTATTCATTTGGAAAAATATTATATAATAACTATCCTGTTGACTTAATAAGATAAATGTTTGACATAAACACTGCAATTACTTCATGAAAAAGATAATGATGTTCTTCTAGACAAAAAATATATGTGTCCATGACCAAATAACAGCTCTGTTTCTTGAACAGATTTTCCTGGAAAATCACAAGCCACCTACTCAGAACATGGAGCACCATACGCATTACTTTTTAAAAGTTAAATTTGCTGAGATTTTCTGATTCTCCTACCTCACTGCGAACTCTCAGTACTAACAGTTAATAAGATAATTTTGATCTATTTTGGCCCTTTTTACTATCTGCAAAATCTTTCCTTGCACTGCCTCTTCATCTTTTATATCTGGATTGAAACTGACCGTGATATTGTCCGTAGCTCAGGCACTGTATTCTAAATTTTAATAAGATCTTTAATTTTTTTTTTACTTTTTTTACATGTTTAAATTGACAAACATTAGTGGCATATTTTATGGGTTAAATGTAATTTTTTAAATGTAAGTATATATTATGGAATTACTAAAACAAGATAACTAACATCTTTCTCTCACATACTTATCTTTTGTGGTGAGAACATTTAAAATCTACTGTTTCAGCAACTGTGAACTATACAATGCAACGTTATTCACTATGGTCACACTGCTGCAGAGTAGATCACTAAAACTTCTTTCCCCTTTCTAACTAAAACTTGTACCATTTAGCAAACATCTCTCCGTTCCCCATCACCCCTTACCTCCTAACCCCTGCCTTTAGTAATCATTATTCTACTCTCTACTTCCATGAGTTTGACATGTTTTAATTCAACATAAATAAAATTATACTTCAGCACCTGACTTATTTCACTTAGCATAATATCCTCTTGATTTATTGACATTGTCTCAAATGACAGAATTTCCTCATTTTTTAAGGCTACAGAGCTTAATATCAAAGGAAGCACCTTGTTATTGCAGATGCCATTATAATCATTATGATTTTGTCTTAACTAAACATTGTTTGTATTGTCAGTACCATGCCTTACACATGGCAGGGACTCAACATGTGTATAATAAATCACTGAACAAATGAACACCTACATCAATTTTTGTGCCCAGATCACTTTTTAAAGTACTCTTCTGATGGAGTCAGAGTCCCTTGACAGATCTGGACTAATTATTCTCTTCCTGGGCTTGCACTGATAAGAAAATAGCATCATAGCAGTCACAATCTTCATTGACTAATTCTGAGAGATATCAGTGACTATTACTGACTGTAAGAGCTTATGTCTTTTTTATTAAACATAACTATTTGCTTTGAGAGAACAAAAGACATGTTTATAAATATGAGCATTTTTATTTGCAGTATAGAATATATTAGATGCTTGGATAGACATATTGATGGATATTACAATTTTTCTTTTATCATATATGTATTTATTAAGCACTGCTTTGTGACACCAGTTTAAAATACATGTTAATTTCTTTCATTTAACCAATTACAATGTAAAAGTTTCAAGAATGGCACAAAGAAACAAGACATTCTTATTGTTCAAGTGAAACAATATTGTTGGGTATAATCAAGTACGTTTTTAAAAGATGATTTTGTGAGGTCAATGGCAAAACAGATCACAAATGATAAAGAATTTCACATATCATTGTTTTGTAGTAAGTAACTGTCAAACTTATGCTTCTGATAATGACAAACAAGATACCTTAGAATAATTTAAATTATTTTTGTATGTAAGACAACATTTTAAGACTATAAAATAAATAGAAGGTAATCATTTAATTTTTTTTCACTAACAGTGGCAGAGTTAATGCACTGTCAAGAATTGCCAGGCTCAGATCTAGGAGAGAAAAGGCATTTACAGAGATAGGAGCTGCTTTTGCCCTGGAGTCGTTTGTTATTTTAGATAGGACATCTAACCAGTTTAGTGAAACTTTGGCTAAAGACTTGAAAACCTAAGGAAGCAAGAGTTGGAAATTAGGTCCAATAAGTTGTGAGGACCCGGTTTGGGCAAAGATACTAAAAGTTATTAGTATACTAAATTAGTAAAAGGGAATCAGAATTCAAGCAATTTACCACATGCAGGCTGGCTGTTATTCACCTGAGTGGCCCAGAAAATTTCAAACTCTGAATTTTTATTAACGTAATTCAGAATTTTGACTGCCCTTATCCTTTTGGCAAAAACAATTGACAATCATTTGAGAGAAAACATTATTCAGGCATCTAAAGACAGTCCAAATCAGTTTTTCATATACCACATTTTGTACATCCACTCAAAGAAATGAGGTTCGATGAAGAGAAGACACTGTGAGAAGAAATCAACAGACACAAAAGAATAAAAGAAAAAATCTATGTTAAAGCAACTATTACTATGTCCAAGGAGGTGAAGTCAAGAGTGGAAACTTCAACAAGATAGTACATACTGTAAAAGTGGCAGATTAGGATAAATAAAACCACACAAATTCTAAGACTAAAAATGTGAAGAAAAAAATGATTCAATAAATGAACTGAATAGCAAATGAGACACAGCTATGTAAAAAAGAAGTGATTCAGAATTGATATCATAGGAAACTAACCAGAAAAAAGTATGCATATATTTGTGTATATATATATATGTATATATATATATACACACACACACACACACACATAAAAGCATCAATACACACATATATATATGTATGAGAGCTTAAGAGTCACTGAGGATATGTAATAAAATCTAATATAAATTGAAGACAAGTGATGAAAATAATGACACAGAAAATATTAAAAGCTAATTGCTAAGAATTTTCTAAAATTAATGAAATATATTAACCTACAATTTCAGGACAGCAAATTCCCCGTAATGAAACTGCAGAGAACCAAGAACAAATAGAAGTGAATACAGCCTCAATGTGGTCTAAGAAACTAACCACTAGCCAAGAATTTTCTGTACAACAAAAATATATTTTAAAAATAAATATAACATTAAAATATTTTCAGACAAATAAAAACTAATAGAATTTTTTAATGAGCAGATACACCCTAAACAAATTCCAAAGACTATTAATTAAGAAAGAAGAAAAAGGAAAATGGTCATGAGCAAATCTTTTCAAAGATGTAGGGATGAATGGAGAGCAGCAAGAATGATAAATATTAAGACAATAAAACAAAGAAACTGACTAATCTAACAATGCCTTGGAGGTATTAAATATACAACCGAGGCTCAATTCAAGTACAAGTACATGTGGAAAGGGGTAATATAATTAAGGTCCTTGCATTTTCCAGAAGAATGGTAAAAGTACCAAGAAGTATTAAATTATGATAAGTCAAAAAGTATATTGTAATTTCTAGTAAATCACTAAAAGGAGAGTAAAAGACTGTATAAATTCCAAATCAAAAGGAACAAGTTGACCATTTAAGAGAAACCTACATTCATCAAAAAAAGGCAAGACATGCAGATAAAAGGGAACAAAAAGCAGTTAACACAAATAAATGAATTGGTAGGAGAGTCACAGTGACTACTATTGAGGGTAAATTGTGATTGAGGAAATGCTAGGTAGGAGATTCTAGATTGTTGAGGATACTTTACTTATTGATTTGGATATTTAATTCATAAATATTTATTTCATAACTACTTTTAAGCATTATATTCATATTTCATTACATTGTTACAGTAAAAATGTTAAAGAAATTAAGAATGATGATTGATCCTGCTGACTTGGAGGATTCTAGGCTTTTTGTTCTTACTTCCAAGGCATTATATGATTTTACAAGTTAGAGAAAGCTTAGGCGGAGGGACACTGTGGAAATACGAAGTTGTTAGGGAATACATTTCCTTTGAAAATACAAGACAGAAATTCATGAAAGTCAAATAAAATAGTACAAGATGAAATAATATACTTTCTAGCAGAAAAAGTAAATTCTTATTTACTTCAAAACACGTGGACATTTCCTTTAGGAATTTAAACTCATGCTTCCCAAAGGACAAATATTATGTTTCTATCATTCATTTATGTAAATTTTCAGATAGATGTGACCCTGTAGCCCTGATGATGATGATGATGATGAACCAGATTTGAAGGTGTTGAAAAAAGGGACATATGCACAAGATATTTCCAGGTTCAGAGTTAGGGGGAAAAAATTCAAATGATGATATACATTTTCTGGTCCATTATTATAAAAATTAAAAAAGAGAGAGAGCAATACACCTTTTATGTAATTTAGTAATGTGTTTCTATATTGAATTTGTGGCTAATTATCAATCTTATTTTTTAGCTTGAATCTTCCTAGATAACAAGCACATAGTTGTGAAAATGGAATGAAAATTATAGTGTTAAAGAACAAAGACAAAAGTTTTCCAGTTTTTTGGTATCAGAAACCCTTTATAATCTCAAGAATTATTAGGGACCAGAAAGCGATTTTAATTATCTGCATTTCATCTGTAGGTAGTTACCATATTAAAATTGAATCTAAGAGTATGAAAAATATATTAATTAAAGTAACAGTGCTAAACTCATTACCTGTAAACATAAAAAGCAAATTTGCATTAAAATTAAAAAAAAATTAATGTGAAGCTTGATATTCTCTTATTTTTATTAGGCTCTTTAATATTTGGCTTAATAGTATAGCTGGATTATCATTTCCAATTTTGCATTTAATATACTAAAATATGCTGTTGAGTTTAAAGTATATAAAGAAAACATGGTCTTACAGAAATTAACAGTTGGAAAATGAGGAGTATTTTAGTAACCTTTCCAGATAATTTTGTACAATCTTCTCTGCCACTACACTGAAAATAAAAAAGTGGTAGTTTGTTGAAAGTTAGCTGTAATATGAAATCTGAAACCCTATCTATGAACTTTTCAAAAGCTTCCTTGATTTAAAAAAATAGATTTTACTTTAAAATCTATTGACTCATCTTATACTTTGAATGACATTTTACCCTTGCACAATTTTATAATACCACCCATTAGACATTTGGAAAACATTGTTTCACTGAGCTATGCAGATCTTTTAAATACTGGCACATTTCATTACAGTGTCACATTAACAAAATTTTGTTAATTTAATTGTCAATCTAATCAGGAAAAAAACTTTGTTTTGGGAGACTAGTTTGGGGAAAGTAGTTGACAATTTTTTCCAAAATTTGTATTTTCAAGTTAAATTTTTAATTGTATAATTAACATAGGATATTGTCAGTTTTCCTTGAAGTGACAAGCTTGCTGTTTTTTACTTTTATTCCCTGCCCCCCCACCTCCCCGCCTTTAGCATCTACTAAATGTCACTACTATTCTTACATAAGAAATTTTGTATATTCTGGGACTACTATCTTCCCCTCATACTCCAAACCAGTTCATCAGTAAATCCTATCAGTGATGCTTTTAAAATATATTGTGAATCCAAGCTTTTTTTTTTTTTTTTTTTTTGAGATGGAGTCTTATTCTGTCACCCAAGCTGGAGTGCAGCGGTGTGATCTTGGCTCACTGCAGCCTCTGTCTCACAGGTTCAAGCAGTTCTCCTGCCTCAGCCTCCTGAGCAGCTGAGACTACAGGCATGTGCCACCACACCTGGCTAATTTTTGTATTTTTAGTAGAGCCAGGGTTTTACCATGTTGGCCAGGCTGGTCTCAAACTCCTGACCTCAATTGATCCGTTTCTTATCACTCTAATGTGACCACCCCTACCCAAGCCATCATCATTTCAGGTCTTGATTGTCAGCCTATCCTTCTAGATTCCTTCTGGATTTTTTTTTTCTCCTTCTACTGTTCCTTTTATCTTTCCATGTAGTGACCTTGCTTATTTTTCAAAAATATATTTTAAAATGCCACACTTCAGATGATTTAAATGGGGGCAATACACAGTTTTCTTGCAATGTTGAACAATTACCATCAGTTTTCCACCTACCCCTGTTTACCCTACTTGTGACACTGGAACATTTTTGCTTTGCTTTGTCTGTGGCTCATTGTTACACTTCATCTAGTACTAGAGGGGCACTGGAGAAGGATAGGGCTCTACTTCCTAGTTCCTGAGTGCTCCTCTTAGCTTGTTCTTACGGTGCATAGTAGCCAAAAGTGGACATCACCTTGCTGGGGACAGAGCACCTCACCTGTGGCACCTCAGGAAGCAGCTTCCCAGTAAGTTTTATCAGTGTAGTGCCTCGGTAATCTCTGCTACCTAGAAGACCACAACCATACCTTCTCCAACGAGGTCTAGATATCAATTCTGGTAGGTCGAGGGTTCTTTCAGATTTGTTTCTTCCTTGAGTACTTTCCTAAAGTGCTAGAGAGAGCAGTGGCAGCTCCCTATATCTGCTATCCCTATATTTTTTAGAGTTCTCTTACCCTTTAATAGATAATTCCCTATAATAATTAGTTACATTAAACTTCCCCTATTCAAATTACCATGTAGTTTCAGTCTCCTAGTTGGAGAGTCATTGGTAATAGTGTTTTCCAAGGCTCTGCATTATTTAGTTCCTGGTATTGCTCTGAAATTTTCAACTACATGCTCCCCCTGCTCACTTTGCTCTGGCCACACTGATGGACACATTGTTGCTAGAATATTCTCCTAATTAAATTTGTTTCGATTTTTGCCTAGAATATTTTTACTGTTATTTGAATGTCTCCTTAGCCGAGTCTTTCCCATTTATATAAAATAGAACTCCCATTACAATACTTTCTCTCTCTTTAGCCTACATTATTTTTCAAAGAAGTTTTGTCTCCACATGACCAGTTATAGTTATTTATTTCCTTGTTCACTCTGTGACTTCTCACTACAAAGTAATGCCCTTGAGAGTGGACACATAGTCTGTTTTGTTCTTGGCTAATATTTCTTCCTACACCTACATATATTCTACCACATAGTAGACACCTGTTAAATGACTAACTGAATGACTGAATAAATGAATTAGTTGCTTTTCTAGATGATAAAATGAGTGTCAAAAAAGATAAGTATAACATAAAAGTCAGGAGTTTAAGCTCTTCAGGGAGAAAAATGTTTGTTTAAATGTGGGTTTTGTTACTTCCTAGTAGTGTAATTTAGGTATAGTTCTGAAATACTGATGGTTTCATTTTCCTTATATGTAAGATGGGGATTATAATAGCAACTAATTTATACTTTAATTGTGTAAATAAAATTATGTATATAATGTGCCTAGTACAGTGCTTGACACATGTTAACAATTCTACACATTTAGTTATTTCTATAATCACCTACAGTGCAAAACCATAAATACAGGATTGTCATTTTTCTGGAGAGGTAGTAAGAGAGAGCTTAAGTTTCCAAAGTGAGTAAATAAGGTCTGGTTTTAATATAAATATATTGGTAGTAGCCTGATAATAAGAATGAACCCTAGGCTGGGCATGGTGGTTCATGCCTATAATTCCAGCACTTTGGGAGGCCGAGGTGGGTGGATCACCTGAGGTTGCGAGTTTGAGACCAGCCTGACCAACATAGAGAAACCCGGTCTCGACTAAAGATACAAAAAATTAGCCAGGCGTGGTGGCATATGCCTGTAATCCCAGCTACTCTGGAGACTGAGGAGGGAGAACTGCTTCAACCTGGGAAGCGGAGGTTGCGGTGAGCAGAGATTGTGCCATTGCACTCCAGCCTGGGCAACAAGAGTGAAACTCCATCTCAAAAAAATAAATACATAAATAAAAGAACGAACCCTAAAATCAAGTAGACAAGAGGATGGTTGAGGAGGCTGATGAAATAATATGCTATATTGCACGGGGAGTAACCATGTCACAGCAATGGTGTCACATTTCTTTGATTGAATCAGGGCATCACAGATAAGAACAAAGGGACTAAATAGATTAGAGATAGTTAAATACATACATTCATGCATATATACATGCATATATAGATTTTTTAACTACTAAACATAAATCAGATGATCTTAAAAGTGAAGGAAGAATATGGTTATATGAAGAGTTTCTCAAGGAATTTTCAACAATATAAATCATTTTGTTATTGAAACAGGATCACTATTGCCTCTCTTTTTTAAACAAAGATCTGTAACTGAAGCCTTTATGCTTGAAATTGATTTTCTATCTAGTTTTTAGAAATTGAGAGAAATATTTATTGTGAAATATTAAGGCGTCTCAAGCAACTTTACCTTTGAAAACAATTTTGTGTGGCCTTCAAACGTAATTGGTACTTTATTTTGGTTAAATATTTACTAGTTGATTCAAGGATCAAGTGACTATGTTCTACATTTTAGAAGCAAATAGGAATCCATTGATCATGAGCCCTAAAGAAATGCTATTGATGTGACAATGTGTGAAAGAGAAAAACGTTACTGGTGTCCATCATTACACAGAGAAAATAAATAGAGATTTATATAATTATCTCATTAATCTAGATTACACTTGTGTTAATTGAAAACACTCCTAAGTACTAAACTATAGAGTTATGAAACAGATTAATTAAAGAGTGATTATTTTCAATGTGAAATGATTCCTCTGAATACAAAATTGATTCATTTAATTAAAGTCCTCCTATTGTTTTAAATTGCTTATTTACCAACAAATAAATACTAACAAAAAGACTGAGCTAAAAATACTGAAAAATAGTTATATGTTACTGGAACTTGTGAAAATAGATACAACTAAAATTATACAATCAAGGCTGGGCATGCTGGCTCAAGCTTCTAATCCCAGCACTTTGGGAGGCCTAGGCAGTTGGATTGCCTGAACTCAGGAGTTTGAGGCCATCCTGGGCAGCATAATGGGACCTTATCTCTACAAAACATAAAAAAGAAAAAAAAAATACCCTGGACATGGTGGTGCATGCTTGTTGTCCCAGCTACTTGGGGAGATGAGGTGGGAGGATTGCTTAAGGCCAGGAGGTGGAGATTGCAATGAACTGTGATTATGCCACTGCACTTCAGCCTGAGTAACAGAGCAAGACCCTGTTTCAATACATACATACATACATACATACATACATACATACATACATATATACATACATACACACATACATACATACATACATACACACATATTATACCATCAGTCAATGGTAAAATGAAACTGAGTTTACAAGGTTCACCATTAATTTAAGAAATTTCTAAATATGACTGCATAAATGTAGATCTTGTTTATTTTCTTTATTTTTGGTCTCTTGATTCTGCTATGTATGGAATTTCTCCTTAGTCTCACCTACTTATTAAAATATGCTTTAATAACAAGTGAGCCTGGTTTTATACTTTTGGAGTCAATTTTACTTAATATGGTAGATTTGTTCATGATAAAAAGTCAATTTTATTTACATTAACACTCACTCTCAAACTCAATTCAAAGTGTAGTTCAATTTGTTTATATTTCAGTGGGCTTCAGGTGGTCTATGCTTCATGACCCATGAGCTCCCATCCTGGTGCTGGGGCAGGGAAGAGTCAGAGCTCCATAAGTGGACGCCTGTGGCCAGTTTTCTTCTTTGACTAAGGCTGACCGATGAGCTCTCCGCTGGCTTTCATGATGGCATACTTCAGGAGGTTCTTCTGAAGTCTGTGGGGGGGCCTCCCCTACTAATGTTTCTTGATACAGAAAATGGAACTCTATTTTGGCTTCTTGCAGCTATTCTTTTTCCTCTCCAGCTCTCATCAAATGAGGTACATCTGACATACAATACAATACATGCATACATACCTACATTCATATATGAATGCATACATGGATAGATTTTTTTAAACTACTTAACAAAAATCAGATGATCAATGGAAGTGAAGAATATGGCTATATAGTCTTTCAAGGAAGACACATATTCACTAACTTGGTGAATGCCTCTTTTTGAAGTGTCAACAAGACTTCTCAAGCCCACTTACCTCCCATGGTGAGCTCTCATATCAGGAAAAATTCACATTGTGGAAATGTAAAGTGTGAAACTGCTGCAAAGTCTCTCCATATCTTTTCCTGTGTGCAGGCACTGGAGATCAAGACCACTGTCTAGACACACATCCAACCAGAGAATTAGCTTTTCCCCAGATTTACAGTAAATTTATTGGAATACTAGCCAGTTAGCTTTAGGAAATAGAAGCATCCCTCATTCAGAAAGAGGAGAAAGAAACCTCTTTACAAATACTTCAATTGCCCGACATGTGAATATACCCTTTTTGTTCTTCTCTTATTGTTGATGAGAACAATAGTTATATTAATCTGTATAGATGTTGATATGGTTTGACTCTCTGTACCCACCCAAATCTCACCTTGAGTTGTAATAATCCCCACGTGTCAAGAGCAGGACCAATTGGAGGTAATTGAATCGTGGAGGTGGTTTCCCCCATACTGTTCTCCTTGTAGTGAATAGGACTCACGAGATCTGATGGTTTTATAAATGGGAGGTCCCCTGCACAAGCTCTCTTTCTTGCTGCCATGTAAGACCTCTCTTGCTTCCCCTTCATCTTCCGCCACAATTGTGAGGCCTCCCCAGCCATGGGGAACTGTGAGTCCATTAAAACTCTTTCCTTTATAAATTACCCAGTCTTGGGTATGTCTCTATTAGCAGTGTGAGACCAGACTAATACTAATCCTAGGAAATCGTAGAGGTAGGTGGCAGGCCTTGACTGCTAAAAGATCATGTAACTTAAAATGTGTAAATAGAGTGTTTTTTTTCCCACTAATTTAGACTCTAGCTCCATTTTCAAGACTATAGAAATATCTGAATCCTAAAACAACTTTCTGTCTCTCTTCGTCTGTGTATGTGTGTGTGTGTGTTCCTGCGCACGTGTGTGTGTTTCTATCTGCAATACTTTATTTTAATTATGGCTTCATTAGATGACTAGATCAATAACTCGATAACCTCTGTATCACCTATATTTACCTCCATGGCTATCTGAACAGATATATAAAAAGAAAGATAACTTTACTAGAAGAAGCCCACATGAAACTGGGCTTAATAATTTTCTAGTGAGAATTTTAATGAAAGAGGTTTATGTTTTAAAGCTGAATAATATTTTATTGTATATTTATTACACTTTCTTCATCCACTAATATGTCAGAGAACATTTAGATTGCTTTCATATCTTGGCTATTGTGAATAATAATGCAATGAACATGGGAGTGCAGATATCTCTTTAAGATATTGATTTTCTTTCTTTTGAATGTATACCCAGGAGTGGAATTTCTAGATCATATAGTACTTCTATTTTTAAGTTTTTGAGGACCCTCCATACGTTTTCGCAGGAGCTGCACCATTTTCCATTCCCACAAACGGTGTACAGGCTTCTGATTTCTCCATATCCTCAACCTAGAGGATATTATACTAAGTGAAAAAAGACAGTTTTAGAAGGACAAATGCTACATGATTCCACTTACATAAGATACTTAAAATAGTCAAATTCATAGAAGCAGAAAATAGAGCGGTAGTTGCTAGAAACTGGAGACGGGGGTATGGGATGTTTTCCAATGGATTTAAAGCTTCAGTTATGCATGATGAATAATTTCTGGAGATCTTCTGTACCACTTAGTATGTAGACTTCAACAACTGTATTGTGCATTTAAATTTTTACCATAAGAAATTAATAAAACTGTACGAAAAAAAACAAAGAAGCACAAGGAAAGTTTTGGAGATGATGTGTATTCATTACCTTGATTGTGTTGATGGTTTCACAGGTATATGCATATGTCCAAACTCATCAAACTGTATGCAATAAATATGTGCACTTTTTGCATATCATTTATACCTCAATAGAGCTGTTTAAAAATATAATGAAAAAAGCAACATTCTACTTCTCCTCTTCTGTATTTTAATAATAGACTTTGGCTTTTGTTCCTATGAGAAGGAGAGTGGTTTGGTCTCTGCTCAACAGCCTACATCATGATTTTGTTGATGGTTCCCAGTGGCAATTCTCAGTTTCCAACTATGTTTTTAAATAATTGCTGTTAGTGAAAATATCTCTTTTCAGAAGCACAGCATCTGTGGTGAGCACATCCATATCATTTCACACAAATTCCAGAAACCGCAATTTTTATAACAATGATAATAAATCTAAGCATTCCTATAAGTGGCAATCATGAAGTTTTCCATACTTACTTGGAATCTCTCACCATTCTGAACAGCAATTGAAACTATCACTAAACATCTGAGAAATCACTGTCCCCTAGTTTTCTTTATGCCCTCATGCCCATTCCATCAGTAAATATATAATTTCTGCATCTTCTTTCTCCCCTCAAATTCTAATTGTTCCTGTCTCCCAGATCTTTCACTTTGCTCTTAAGGTATTCTTGTTCTCACACCAAACTTTCCTGTCTTCAACTGTCATATGTGTTGCAATAACTTAGCACATCAAATATTTAGCCCATACACATTTGTGCTCCAGGTCCACATAGATATCAACTCCTCCCAAAAATTAGCAGATCAACTCTCAGCACCTAGAGAGTTTTTCTGTGGTTCTTTTTTTCAGTGTTGAGATCCACCTCAAACTTTTAAATTACCTCTGCACCTGCTTATTCACCAAGTTCTTCAGATTCTGATACCACACCATTCTAAGCCATGGTTTTCTTTGCATTCTGTCTCTAATTCACCTTTTATTACCCTTGACCTGAATTATTCCTTTAGGTCTTTCTTTATAAGATATGCCACATACTACTCCCTTATCACCTAGTGAGCAAATCTCCACAATTCTGCAAGAATGTTTCTGCCACAACGCATATCTAATAGTTAAAATAATCTCTTTACATTATCATTTTTCAAAAACATTTTGTTAGGTTCATAATTTTTAACTTACTACACTAAGCCCAAATCAAACTTTTTTATATTTGTAAAAGCGACTATGACTATGTCAATAATGTAGATTTTAGGATATGAATTTGTTAATATTTCTTCTTCATTACATCTTAATCACCAATACTTTCATCTATTATGCTCATTTATTTGACATTTTGAACATTTCTAAAATAAAAGAATATATATATTATAAATTTAAGATATGTTCATTTTAAACATTACACAAAGATATAAACTAGGAAATTTTGACGTGAATACAACATATAATTGGCATAATTCTTAAAACTGTAATAAGCTCTATGGAAATTTACAGTGAATACATTGAAAGTTTCATTTATTTGTGTATCATAGATGCAATATACAAGTTACTTTTTCCATATATACTTGTATAATTTAATATTTTCTGGGATGAGAATATATGTTGAAAATAATTGCTAATTATTTAAAATAAAACAAATCCTGTTGTTACTAATATTTGTTCTAATGCATGCATGGAATTTTTTAAAAATGGGAAATCTGTTGAGGTAAAATTATGTATGTTGTGAAAACCACATCCTGAACTGCACAAATCAAACTTCAAAATGAAAAATGTAGTATGTCCATTTATTTATTATTGCATTTATACCTAACTGCTTCTATTAGTAATGATATTAATATTCTATAAATATCAGAAAAAATGATAAATAAGAGCTAAGAGCTAACTTTTGGTTCAAAGGACAAGAATTTAAATTTTGCATATGTAAAAAACGTGCATTGAAAGATTGTAATTACCTGTAAAAAAATAACCTAGATATCTTTTTGTTAATAAAGAATATAAAAACAACACCACAGCAACAAAACTTAGATGATTATATTTTGATTGTGTGAATAGATATCGCTTTGGGTGAACCCTGGTCTAAGTTGTCTCACTACATCAATATTCATATATGTAATTTTTTTCCATATTTAACAGTAGTACTTATGACATTTATTTTATCACTATTTGTTAAATGTCTGTTGAAACCTAGAAGTTTTCATGGATATGAAAACGATAAAACTGTGGTCTTTCACCTTCTTGAGCTAAAAATACAAACCTTCAAGCCTGAGAGTGTAAAGCAGCCATTTACAGGTTGAGGTACAACACACAGTGAGAAAAACAGCTTTACTGTATACAGAGTAAACAGGCAACAAATCTGCAAATACTTACCTTTGAGATTTAAAAAGGCAGGGAGGGGTAGAGGTAAGGATTACAGAGAAGCATAAGGACACTTTTGGAGGTGATTGTGGAGATGGTTTCAGGATGTGTGTGTGTGTGTGTGTGTGTGTGGAACACTTCTTAGATTTGTTAAATTGTGCACTTTAAATGTTTGCAGTTTATTAAATGCCAATTACACTGAAACTGTTTTTGCAAAAGCTGGCATTTCTGTCTCCATGTTGCAATGGGCATTATGGGTCAACAAAGTATCCTAAGGTATCAGGGTCTGTATTAGTCGCTTTTTTTTGGTATTATCCTAGAACCAAAAGAGAGTATGTATTTTGGAATATATAAGTGAGCTCCAATTCCTGATATTGGTAATAAACTTTCCCCATCACTAATTTCTGTGAAAATGTTACTGTTATATACATTAATATGATAATATAGATACATTTTTAATGATAACTTACCAGGTACAAGAAACTACAAAGATAGTATTTTTATGATAGATAAATCACATCCCTACTCTGAATTAGTTTAGAATGAAAGTAGGTCAGGGGTTCGAGAACATTCTGAGAACATAGTGAAACCCCGTCTCTACTAAAAATACAAAAATTAGCTGGGTGTAGTGGTTCACGCCTGTAATCCCAGCTACTCCAGAGCCCAAGGCAGAAGAATCGCTTTGAATCCAGGAGGCAGAGGTTGCAGTGAACCGAAGTCACAACATTACACTCCAGAATGGGCAACAAGAGTGAAAATCTGTCTCAAAAGAAAAAGAAAAAGAAAAAGAATTGAAGTTTCCTTTTTAACAAAATAGCTAGGTAAATGTAGAATGAAAAGGGGTATATTACTCTGTGTTCTCCAGAGAAACAGAACCAATAAGAATTATATACAGATATATATCATAATTTATATATATATATACACACACACACATATCATCAGTATATATATATGTGTGTGTGTGTATGTGTGTGTGTGTGTGCACATGTATGGATTTTTTATAACCAGTTTACTCACATGATTATGGAGGATGGCAAGTCCAAATCTATAGAACCAATCTGTAGTCCCCGTTTGAATCCAAAGGTTGGCAGGTTGCTGGAGAACCAGGAAGAACCAATGTCCTAGGTTGAATGAGGAGAATTCTTTAGGCAGTAAAATTCCCTCTTATTCAGAGGAGATTCAAACATTGTTCTATTTGGCCTTCAGAAGATTGGATGAGGCGCACCCACAATATGAAGGGCAATTTACTTTACTCAGTCTATTGACTTAAACCTTGATATCATACAAAAATACCCTCACAAAAACACGCAGAATAATGTTTGACCAAATATCTGAGCACCCTGTGCCCCATTCAAATTGACACATAAAATTAACTCTCACAAGAGATCATCTTGGTTTCAATTTCTCTAACAGATCTTTATGTGCTTTTAAAAGTGTATTGGTTGATAGTTGCAATAAAACTGTTAATAAAAGTAGTTCGTGTAAAATATTGTATCAGTAAAATCTAGTATCAATAAAAATGTGTAGAAATGAAAAAGTGCAGTAAATTTGCAGAAAATAGTTTCATTACGTACTTGTTCATCTCATGCCTACTTTTAAGCAGCTGTAGTCTTAAGACACTTGGTAATGCCATGTAATTTCCAATGCTGGCTTATTTGCTGACACTAAATCTCTGTGTGGCAAGGACAGGATGAGAGTTTAAGAAATCTTGAGCATGATGGCTTTTCCAATGAATATCAATAGGAGAAACACCTGTGGTCAGACACTTTGGGCTGATCCCCTAAGGGAATGGGAAATAAATTACTCCAGTTCAAGGTGGGCTTTGATTTTGCTATTGCACGTTGCATCTGTCTTACAATTCTTTTAGAAGGATTTATATTTAATGTTTGATATAACCTTAAACTTTTTATGCACTATTTTTATCTGTATGCTTTCTCTATATATTTTTTCATAATTTTAAATGTTAAGCATTAAACATGAAACTCCATATAATTCATTACATGCAGACCTAGACTACAAGAAGTATTAATGTCACCAGATTTTACTTAAACCCAAGGAAGGATAACATTTAAGTATGGGTGTAAATGTGTAAAGTACCATGTAAGGACAAAAGACTATACCATCAATTATAACGTTGATTTATGGGGCAATAACAGATATGCATGTACAATATTTTGTAAAACTTCCCCCAAATAACAGGGAATAAGTGGATGTGGCTGTGTACTCAGCTTTCATTTATCTGAAGATGTATTATTTTCCTCATTTTTTTCCAGAGTAATTTCACTGGTTATAAAATTTGAGTTGACAGTTGTGTGTGTGTATGTGTGCGCAAGTTTGTGTGTGCATGTGTTTGTGTGTATTCTCTCCCAGCATTGGGAGCATTTATAGCTGCCAGCATTGGGAGCAGGTATAGCTGTCATTCCATTGTTTTCTCACCTTCCATGGCTTCCTGGGAAGTTGGTCAACATTCATATATTTTTTAAACTACATATAACATGTCTCTTTTCCATAGCTGTTTTCAAGATTTTCTTTTTACTTTTTGTTTTTCTCATTTAATTCTGATGTTTTATGGAGTGATCCTATTTGATTTTACACTGCTTACTGCTTAGGCTTGACTGGGCTTTCTGGGTCTTCCATTTAACATATTGATATGGTTTGGATCTGTGTTCCCACCAAAATCTCATGTCAAATTGGAGGAGGGGCCTGGTAGGAGGTGACTGGATCACTGGGGCAGATTTTATTATAGTGATTGAGTTCTCATGAGATCTGTTGGTTTAAATGTGTGTAGCACTTCCCCCTTCTCTCTCTCTCTGTCACCATGTGAAGACGGTGCTCCTTTCCCCTTCACCTTCTTCCATGGCAAGTTTCCTGAGGCCTCTCAATCATACTTCCTGTTAAGCCTGCATAACTGTGAATCAATTAAACCTATTTTCTTCTTAAATTACCCAGTCTCAGGTAGTTCTTTATAGCAGTGTGAGAACAGCCTAATACAGAAAATTGGTACCAAAAAAGTGGGGCACCTCTATAAAGGAACCTGAAAATGTGGAAATGACTTTGGAACTGGGTAAGAGGCAGAGGTTCAAGCAATTTAGAGGGCTCAGAAGAAGTCAGGAAGATGTCAGAAAGTTTGGAACTTCCTAGGGACTTACTGATTAATTTTGACCAAAATGCTGATAGTAGTATGGACAAGAAGTCCAGGCTGAGGTGGTCTCGGATGGGGATGAGGAACTTATTGGGAACTGATGTGGTCTCAGACGGGGATGAGGAACTTATTGGGAACTAGTGTAAAGGTTACTCTCGCTGTGCTTTAGCAAGGAGACTGGTGGCATTCTGCCCCTGGCCTACAGATCTTTGGAACTTTGAACTGGAGAGAGACAATTTAGGATATCTGGCAGAAGAAATTTCTAAGCAGCAAAGCATCAGGATGTAACCTAGCTGTTTCTAAAAGTGTATGCTCATATGTGTGAACAAAGAGTTCATCTGAAACTAGAACTTATATTTAAAAGAAAAGCAGAACATAAAAGTTTGGAAAATTTGCAGCCTGACCATGTAGTAGAAAATCAAAACCCGTTTTCTGAAGAGAAATTCAAGCCTGCTTCAAAAATTTGCATAAGTAAAGAGGAGCAGAATGTTAATAGCCAAGATAAGGAGAAAAATGTTTCCAGGGCATTTCAGAGACCTTCACAACAGCCCCTCCCATTACAGGCCCAAAGGCTTAGGAGGAAAAATGGTTTTGTGGGCCAGGACCAGGGCCCAGCTATTCAGTGCAGCCTCGGGACACAGTGCTGTGGGTCCCAGCCACTCCAGCTCCAGCCATGGCTAAAAGGGGGCAAGGTACAGCAAGGGCCATGGCTTCAGAGGTTGCAAGCCCCAAGCAGCTTCCATGTGATGTTGGGCCTGCGGGTATCCAGAAGGCAAGAATTTAGGTTTGGGAACCTCTGCTTAGATTTCAGAGGATGGCTGGATGTCCAGGCAGAAGTCTTCTGCAGGGATAGAGCACTCATGGAGAACCCCTATTAGGGCAGTGTGAAGGGGAAATGTGGGGTTGGAGCCCCTGCACAGAGTCCCCATTGGGGAATTGCCTAGTGGAGCTATGAGAAGAGGGCCACTGTCCTCCAGACCCCAGAATGGTAGATCCACCAACAGCTTGCACTGTGTGCCTAGAAAAGCCACAGTCAGTTTGCACCAGGCTGCGAAAGCTGTGGTATGGGTGGTATCCTGCAGAGCCACAGAAGCAGAGCTGCCCAAAACCTTGGGAGCCCACCTCTTGCATCAGCATGCCCTGGATATAAGATTTAAGAATTTCCCTGCTGGATTTCAGACTTTCATGGGTCCTATAGCCCCTTTGTTTTGGCCAATTTCTCCCATTTAGAATGGGAGCATTTACTCAATGCCTGTAACCCCATTGTATCTTGGAAGTAAGTAAATAGTTTTAATTTTACAGGCTCATAGGTGGAAGAGACTTACCTTGTCTCAGATAAGATTTTGGAATGTAGACTTTTGAGTTAATGTTGAAATGAGTTAAGACTGTGGGACTGTTGAGAAGGAATAATTGCATTTTGCAATGTGAGAAGGGCATGAGATTTAGGAGGGGCCAGTGGCAGAATGACAAGGTTTAGATTTGTGTCCCTTCCTAAATGATCATGTCAGATTGGAAGAGGGGCCTTGTGGGAGGTGATTGGATCAGGGGAGTGGGTTTTCCCCTTGCTCTTCTAATGATAGTGAGTTCTCACAAGATTTGGTTGTTTAAAAGTGTGTGGCACTTCCTCCTTCACTCTCTCTCCTGCACCATGTGAAGAAGGTTCTTGCTTTTCCTTCACCTTTGCCATGATTGTAAGTTTCCTAAGACCTCCCAGTCAGGCTTCCTATTAAGCCTGTAGAACTGTGAGTCAATTAAACCTCTTTTCTGCTTAAATTATCCAGTTTCAGGTACTTCTTTATAGCAGTGTGAGAATGGATTAATACACATATATATGTTTTTTAATGTGGGAATGTTCAGATTATTATTTCTTCAACTATTTGTGTTGCTGTATTCTCATTTTATTTTGTTTCTAAACAAATGTTGTTTGTTTCATTTTATTTTGTTTCTAGACAAATTTTGTTTAAATAGCATACGGTTTTATGTGTATATATCACTTGACATTATCTTCCATTTCAAACATTTTTGTTTATCTATTTTTTAAATATTGTGTCACTGTGAATAACTCTGCATGCTAATTTCAAAATATGGGCTATCATATGGTTGGTTTCTATTGTTTATTTTTTTTTTACTTTTGGTGGTGGTTGTTCTAGATATGAGTCAGCTTTCCTTCTTAATATGCTTACTTAGCAAATCACATTTTCTTAAAATCAGATATCTTGATAGTCATCATAGACAATGGGTAAGAATTATTTTAATCTCAATGAAAATGTTGGATGAATCATATTTCTTTAGACATATTATAAGAATATGTGGACAAATCATTAATAACATTTGCCTATTTATTCTGTGTGTTCATATATGAAGAAATCTTACAAAATGTAGAAGCATTTGCCATTGAATTTTTGTGTTATTGGACATAAACCTTGCAGATCACAATTATCTGGATGGATAAAGATGAAGAAACAGTTTGTTTCTAAAGAGATATTTAAGTGGACAACAAAATTATTTTCTGATACTATCTTAATTATATAAGTTACAATAATTAATTCCCACTCCTACCTCACTTTCACCCCACTCCAGCCACTCATACATACAACTCTTAATCACACCAGCGCTGCTGAAAATATATATACTCTGAAAATGGAAGCACAAAATCATGCATGATTTGCAAAAAAACAGGCAAGAGAGAAACTTATTAGATCAAGGAGATTATCCTATGAATTCTTATTTATTTCCACAAAAAATATACTAGATATAAGTTTAGGTAGCAAAAATAATCAAGGAATAATTTTATAGTGCATTGTGAGAAAATATTCTAAATTTATCATTTTTAGAGAATGTATTAAATATTTTGAAAGTGTACTTGGTAGCAATATTATTGAATACGAAGTATTCAAACAAATATCCTATTTGGAAAGCTTAATTATTATGTCAATATTGTGGTTTAAATACAATGTTGTCCTTCCCTTGGCACCTGCCAATCTCTGACCTATTCTTCCTCTATTGTGAGTGAAGGGCTCACTGGGCAACTTTCCCAGCCTTTGCTGGAGAGCTTCCGGGATTTCTCTAAATGACTTCGTGTCTTTTTGCCACCCAGCTTCCTCATTACTCCTTTCTAATAGTAATGCATCACATTACTATTACTCATTTCTAATAGTAATGTATCACATTACTATTACCACAATTAATATGACTGGGTTACTCAATGTAAAATGTATATTGAGATTTACAAAAAATTCTGTATCTTGACATTAATTTGTATGTTGAAATTAGTAAATCTTTTTGTTTTTCCTAATGAAAAGCAAATATGAGGCAATTATTAGTGCGTGTTCTATATTAATATGAAAATTCAGCTTATAATTATTCTATGTTTCTACCATACTTCTCTTTGGCAGCGTTTACATATATTTATCAAACAGAAAAAAGAGACAGTAATATTTCCAAAATTCACAAAGTCAGTTAATCCCTTACAATTATGGCAGAAACTTAATTGAACAACTGAGGTTTCCTCAGGATTAAAATGCCAAGAGATGTTTGGTTTCTTCATTGCAGAAAAATTTCTATTTTCTGCCTCAATTTAAGATATCAACATTAAAAATTAAAAAAGCAAAATTTTGATAATATAAAATATAATATTTGTCACAATTCTAACATTAAGTTATAAATGGCTATCACATTTTTCTATGAGGTTTAAAACCTCCCTGATGCTATGAAGATGCCTGTTTAATGTCAATTAAAATAAATAATCCTAATTATGATCCTAATTACTTTCCCATTCTTAAGTAGTCTAGGACATTTGCTTGCTGTAAGTACTAATGTACCAGAGAAATCATTAGTTAGAATTTAAGTAGTAAACACGGGCAAAAATAAGACCTTCACAGATATATTTCTGTTTATGGCTATTTATGGTATAAGTTAAAATAAGATTAAGTGTAATTATACCAATTATCTCTGAATTTTTTTCTTTGAGAAAAAAGGAATGCTGTAACAAAATTGAAAAAGAGAAATTGTGTTAAAATAAGCCTTGGTTTGGTATATTTTAAGATATACAAATAAACAATAACATTCAAAATTAGTTAAGTACTTGACTCATAAATTTCACAAATTGTGGTTTTTAATAGACATGACATCCATCCAATATTCTTAATTGAAGAGTTATATGTAGCCACTCCAAGAAAAATTTGTACTGAGAAAATCTACTATATTTGATCTAGATTTAACTATAACCCAGTAAGGCAGAAATGTCCTACTTTTAAGTAAAATTTATCTTGCACAATAATCTAAATCCATACTATGAATAATTTTTCTAACAGTGATATTTTAGTTTCTATATCTGTATAAAGTAGATGGAAGTGAGCACAAGGCACTAATTTATAAACATTAAATTTATGATTAGAATTGAGCATTGCAAAATAATACTAGGACTCATATTGATAATTAAGACTGCCAAAATTATTATTTCTGCTATTATTCCTTATAACACATATGAAATACTGCTCTTATTCTAGGCAACTTCTTTCTGAAAAATATCTGAATATTTTAAAGGAAGCTATTCTATTCTTCAAGATACTGGTCATTATCACAGTGTTTCTACTGAGAGAAATTGTATCTTTCTAATGTTTTAATGTTTTAACACTGGAAATACCCAATTATTAAAAACCTGTTGTTAAAAATTATTTAATATATTTAATGCTGTTTAATTTTAATTTTATCCAGTAACTCACACATTAATAAGTACATGTTGAATATTTTTTGAATTTTGCTAATTAAGAATGACAAATTAATATTTCCACTGTGATTCTTTATAAAACAAATGTTAAATATTCTCTTATACCACGTGCCCTCTTCCCCAAAATATCTTGATGTAAAGCAGTTAATCCTGGCTAACAAACAGCTACTATATATGGACTTTACAACCCAATGGTCTCAGAGTTGTTGAATTTCTCCTGTGAAGTTTGTGTCCAAAATCTCAAAAAGATCTAAGTGCGCAAAGCTGGTCCAAAACACTCCAAGTGTCCAAAAGGTCCAGGAAAAAGGAGTTTGGGCTTTTCTCACTTAGCATTGGAAGGAACATAGCACCATTTTTGCCATATTTAATTATTTGAAGTATTCATAAATTTACCCAGGTTCAGCAACGGGAGATTGGGTACCGCTTTTGGGGGAGGAGTGGTAAATTGACATTGTAGACGATCATGCAGAATGGGTGATACTGTTGAGGCCAATTTTTGAAAATGCAGTTCTGCCACATGAATATAACAGCTTTCAAACCAGTTTATGAAAAGACTAGTGTGTGAGAGTCTATGTCATACTTATTATCAATTCACTTGACAGAGTGGGAGAGATGGGGAAAAGACAAGAGCATAACTTGATAAACTCAAGTGATCAGTATCTGTTTCTTAAAATAACTCTTATGGTTATTCACAGTGATGATAGGGCTTTGTATGAAATTGACAAGTTTGTAAAGAATGATTTCAATTTGATATTTGTTTTAACATATCGAGATATATATATATATATGTTTTTCTTTTTTTAGACACAAGGTCTCCCTTTGTCGCCCAGGCTGCAGTGCATGCAGTGTGAACGTCATACACCTGTGCAGCCTAGAACTCCTAGGCTCAAGTAATTCTCCTGCCTTAGCCACCCAAGCAGCTGGGATTAATGGTGTAACCCATGGTCCGGGGCTAAATTTTCAAGATTTAAGTTAACTGAAAAACTTCGATGGACATCGTATTAGTCATGGTTCTCTTAGAGGAACGGAACTAATAGGATATACATATATATACATATACACACATACATATACACATATATATACACAGTAATATATATATATACACATCTTATATATATTGGATGAATAATATATATACATCTAATATGAATATTTATAAAAAGAAAAAATATTAACTTTGTTCAAAAAACCCTATTCTAATTTTAACCTATTGTATGCATTATTAATACTTGCTCATATATTCAATTGGAAAGTGAGATTCCAGAGATTTAATCTAAAAATCTTCTTTCTTCATATATGTATACATAAAGGGGAGTTAATAAGTATTAACTTACACAATCACAAGGTCCCACAATAGGCCGTCTGCTGAGGAGCAAGGAGAGCCAGTATGAGTCCCAAAACTGAAGAACTTGAAGTCCGATGTCTGAGGGCGGGAAGCATCCAGCAGAGGAGAAAGATACAGGCTGGGGGCTAGGCCTCTCTCTCACTTCACATTTTTCTGTCTGCTTTATATTCACTGACTGCTGATTAGATGGTGCCCAACCGATTAAGGGTAGGTCTGCCTTCCCCAGTCCACTGACTCAGATGTTAATCTCCTTTGGCAACACCCTCGAAGACACACCCAGGATCAATATTGCATCCTTCAGTCCAATCAAGTTGACAGTATTAACCATCACCGATGTAAAATATTTTAAATCTTGAAATCATGTTAGAAAAACACAAAAGGAGAAAGTTTTAGAGAACTCCATGTAGGGAGATTTAAACCACACCTTTTGTTTTGGAGAAAGACAATGACAGAATGTCCATCACTTCAGTAAAAGATCTGTTTTCAAAAGCAGGGGTTATGAGAACAATACTGGAAAAATTCTATTTTTTTTTTTTTTAAGATGGAATCTCGCTCTGTCACCAGGCTGGAGTGCAGTGGCACGATCTCAGCTCACTGCAACTTCTGACTCCCTGGTTCAAGCGATTCTCCTGCTTCAGCCTCCTGAGTAGCTGGAATTACAGGCAAGCACCACTATGCCCAGATAATTTTTATATTTTTAGTGGAGACTACGTTTCACCATGTTGGCCAGGATGGTCTGGATCTCTTGACCTCATGATCCGCCTGCCTTGGCCTCCCAAAGTGCTGGGATTACAGGCGTGAGCCACTGCGCCCAGCCAAAAATTCTAGTTTTAAGCAGAGACTAATACAATGCAGCAACAATAACAACCAAAAAAAGAGTAAAAGAAAATTGATCTCAAAGAATAATGATTTAGCAGTAGTAACAAATTCTAATAAATAGTAGATGAATGTTTAACCCAAATATAAAAAGAAAAAAAAAATAACTGTTCAAAACCCTATTCTAATTTTAACCTATTGCATGTATTATTAATATTTGATTATATATTCCAATGGAAAGCGAGATTCCAGAGATTTAATCTAAAATCTTCATTCTGCATACACACATAAATTTATGGATAATATAAGTACTTGGAGTGTCAGGTGTATAAATTAAAGACAATATACATAAATGGAGAAGAAAGACAAGCAAGAAAAAGTGATAATTTGCTCTGGGTGTCTTGCAATCTTATCTACATCCATTAAATATTGGACCCCTTGAGGCTGGTTACAGCACTGAATGTTTTTTCTCTGCAGAACATGTTCTTTTTTAAACAAACATCTATCATAGGTTGGGTTCCCCAGAAAACAGATTCCGAAATGGAGATTTGGTTGTATTGGGTTAATAGGGAATGTTCTCATGAACAACAGGAAAGGGTGTGCAGGAAAAAAGGATAGAGCAGAGTGAGAAGCAACTATAATCCAATTGCTACAGAAGGCCAACCAGTCTAGTTTGCTTATGGCACTCCCTGTTTTAGTGTTGAAAAGCTTTTTTCAGGGAAACTCTGTGGTTTGGCTAAACCTGAATAGGATCAACCCATGTGCCATGTGAAACTCTGGAGCTGACATGTCGCTTCAGACATGTTCTGAATTAAAATAAGAGGACCCTGATGCCATCCACTAATCAATTTTTGCAAGTTGATTTTCAGGAAGGGGTATAACTTTGGATGATGTAGATCCCTTCTGCTGAGGGCAATTCAATAATGTCTCGAACAGTTCAAATTCCACATGATTATCACAGAATCCACAAGGCTTCCCCAAACCTGATTTTCTCCTTAACTTGAAGAATAGCACTGTGTATCCTACCTATTTTTTGTGCTCTCCACTTAAAAACTTTCATAAAATCTTGTTATTTTTATTTCTCCAATATCTCTCCAGTTTTTATTTTTTTCTCTGTCACCCAGGCTGGAGTGCAGTGGTCACTGCAACCTCCGCCTCTTAGCTTCAAGTGATTCTCCTCCTTCAACCTCCCAAGTAGTTGGGATTAAAGGTGCCCACCACCACACCTGGCTAATTTTTGTATTTGTAGTAGAGACAGGGTTTCACCATGTTGGTCAGGCTGGTCTCGAACTCCTGACCTCAGGTGATCTGCCTGCCTTGGCCTCCCAAAGTGCTGGGATTATAGGCGTGAGCCCTCCCGCCTTTTTTTTTTTTTTATCTTTTTTATTTTTTAGACACAAGGAGTCCCTGTGTTCCCCAGGAAGGAGTACAGTTGCATGATTATAGCTCACAGCAGCCTCAAACTCCTGTGCTCAAGCAATTCTCTTCTCCTGCCTCAGCCTCCAGAGTAGCTGGAACTACAGGTGTGTGACACCATTCCATATATTTTTTCTTCTCTTGCTTACTGGGGATTAGGAGAAAACATATTCATTTGAAATCTAAATTCTAGGCTCATGTACCATACAACTGTTTTTCAGATTCTCTTTGACTTTTTATTTATTTATTTATTTATTTATTTATTTATTTTTGAGGCAGAATCTCACTCAGTCCCCCATGCTGGAGTGCAGTGGCACAATCTTGGCTCACTGCAACCTCCACCTCCCGTGTTCAAGCAATTAGCATGCCTCAGCCTCCCAAGTAGCTGGAATTACAGGCGTGCACCACCACGTCTGTCTAATTTTTGTATTTTTAATAGAGATGGCATTTCACCATGTTGGCCAGGCTGTCCTCGAACTCCTGGCCTCAGGTGATTTGCCTGCCTTGACCTCCCAAACTCTTTGAAGTTTCTTAATACATGAGAATATAAAATAGTAGGAAAACATTTCCTGGAGCTGATTTTCATATCTACATGATCCACTGTTCTCACTAAAGCATTTCCATCATGTTACAATGGAATCTTCTCTTCTCCAGTATGCCTTCGTCAGTGAAAATAAAAAGACTAAACTTCTGACATCATAACAATTACAATGCCGACATTCTGAGCAGAGAGAGAGAGAGTATACAGAGGAAAACTCCAGAGAGCTGACTGGAAGCCAGTTTGATACTGGGGAGTAGGTCTTATTTGCAGGAAGCACCACAGGCCAACAGAGCTATCAGCTCCTTTGAGCATCTGGATGTAAGCAACACACCTTTGCTTCTAAGACTTTATCTTCCTCTCTCTTCTTATGTGTAAATGGCCCATTTTCCATGGTTATTTTGCAGTCCAGAGGCCTCAACACTCCTGAGCCCTTAGAATTGAAGGTGAAGAAATGAACAACTTTTGAGGATGACTAAGGGGAAATTTTTAATTGTGATAAGGGAGGAACTATATCAAACTACTTTAAAACTATTCACTTAGCTAGGTAAGTGAATCACATCGTATTTGTTCCATTGATATCAATCCAGATGTAATAAAATTGTAATATTGCGATATTTAGCAAAATGTCTTCCATTTTGGAATGGGGGAGTATATTATGGCACTTATAAATATTGTGTAATATGCAAAATGTGATCAAAGTCTGTGTTAAATTTTAAAAAACCTGTTAGAAAAAATTATACTCATTTTGGAAAGAAAAAAATTATAAATGGCTTGTTCTACTTTAAGTTATTAGAAGTTTCCCAAATGACAATTACGGTTAACAATTCCCCAAATGTGTCAATTGATACTTATTTATTAAAAGGGGTTTGTAATCTCCTGCTTAAATATGATTTTGAAAATCTAATTAAAATTCTCATGTTTCTGTATTCAGATTTTTCTTTCTTAGTGTAAAAACAGGATACTACTGCTCAGAAAGACAATCTGTTTTATAAATTGGTAATAAAATTTATAATTTATAAATTGGTGAAAAAGAAAAAATAGATTATAAAAGATAAAAATCAAATTACTTAAGCTTTTGTATAATGCTTAAAAAATGGGGTCATACATACAAATTCACCAATCTTTTACCTAATGATTTAGATAAGGAACAAATAGTCATATGAAGCCCTCAAATCACCCTTAACTTACTAACTTTGTCAATATTTTATTGAATATTGTTACACATTTATTTTTCTATGATGTACAAGTTTGTCTGCTTTTACTAGACAGGCTTATTCATATGCTTATTAATTTTTAAAATGTAAAATCAATAGAGCAATTCACAAGATAACATGTGTATGTAAATATGTGTGTGCATACAAGTGTATATGTGACTATGTCTATGTATATGTGGGAATGAATGATACTGTGAAAACTCTATCTCCCAGCCTATTGTTTCATCACCCTTTTTCCCATTTATTCATACTGTATACCTTTTCCCAGTATTCATACTGTATAACTTTTAGAAATTAGTTCTTATATTTATTTAAATTCCAATAAGCAATTTAAAATGAAAAGGTGTAGTGTATTCTTTATTTAATATTTTTAATACAAAGAATACATGTAGAACACATAACTAGCATATAATGTGTATAACACATATTTCTTTTGCAACATGAATTTTTTTACAATTTAATACAGCCAGGCTAGTAATCCCAAAGGTCTTGATGCTGACATATGAAATCTTTAAACTTTCCTTGGTTATTTTTTAAAAGGAATTAAAACAGAATCCTGATCTTGCAAATAAAAGGGATTATATTTTAAAGTTGAAAGACTTCATGTTTTGTTCTGTTTCAGTTCTTGAATAAGAGTGATACAGAATGTTACTGACTATACTGTCTTATATACAAGCAAACAATATAAGTAATGTTTATTGACTAATTTCAATGTCAGGCATTGTTCTAAGTGCTTTACTTATACTAATTTATTTAACCTTCATAACTCCTTAAGTTAAACTATTTCAATATCTCTCTCTTACAGATAAGGAAATGAAGGCACAAAGAAGTCAAGTGCTTTTCCAATGCCAGAGAAGTAAGAGGTAAGTTATTATACTCTCTGCCCTTCTGGAATTGTTGGATAGGATTCCTTGGCTCCACAGAGCTGGTGATAGGCTATTAACTATGGATTTGCAATCAGGTACTAAAAGCTCACCTTGAACTGGGCTGTCATAATCTTTTTCCCTGTTTTTGACATAATATGCTGTGTTAATTATATGATAACTGTGGTGTTAACTGAGAGTAAAATATATCCTTCAAGTTGCTATTCTAAGACTGGTCATAAATTTTTATTGACTCACTCTTTAAGTCATTGATTTTTGGTGACTAATATTACAAATTTGCAGTGGAACTTAATGCCATGCTTACCTACGTTTACCATAGCATTCTGCCTTATGTACAAAGAACAAAAAGTGGAAAATTAAAAACTTGATAATTAAACATTGACTAGAAGAAATTCATTCGAAGGTGCTAAAACAAGTTTTGATGAGGTCCCTAATCTTTGAAGATATGGTGATATAGATTTCAAAGTATAGCTTTGCTGAAACTGCCTTTATTTTTCTTAATACAAAGTAAGCACTTAAAGTAAGTTTTACTCTGCAACATGGAAAATGATAGCATGTAAATTTTATAGTTATTTTTTTATTTGATGTTTACAGAATGTTTTAGCAATGACAAGTTGAAGTTTACTTCAAATACATTTGGAATTAGAGCTGATTTACTATAGCTGTATATTTTGAATTACATAGGCAATATATTTCAAGATATAGATATATATTGCCATTGCAATATAGAAACAGATTGCTTATTTTGTCACGGCAGAATTATTTTGCTTTGGGGACAGAATGTTAAATTCTATGAATATTTATGAAGCCTATTTCTCTACATTGAAGAAAATGTTTCTCCCAAATGTTTTAAATTGAAATGAAATACAATTCCGTCTTCTTCATGTGAGGTACCACTGCTGCATCGGTACATCATACTCAGTAATTCAGGTAGAATAATTTATATGCCAACTCTAGCACATGGCTCAATCCTGAGTATGGTAAGTATCAAGCTAGTAAGGGTCATATCTGAAAAACAGAACGTTCCTTCTCATAACATAAGATCCTCTCGAATTCTCATTAGGTCATACTGCTTGAGGCATTGCCTGCTTTACTGGTTCCTGATCTACAATTTCACCATTAATACTTGACTACCTTAACTCATTTAGCTCTATTAACACTCAATGTGATGAATATTGTTTCTCTTCATTTTATAAACGAGGAAACTGGATCATTCGAGCCTAAACAGAGCTAGTAAGTTTCCTTAACCTCTACTTTCTTCATACTTTCATGACCACTGCCTAAGAATAGGTGTAGCAAACATTTATTTTCATCTATTTTGTTGAAATTATGCTACATAAAAATACAACTATAAATTATGATTCTTCATAAAATCATTAACTATCAATTTACTACTTTTTTAGTAGAAAAAAATTGTAAGCAAAAAGCAAAGCAGCCTTTTTTGGAACTTAAATATTAAGAGAAAAAATGATGTAAATAACCCATGTGTATTAGAGCTGGCTTGTGCTGGCTTATGCAAGTCAATTATTAAGTTTTCATAGATTTCATGGGTATGTTTTTAAATACAATCACGTTTTAAAACGAAATCTTATGAATGTGCAATTACACATTATTAAAAACGAAGGTGGCAAATACTCAATATTTGTCATTTTCTCATAAGTTTACTATGTTAACTATGATCTATGTTTTTAAAGTTATTTGTGCTCATTATGTCTGGAGGGTAAAATACTAAATAATCATGTGTTCCTGCACATCTCTTCTCTGTTTTGTGTTAGGTGACATCATGTTGGTAGATTGAAATTACTCATGATGGGACTATATTTACATCATAGAATTTGACAAATGCTGGAAACAAAAATTTGATTCATTGTTTTGTTGATGCTTAGACTTAAGAAAGTGATGTGAAAATGTTAATAATGCAAATTAAACTTAAAAAGCTGCCAGGTTTGTAGTCATTACATTGTGACTAGTGCACACACACACACACACACACACACACACACAACAAAAATGAAAACATATTCTTCTAGTAGTCAAACATTATCATCTGATTCAGCAAAGAACTCATCCATATTCTTGACAAATGAGTGAATTGCCAAAATGCCTTTTTGTGGTTTTACTCTCATCTTACTTGTTAAACAAATAAAATTATCAACTAACATTCATGTCGAAAAAATGTGCTCTCATCAATGATGTGGATGAATGCTGAACTGGATAGTGATTCAGCATCTATTTGTAGTCTGATTTTGTTAAATCACAGTTAAATTGCAAACATAAGTTTGCCTCAGATACAAGAGGTCAGCAAAAATCAATAAAAATGTTCTGTAAAAATCAATTGGCTACATGGAATTGCAATAGAGTATTGTATTTTTATTATTATTTGTAAACTGTGTCCTATATCATATCAGTAAAAATATAATAAACTCAAACATTTTTTCAAGGTTTACTGTTAAACATTAACCAGCATACCACTGCAAACTCTCACTCAGTAAAGGCTGCAATATAGAAAAGAAATGTGTAGTTTAGGAAATCTTAAGAAAATACTCTCAGCATATAAATCAAAATAACATTGAAATGTTCTAGTATGAATTAGTAATAGGTAAGTGGGAAAAAAAAGACTAACCAAATAAAGAAGTTTGAGTTTATTTCAATAACACAATTTTTGTTTATTCGTTTGTTCCTAAGAACAGCTTGGTGATAGGCAGTTTCCTAACCTGGTTTCCAGTGATCTCTGCTTCCTGACATTCTAGCCCATGTGTAATATCCTCCCAATGAATATGGACTTCACCTAGTGATGTCTTCCTAAAAAGTAGAATATTGCAAAAATGATGGGATGTCACATTTGAGACTAGATTACAAAAGACTAACTTCTATATTGCTTGTACCCTTTCTCTCTCTGTGGCTCTTGGGTGCTTTATCTGATAAAGCAAGTTGTCATGTTGTGGACTGTTCTACAGAGAGGGTCTCATGGCAAGTAACTGAAGGCAGCAAATGTTCAGTGAGAAAATAAGGCCAACAGTCCAAAAGCATTCAATAAATTGAATTCTGCCAACAATGATATAAGTGAGCTTGGAAGCAGACCATTTCCCACTTAAACGTTCAGATGAGACCACAGCCTTGGTGGATACTGTGCTTGCATCCTGTGAGAGATGCTGGAGAGAGGATTCAGCTAATCTTTGCCCAGATTCCTGGATACAGGAATTTTAATCAATTTTGTTATTTTAAGTAACTTAAATTTGGGATACTTTGTTAAGCAGCAGTATATAACTAGTACAGTTATCATAAAAGGAAAATGTAAATTAACATTTCAAAAAATGTGATTGCAATATAATGAAGAATAAGTCATGATCTCCCCATCCTTAATAATATCCTCATAAGTTACACTGGTCTCAAAATAGGATAAACTGATTCTCTCAAAATGCTCTTTGAATTTTATAACACCTAGTTTTAAAGTCTTCCCTTTGTATCTAAGATAATTCTAGTGACGTTTCCACATAAGCATAAGGATATTATAAAAATATTAGTTTTTACATTTTTTTACATGACAAAGCCAAACAAAAAAATAAAATCATTTTAATGGTATGTAGTCTGGAAGTAACTACTCATCAGTTTACCAACCCACCTTCCGTAACACACTGGGTTTATGACATAAGCGTGATGGGTAATGATATTGGTTCAAATTTCTTGTACATTTCAAGGAAAAACAGCCAAAATTTTATTTTTGTCACTAGTTTGTCATAGTCAATTCTCTCCAGAGAAAGAGAGAGAGAGAGAGAGAGAGAGAATTTGAGAAAGAGAGAAAAAGATTTAGAGTTATTATGAATAATTAGCTCATATAATTATGGAAGATGAAAAGTCCCATATTCTGCCAGCTGCAAACTGGAGACCCAGAAATTCTGGACCGTAATTCAATCCAAGGTTTAAGGCCAGAATACCAGGGGAACAGATAATATCAATTTCAGTCTCAGAGTAGGAAAAGATGAGATGAAATGCTCCAGCTCAAATTGTGAGGCAGAAAAAAAAAGGTGAATTATTTATTTCTCTGCCTTTTATTCTCTTCAGGCTCTCAACGAATTAGAGGATATCTACCCAGAATGGGGAAAGTAATTTACATCACTGAGTCCTTTGATTCAATTGCTAATGTCATCCAGAAACACCCTCACAAAGACACTCAGAAATAGTATTTAATCTGGTCACCTCATTGTCCAGTGAAGATGACACATAAACTTCATGATCACACTAGTTGATGCACCCACGAATCACCCATCTTTCACAGTGTCACATTAATCATTATCATGAACATATGAATGATATATTTTTCTGAAAGAATATCTATCTAATGACTTGAAAGTTTGAGGTAATAAAATACCCAGAAACATCACTCATGGTTTTAACCATACACAGTATTTGTATTTATGTTTATATTTGTTGTTAAATCTATATCAGTGCCTGAATTCCATTTGAATAGCTGTTTCTAGTGATCAGAGTAGTGTGCATTAAAACTTACTCAATGTTTTCTCTCTAATCTAGTTCTCCAGTCTCAAACATTATTTCTAATTGTAAAAAACAATTGCATAACAAATATTTTAAAAGGGAGGCAAGGAACAGATGTTTCCCATGTACATTTAAGAGCGCTGAAATTCGATAGGAAATCCAGGAAGAACTTTCAAGATTATATTCTGGGATGTTTTCTGAGACATTTTCTATACATACTTGCACATTACCTATACATATTTACTTAAATGTGTTCTCCTCTTTGTTAAAGCACAAACCTAGAAGGTATGGCCTACTACACACCTAGGCTATATTGTTTAGCCTGTTGCTCCTAGGCTACAAAACTGTACAGCATGTTATTGTACTGAAAACTGTAGGCAATTGTAACATAATAGTATCTGTGTAACTAAACATATCTAAATATACAAAAGGTACAATAAAAATATGGTATTACAGTCTTATGAGATTACCATTGTAAATGCAGTCCCTCATTGATTGAAATGTCATTACAGGGCACATGACTGTAATTGATTAGCAAAAGAAGCCAATGTAATATGTGATTATATATATATATATATATATATATATAATATATATAAATTCATGAAGAATAGACAATGCTACAGTAGAAATACTATGTTTATTATCAAAAGTGATAATTTAATGAACTCAGTCACCTTGATTGAAATTCAAGAAAATTTCTAATATGATTAGTTACTACTTTTATCTATATGTTCTGTCAGTATGGATCTAGTAAACTTTATGTCTTATTAGTTGTCCATCTTAATGGGGAAATACTTTTATAGTGATGTTTTCTAACCTATAAAATTCATTTCTCTGAAAACAATGTGCTTATTATGACCATAAATATTACTAAAAAGTCTTGTATTTGAAGAATAATGACTTCGCTTACATTGGTTTCTAACATACATACATCTCCATTGCGATGTTAATAAAACCTAAAATGAGGTGATCTTTAGCAAGCTTTCCATGCTAGCAACTTTTATTATTTGCATTTATTTATGTGACAGAGGCTGCTTTAAAAAAATCTTTATTAGTTCCAAGGCATATTTTATGAGACTATTTTAATCCACCAAGTACCACCAATAGACTGTAATAATAAATGAAAAATAATTTTAAGTGCTCCATTGGAAAACACAATAAAAATATTTAAATAGCATTTCAGTATAAATTATACATTCATTGGGGAAAATACCATTAGTAAAATTTTCTGACCAATAATAATAAACAGGTAAGTATAAAAGAGAATTTGTTTCTATAGAGAATAATGTGTTATCAGCCTTAGATTATAACCTGCATATAGTGGCATGTCTATTCTAAAGTTGTGAAACACAAATTTTAGATTCAAATACTAAGATACAATTACTTTGCATTTTTTTATACAACATCAACTAAAATATAGAGAAATAAGTTGTTTCTGTTGAACTATTTCACATGATAGAATGAGAACAACTAGTAGTTTTGCTATCCGAGGAATTTGCCATGTTTGAGATTCGATACTGTGTGTACAGTGCATCTATATGAATTTTTCATGCTAATGGTGATTTTGCTCCATTTGTTAGTAAATTAGCTAGCAAAGACCAAATTCAACTGATATAAGAAGCAATCAATTA
Source organism: Homo sapiens (assembly GCF_000001405.40). Classification (NCBI taxonomy): domain Eukaryota; kingdom Metazoa; phylum Chordata; class Mammalia; order Primates; family Hominidae; genus Homo; species Homo sapiens. Next base: position 189,611,305 of record NC_000001.11, read on the forward strand.
TAAATGACAGTTATACTGATTATAGTTATTATTTTTTCAAACATGTTGATACTGTTGTGAGTTTTATATATAAAATTAAAGCATATGTAATTACATAAGTTGCATTAAAAAATACTTATTGCAATACATGGATATATAATGATGGAGGAGCATCTTTATTTCATAATTCACTAAAAGGATAAGATGTTATTAATAATCATTGTTTCCTTAGAAAATATTTAGATCCTAGTAGTTTGCCACATTCTCATATGTGAATTTGTGAAGAGCTTTGTGGTTATAGAATGCAAATCTATAGCATTAGGACAAACTAGACACTGCTTTTGAGTTCTTCTCTCTGTCCCTCTCTCTTTTTTTTTTCTTTGAGACAGGCTGGAGTGCAGTGGCATGATCATAGCTCACTGTAATCTTGAACTTTCAGGCTCAAGCTATCCTATCCTCTTGCCTTGGCCTCCTGAGTAGCTGGGACTAAGGCACACACCACTACAGCTGGCTAACTTTCTTTATTTTTAGTAGAGATGAAGTCTCACTATGTTGCCCAGGCTGATCTCAAACTCCTGGCTCAAGCATTCCTCCCACCTTGGCCTCCCAAAGTGCTGAGATTCAAGGCCTGAGCTACTATGTCTGGCCAAGCTTTTGATTTCTTTTGCTCAGTGCTTTCATATTTATATAGCTTATTAAAGTATATCTTTTTAATTAACTGCAAGTAATTGAAACTCAAAACTGAATGTTGGCTTCTTTAAACCACTTGATCCAATTTCTTCCATGCATTTACTCATATCAGAGAGTGTGAGTCTCATAGTTATTATGGTAATTAAACTACATTTAATTTGACAATAACAATACAACGATAGTAGATCATAGATATATAAAATGTTTGACCATCTTACTCTAAATTTGTAAAACTAAGTAAAGAAGGAAGGCCAGTAATGATAGTTAATATTTTTGAGTGCTTATTATTATGCATGTTTTAAGTGCTTTAAAATATTAACACATTTAACCCTCAAAACAACCCGATGAAGTGGTATCATTTTAATTTGTTTAATCATATAAAAGAAAGAATAGAGATTTTATGTAATTTATGCCAAGATGAACAGATACTAAGCATTGAAACAGGAATTGTATTCCAGCTCCAAAACCGTAATTGCTTATTATCTGGTTGCACTGTCTATAGGCAATGTTTCAGACACAAAATATACTTGTGAGAAAATATGGACATTTAATGTACTAAGCTATTATAACTAAAGACACATTTCTAGAAAACAAAATGTCAAAATATTAAAACTATTTAAGAAAAAATCCTTCTAAGGATAATGAACTCACACTAAATTTAATTTATCTTTTATAAGATCCTGAGAAGTTATAATTATATTCTCTTTCACTAGATTCAATGTGGCATTTATTCCATCTATTAAGCTTGTGAAAGACATTCAGCTAGCATAGAAAAACAAGATATCACTTAAAAAAAAGAGAGAAACAGTAAAAAATTACTGTTTAGATCCTTCCAATTTACTTCAAAGGAGTTTTTTGCTGAATCCATGAAATATTCTCAGTCTGGAAATAACTAGGACATGTAGAATATTGGCATTTAAATTTTAGGTTTATCATAAAAAGATTATTTGCATTAGTTTTTACAATGAGTTTACAAGAAAATATTTTTCTTTTAGAAGTTATCTATTTTTTAAATGTAGAGAGTAGCAAATATTATTTGGCTTATATTAAGACATTTATTATGGCTTAATCCTATTTAATTTTTGATAATTACTCATTCCTTTGAAAATCCTTCACTGATGTTTTGTGAAGACCACTGGACTAGTTGTTCCAGATAAAGGAAATAGAAGTCAAAATCCTTGTTTTTAAGTAACTTACACTAATTAAATAGCAGTATGCAAAAATTATATGGCAAATATAATATAATATAATAATGTTATATTAAATTATATAGCCGGACATGGTGGCTCATGCCTGTAATCCCAGTACTTTGGGAGGCCGATGCAGGTGGATCACGAGGTCAGGAGTTCCAGACCAGACTGGCCAACATGGTGATACCCTGTCTCTATTAAATTTAGCTGGGCATGGTAGTGCATGCCTGTAATCCCAGGTACTCGGGAGGCTGAGGCAGGAGAATCACTTGAACCCTGGAGGTGGAGGTTGCAGTAAGCCAAGATTGCGCCACCGCACTCCATCCTGGGCGACAAGGCAAGACTCCATCTCAAATAAAATAAAACAATTTAAAAAAGAGTAAGTTTAAAGAAAGTATTTTTAATTTATACAGACCTAGTCTCTAATTTTGGCCCCGTTACTTTGTGCAACTTAATTTTCCTCTCTGAGACTGAGTCTATTCATCTGTAAAATGAGTAAACTAATATCTACCTATAGGTATGCTGCATGTGAAAACCTGAGCATACTGCCTGTCACCTAGGAAATACTTATAGCTTTTGGTTATTGTAATTATTTATATTGTAACTACAAGTTATTAATTCTTAATAATGAAAACCAATCTGACATTTCTTATAACTCATACAACAATTGTTAAATACAAAGGCAATTATATGTTATATTTTATTATTACTCAATTCATCCACTTACAAAGTCTTAGAAATTTAAGGTTCTGCATGGCAAAGATAAATTTGCTTCTGAGGCAGTAGATAATTTGACGATTTATTGTGATTGAACAACCTTGCAGTGTTTCAATTCTTCATTTATACTCTGATAATAATATGTCATTTTTAAGGCCTCATTCATACTGCACTAAGTTTCACTGCATTAGTAAATCATATCACAATAATAAAAATTAGAATTGGACTTTAATTTCAAGCTTCAAGTTCACTAAAGAAAAAAAAAGTTGTTTTAGTACTGCCCCATAAAATTGCAGTTCTGCATATTTAGAAGATAACTTTATTTCAAATTTAATATTATTGAATATGAGAAAATAGTAGAAAGACTACTTTCAATTAAACAAATAATTTTATTTACATAATATTTGCTTTCCTCTATTTTTAGCTACATCTTTGGCAACGAGTTTTGCCTGTTTAAGAACATGAGCCAAAAAGCCAAAATTAATGTCATATTATTTTTACAACATATTTTTGTTCTCTATGACTACTTCTTTTTACTTAAAATGTTTGTTATAAATAAATTGCATTTTCTTGATTTGTGGAGAAAAAATTATCTTAAAATCATGGGAATACAAATTCAAATTTTACTAAGTTCTTCAAACATATTTTGGTCAAATTGTGTGTGTGTGTGTGTGTGTGTATGTGTGTGTTATCTTTGTCATGTAACTTGTTCTTTTAGTATGCCTTTTGATTCTGGTTCACCCAGACATGTTAAGTCAAAAAGACTGCATGGGAGTTGCTTTTATAAGTAAGGCTCTTTTAAAGCTAGGTATTTCCTTAGGTAGGGATTCTGTATAATGGATAGTTAGGAGTCTGCTTTCATTTGAATGGCTGTTTCTTCCACATAGTGGAAAGAAAAATACAAAAGTTTATAAATTGAGCTCTAAATTGCACACTAGACTCTCTTAACAACAACCACCACCAACATATATATATACACACATATATAATGTAATTTTATATATATATAAAGTATATATAATGTATTTGTGCATATATATGATAAATATAAAAATATGTGTGTTTTTAAGTGCTATAGATATAGCTCATAAAACAGTTCTTGGAAACAGGACCATTACCTGTGTGCTTTTTACCAGAAAGGGGAGGGAAGATATCAATGGTCTGTTCTATATTAAAAAACTGAAAAGTCACCAGAGAGAGTATGAAATCTTCCAGTAAATAACGACATGAGACTTACATTAGAGATCTTATCTCTAAAGAGAAACCAGAACATGAATGGGATGTTATCATCAAACTATTACAAAAAGTGACTGTAAATTAGAATTCACGATTCAGTAAATATGCCTATCAAAAATGAATCTTGGCAGAAACTACCTGAAAGTTCTTCAGCCTGGTCTCAGTAGGAACAGCTTCAGTGCCAGTAATGCAGATATGTGTATGAACATGGCTGAAATAGGGGAAGAAGTGTTAAAATGGTTGAGGGGACTGAGTTTTTTTTTGTTTTGTTTTTTATTATAATTCTTTCTAAAAAATGGGGACACATTGACTGTGTACCAAATCTGTTGTGGGAAGGGCAGCTACTCCATGAGGCTTGCCAGGGAAAGCCCTTGTAATTGCCTGTGGTCAGCCTTGAAGGATTAAACACAAGATTTTAACCTGGGTCCCAACTCCCCAATCTCCACTTATCTCATGGAACTTTAATGTGTAATACAGGATTACTATGAACAACACACCACGGCCACAGATTTGATGACATAGATTAATTTAAGGATCAATTTTTTAAAATACACAAACTACCAAAATGATACAATTAGAAATAGATAATCTAAATAATCTTATGTCTACTAAATAATTGAATTAATAATTCATAACCTTCCCAAAAAGAAAACACCTGGTCAAAATGATGTTTCTACTGATAAGTTATACTAACCATTTAAGCAAGAAATAATACTAATTTTTCAGAAGCTCTTCCAAAAACTTGAAGCAGACTGAACACTTCTCAATTTATTCTCTAAGAACACAGTTGCCCTAAAGCTAAAACCCAACAAAGACATTGAGAAAAACTACAGACTGGTTTTCCTCATGAACATAGATGCAAAAATCCATAATAAACTACTGGCACATTGAGTCCAACAATAAATTATACAACATGACCTAGTGGAACTTATTAAAGTATGTAGGGTTGGATCCAAATTCAAAAATCAGTCAATGTAATCTGCTACATCAACAGCAAAGTAGAAATAGAGAGAAGTTTTTGAACTTTACAAAGAGTACCTATAAAAATCCTATAGCAAAACTTGCAGCAAACATCAAACATAATGGTGAGAAACTAGATATTTTCTTCTTAAGATCATGAATAATGCAAAAGTCTCCTCTCTTCCCACCACCTGCAACATTGTACTGTAATTTCTAGCTAGTGCATTAAGGTGAGTAAAAGAAATTAATCTGTACAGTTTGGGAAAGAAGAAATAAACCTGTATTTGTTCATGTGACATGATTGCTTATGTAGAGAATCATTTTTGAATAAAAATCTTCTAGTGTTAATAAACAAGTATGGCAAGTTCTCAGCATACGAAAATAACATTCAGAAGTCAATTGCTTTCCTACATACCATCAATAAACAATTGGAATTGGAAATGAAAAATGATTTAAAATAATACACAAAAATGTAATACATAGTTATAAGTATAGCACAATATATACAAGATCTAAATGCAGGGAACTTTAAAACTGAAGAATAACATCAAAGAAGATCTAAGTAATTGGAGATATTTAGTGTTTATGGATTTAAAAATTCAATATTATTAAGATGCAAATTCTTCTTAACTTGTTTTATAAATTCCTCTCAATTCCAATCACAATCTCGCAAGTTATTTTGTAGATACTGATAAGCTGATTATAAAGTTCATATGGAAATGGAGAAGGTCTAGAACAGCCAACAGAATACTGTAGAAAGAGTGATCAAACTACATCATACATTGTTAAGGCATACATATCTGGATGGATAGATAATTATGATAGATAAATAGATCGATTGATCGATCGATAGATTGATAGAGACAGAGGGATAGAATGCTAGTTCAGGGTGCTATAACAAAGAACCATAGACTGGGTGGCTTTCAGATAACAGAAGTTTATTTCTCACAGTTCTGTAGGCATGACATCTGAGTCATGCCAGCCAGTATAGTTGTGCTTTGGTGATGCTCTTCTTCTGGATTGCAGCCAGCATAGTTGTGCTGCCAGCCAGCATAGTTGTGCTTTGGTGATGTTCTTCTTCTGGATTGCAGACTGCTGCCTTCTTGCTGTATCCTCACGTCGTAGAAAGAGAGCTAAAACTCTCTAGGGTGTCTCTTTATAAGGGCATTAATTTTATTCATGCAGGCTCCACCTTCATGACACAATCACCTCCCAAAGTTTCTACTTCCTAATACCATTACATGAGGTTAGGAATCCAAAATACCAATTCTGGGGGGACAAAAGCATTCAGTCCATAACATAGATAGACAGACAGATAGGAGATCTAGAGTCAGACAGTATGTTACTGAGGTTTTAATTTATTATCATTAAGAATTATAAAGTAATATGTTTATGCATATCCTTTTTAATGCATCAAATATGTTAAAATATTTTTAAAAATATACCATTACAACACACAAAAGTACTAGAAAAACATTATTAAATATTTATCTATGCAGCCATAAAAAAGAACAAAATCATATGTTTTTGACAACATGGATTCAGCTGGATGCCATTATCATAAGCAAATTAATACAGAAACAGAAAACCAAATACTGAATCTTCTTACCTATTAGTGGGAGCTAAACATTGAGTACACATGGAAATAAAGATGGGAACAACAGACACTGGGCACTGGGGACTGCTAGAGAGGGAGTGTGGTTGGGGGTAGGATTGAAAAACTACCTATTGGGTATTTTGCTCACTACCTGGGTGACGGGATCATTCTTACACTAAACCTCAGTGATAACGCAATTTACCCATGTAACAAATGCGCACTTATACCCCCGAACCTAAAATAAAAGTTGAAAAAAAGTTTAATTAATTAAACAAAATAAATTTTCTATTTAGAAAACATAATTATATCCAACTACAACTCCATTAAAGCCTATAAAGAAAAAGATATTTATCTAATATGGGTCAAACAAATGTAAAAATGAATACCGATTTCTCCACATCCTCACCAGCATCTATTGTTTCCTGACTTTTTCAATGATCGCCATTCTAACTGGCGTGAGATGGTATCTCATTGTGGTTTTGATTTGCATTTCACTAATGACCAGTGATGATGAGCTTTTTTTCATATGTTTGTTGGCCGCACAAATGTCTTCTTTTGAGAAGTGTCTTTTATATCCTTTGCCCACTTTTTGATGGAGTTGTTTTTTTCTTATAAATTTGCTTAAGTTCCTTGTAGATTCTGGATATTAGACCTCTTGAGATGGATAGACAGCAAAAATTGTCTCCCAACCTGTAGGTTGCCTGTTCACTGTGATGATAGTTTATTTTGCTGAGCAGAAGCTCTTTAGTTTAATTAGACTCATTTGCCAATTTTGGCTTTTGTTGCAATTGCTTTTGGTGTTTCAGTCATGAAGTCTTGAAAATGTGGCATATATACACCATGGAATACTATGCAGCCATAAAAAAGAATGAGATTGTGTCCTTTGCAGGGACATGGATGAAGCTGGAAATCATCACCCACAGCAAACTAACACAGGGACAGAAAACCAAACACAGCATGTTCTCACTCATAAGTGGGAGTTGAAAAATGAGAATACATGAACACAAGGAGAGGAATATCACACACTGGAGCCTGTTGGGGGGTGAGGGGAAAGGGGAGGAAGAGCATTAGGACAAATACCTAATGCATGCGGGGCTTAAAACCTAGATAATGGGTTGATAGGTGCAGCAAATCACAAGGGCACATGTATATCTGTGTAACAAACCTGGACGTTCAGCACATGAATCCCAAAACTTAAAGTAAAATAAAATAAAAAATAAATTTAAAATAGTAATATTGAAACCATAGTGGAAAATAAAATTTATATGTAGCAAAAAATGTTTTGCCTGAAAAATATAAACTGAAAAAATGTATGCACCATATAAAAATAGTTAATATTCTTAGATATAAATTATAGCACATAAATATGTTTGTGAAACAATATCAGATACAAACAAAACAATGTCAATAAAATATTTGAGAAACTATAATGAAACTCTTTATGAACTTAATTCACTATCACACCAAAAGACATAAACATTAGCTTTAGTTTGACATAGTAATGAATTATTATATTGCTATTTTTCTTATTAAATTGCAACTTACACATCTACTTATACCTACAATAGTATGGAGAGTAGAAAATTGTTATTAATATACACATCATTTAGATATATAAAAATATGCAGTATTTCTAGAAGCCATTTTAATTGCATTTTTAAAATGACTCAAAACTTCTTGATCCAGTTGTTTCCTTACTATAAAGTTTCCTAAATTTTTACACATTTTATCAGAAATGTATATGAATATATGTATGTATATATTTAAGTTTCTAGCTGGTTGCTCCACTTATTTCTAATATTATTTACAAATTGAAACACACTCAAATGCTTTAGTATGAATTACTTGAGTATGATAAAATCTATCATATATAATAAAATCCATCTAATAAATAATATTTTAAACAAAACACATATGATATGAGGCTTATGATGAAAACAGGTTGTAATACAGAGTGATTTGATTATATTGTGGATAAATAATCTAGAACAAAGACAGAACTGATACTCAGCTAGAGAGTAGTATGAAGAGATTTCAGAATATTTAAAAATATTCTAGTCTATAGCTTTCAGTTCCACACACCTTACAGGATTGATTTAAGACTGTTTTTGTATTTGTAAAATAATACCTTTTGTTTTGTTACCTTGAGCAAACCACAAGTTATCCTCCATGACTCATGTCGTCCATGCAGTCAAAGCAAATGATTCACTCACAATATGGCAGCCTTCCAGGATTCTGGGCATCCTAAATAATATGCATAACACAAAGAAGGAAATTGAAAACCCTAGAGAACTCGAAGTTTGGATGAAAGTATTGATCTTAAGAAAGGGACATAGTTTTCAAGTAGTCTGAGAAGAAGTCTGACTTTGGGAATATAAGACATATTGTGAATCTGATGACCAGAAGCAGCACTAAAGAACCCCCACCCCAGGACAACTGACATGAGGCAGCCCAGCTATTTAACAGCAGATGGCAGAAAGGGCAAAGGAAAGTTTAAAGGCCTCTTACATGTTGGGATGATACATAGAACCTGTGCGAAATTATCTATCACTCACAAATCAAAGGAGAAAGAGAAGAAAGGTGGGCCTCTTGTATAGATAATGATATAATATTGAATTGACCAATTAAAACAGCCAATGTGATTGGGCTACCTTCATTAGGCAACTTAAAATTTCAAAATAAAAAGATAATTATAATGTGCTAATGTCAGTTTAAATGATGCAAACACACACAAATATTTATCTGTATGAACATTTTATACAGAAAACACTTTATTTTGCTTATCAAATGCGTATCTGTTCCAGTCTGCTGTTTGCTTTCCATACACACACAGTGCTTTCTTTGAACTGGGATTTGCCCTATCTTATGTTAAGAACCATAATTCTCTTAGCAGAAATGTTGTTAGCATATACAGTTTTTAAAAATCCATCATAGACGCATCATTACTAACTCTGAAGGTAAAGAAGGGCTGTTTATTGCCAATAAAATTTGAAAAACTGTGTATTCCTGTTTTACTTGTTTTCCAACATTATCCCTGGCTTGCTCAGGATGTATGCTGACATTCTACCCTATGTGTTTTTGTATCTACGTAACAAAAATATATATTTTAAGTAAAAATTAAAGGGGGGCTATTTTAAAATAATTTTTGTAGAAAATTCTCTTTTGGACAGGCACAATACTGCAATGACACATCCATAAAAAAGGCACAACCACTTTTTAAGGATGTATAAAGTCATGTCCAATTGTAGATCATAAAATGTTTATTAAGTTATTTATTCTTTATTCACAATAGCTGACTCAGTGCTCTTTCTGTAATTATCAACTAACCGATGCATTATGTGGATTAAAGAATGACTTTATGTGCATTTAGAAAGTAATGTGCTACAGGTTATTGCACCTTGTAATTTTATTATTCAAACATATATTGGATTTTATTTATGCTAATGCAATCACAATATTTAATAATGCAATATAAATTATGAGGGCTTATTTTCTCCTAATGTAACAGGATTGTGTAATTGAGCCTAAACTGAAGTTAGATATATATTCTTGGTGACCATTCACTATATTACCAACACCTTTTTGTGTCTTCTTATTTGCATCTAGTCTGAGAAAACTGCTAGAGAAATAACATAAATGGTAGACCAAGAGGCAATTATTACAAGACAAATGGGACTCTAGTCTCACTTAAAAGGCAATTACCCTAACTGAAGAAGAATCTGGCATGATGAGCTGGTCTTAGCCACAGAATTTGGGACCAGCAGATTGTTGTACTTTAAGATGCAAAAAGGTGATTTTTACATAAATCCTTTCCAGACTAGTTATCTTCACGTGTTGATACTCAGTTTAAGTTAAGTATAAGAAGTATCTAGAACCAGAAATACCATTTGACCCAGCAATCCCATTTCTGGGTATATATCCAAACGATTATAAATCATTCTAGTATAAAGACACGTGCACACGTATATTCATTGCAGCACTATTTACAATAGCAAAGACTTGGAACCAACCCAAATGCCCATCAATGATAGACTGGATAAAGAAAAGGTGGCACATATACACATTGGAATACTATGTAGCCATAAAAAAAAAGAATGAATTCATGTCCTTGCAGGGACAATGGACGAAGCTGGGAACCATAATTCTCAGCAAGCTAACACAGGAATACAAAAACAACATGGCATGTTCTCACTCATAAGTGGGAATTGAACAATGAGAACACTTGGACACAGGGAGGGGAACAACACACACCGGGGCCTTTTGGGGGGCAGGGGGAAGGGAAAGGATAGCATTAGGACAAATACCTAATTCAGGCAGGGCTTAAAACCTACATGATGGTTTGATAGGTGCAGCACACCACCATGGCATATGTATACCTATGTAAAAAACCTGCACATTCTGCACATGTATCCCGGAACCTAAAGTTTAAAAAAAAAGTAGTATTGCCAGCAGTGAGTGAGAGAGTAATGTATATATAAACCTCAAATATCTATTACGGTTACTGGTCATTGTCAGTGCCCACTACAAGGAGAGAAGGAGGCATATTCCCTTTCTAATTGGTGGGTGGAGTGAAATGTGGAAGCACGTGGTGGACCAGTAATTATAGTAATATTAATAATGTGGGTAGAGACAAAAAGAGGCCCTACAATTACTAATCAGTGAGCTGTCAGGAAATGCAATGCTACAGATTATTGCAGTGGAAGAATATGGGTTTTCTTAGTAGATGGAGTAAAGTCTTATCAGAATACAAGAACCCCAGTCTAACTGAGAAACTAGATGCTGCAGCAGTAATGATCCACCCAGGAGAGAGGAGACAAAAAAGCGGGTTGGGAGGGTGGAGAGTCATTCTTAACTGTGTAGGAAGGAGAAAAGATTGTTGTGTTAGTGATATATTACATTCTGAAGCTATTTCACTTTGCAGAGAAATGATACATTTAAAAACTGTGTGGTTAAAGGAGCGCAATTCTGCATAGGGGGGTCCATAAGTGAAAAAATATCAGGCATGCATATTGATTTATTCTGTATGGTACATAGGGATTTGTGAAGTTCAAGGACAGTTGTTTAAACTGGAGAATTAAGTAGTGGGCAACGTAACATTTTTTATGGTGTGCTGAGTGGGATGGGAAGTCCCTATGAACCAAGAACAGAAACTCCTTGAAATAGGTAGCAATAACAGAAGATTACCAAAAATATAACATCGATGAAAATCAAAGAGACTTCAGAAGGATGCAACCTATATATGGATAGGATTAGAGATTAGGGATTACCTTTCTTGAGTGTTCTCCAGAAGTGACGATTAAAGCCAGCAGGGAGGCAGTGATTTAAAATCAATATTGACCTATGAAAACAGTTTGCTTAGTAGAATTCTTGATCTATTGAAGTTTACTAACATTTGTACAGATTGTAAATTGTATTAATAATGCCCTGCTAAAACTTACTGATGAGTTTTACCCTGGAACAATCATGTACTTAGAGTAGACATGCACTGCTTGGAAAATTTTAATCTGTTTTTAAAAAAATCAAAATTCTATTACCTAAGGTTGAATCAAATTATTTGTCTAATGTCTTCATTCTATTTAATTTAGTGAAAGTGAGAAAAAGTGATACTGTCTAGTAGTAAGTATTTATAAAATAAAGTACTTTGAAAGTGTAATTGTATACCAATTTGGATAAAAAATACAAGGAAAATTGTATGTCGCATGTGCCTTAAAAGTGCTTACATTTGAGAGGAAAATTTTTTGAATTATGTTGCAGTCCTTTAAAATAATAGCTGATCATTATTAATTTCCTCAGGTGTTTATTGTCACAATATTAATCATGGTGAACTCATTTGCTATTAATGTGCATGTCATAACTAGTTCTTTGGGATTACAACAGTGAGCTCGGCAGTGATTAATTGCACAATTATTTTAAAGAGTTACCAATTTTCTTAATGTCTCCTACCTGACAAAAGAGTTTGAGTTGCATTTTTGCAGATATAGAGTATAACAGGTACATTTGTCTTCTATCCATGGAGTCAAAATTAATCCTTGTGCTTAAATCTCATGGGGCTACTTGAGCTCATTTGTTGCTATTTTCACTCATAATATCAATATCCCAACCTGATTAAAATACCATCTTTTAAAGATTAATCATCTAATACAGGTGACTGTGGTTTAAATATGGATGGGAGTTGGGACATAAGGAAATACATCATTAAATAAATCCAACCTAAAATTTAGTTCTTAAAAAGTGGGTGCAAGCTGAGAAGCAATGAGGATGGTGACTGAACTGAAACAGAAAAGAAAAAGTTACCCGCCTGAAATAGATTCTCTCTCAGTATTCACAAAATCTTTATAATGTTTGACTCTCAGAGGGCATGAAGTGGATAATTTGATACAATCTTCTCTAAATTACAAGAACATAAGAGAATGTACATAACAGGTTTGCTTATGAAACTTCAGTGCCACAAGCAACTTAAAATATTTAACTTATATGAGACATAAATATATTCAAAATTGTTATTTTAAAGTAACATAAACTTATTTTCTCAGTGATCATGTTATGTTTTTTCTGGTTATTTTCTGTTCTACTAGTATATTTTTTCTAAACATTGTAAAATTATTTCAGCAATTTTTAATTCCAAAAAAGAATAAGTAAAATATAGTGTGTATGTAAATGTACTTTATATCTCTTCCTTAGGCTTTTATCTTTCCTCTCCCACTAACCCTAACCCAAGCAATTACACACATGAAGAAACAACCTATTACACACAGGAGGACGCTGTTTCTCCATACTTAAGTAGTATTCCTCAATTCCTGGTTATCTAATATCCAAACTAAACTTTACAATATATTCCGATTCTTCAAGGATGACAGCCCCTGAATTAAAAATTTGATTTTGTGTTGCTTTACATTATATTAGAGGAAATTTTAATCAACCGTCATATAAGTTATGGAATGTTAGATAAATTTTGGTCAATAGAAAACCAACATTATTTCAGTACATCATGTCAGTAGAACATTTAAATCTAATATATAGCAGCATATTATATATATATAGCCTTTTTTATTAATATTTCCACATTTTATTTTTTTAAACTTTCAAAAATACGCTTAAAATGTACAGTATTCAGGGTATACTTTAAAATAAATAAATTTTAAATTAAAGATATGAGAGACAATTTACTAGAAAGAGCATGGGGTTTGAGGGAGAGAGAGAGAGAGAGACGGATACACTTTGCAAGGATTATGACATAATAATATAAAATGGGCCCACTTCCACTCCAGTCACATAAAAACAGAGCAAACATGTAACAACTACATCAAACGTAATATCATAGAAAACATATTCATGCCTCAAAGAAAGACAAAGAAATCTTTAGGATCTAGAAACACCAAAATATTTCCTCTGTGAAAAGTAATTTAAAACACTCTATCTTACAACTTGGAGGAGACACTTTATGGGATGCTTGTCACTTGCTGGATTTCTAGATAGAAGTAAAAAGTCATACCTCCTTTCTACCATGTCTGTCTGAGTCTCCATCTTTCCATGCCCTATGTCCATGTGTATGCATTATTTAGCTCCCACTTGTAAATGAGAAGGTGTCATATTTGTCTGTCTGTGTCTAAGTGGTTTCATTTAAGATGGTGACCTCCAGTTCCATCTATGTTGCTGCAAAAGACATGATTTCACTTAAAAATATACATATATGTATACATGGAATTTAAAAATTATCTTCAATTTTTTCATGCATTACTAGTTAATTCCACAAATTCATCTCTATGTTCTCTTTTCTTTTTCTTTCTTTATTTTTTGAGATGGAGTTTCACTCTTGTTGCTCAGGCTAGAGTGCAATGTCCTGGTTTTGGCTCACTGCAACCTCCACCTCCCAGGTTCAAGGGATTCTCCTGCCTCAGCCTCCCAAGTATCTGGGATTACAGGCGCCCGCCACCATGCCTGGCTAATTTCTGTATTTTTAGTAGAGATGGGGTTTCACCAGGTTGGCCAGGCTGGTCTTGAACACTTGACCTCAGGTGATTTCCCGCCTCAGCCTCCCAAAGTGCTGGGATTACATGCATGAGCCACCATGCCTGGCCAATCTCTATGTTTTCTGCAGTTGAATCTCTCTTTATAAGCCACCCTCTATAATCTAAATTTTAAAATCAATCATGAATAGGTAAGAGCAATATAAGTCCTCTTGGGCTTTTTTGTAAAACTTCTTAAATAAAATGTAATCGTTTAAGTTTCATCGGCAAAATTATTAGGCAGAATATGCTTCACAATGCCGTCCCTTTAAAACCATAGATATTCTCTAAAGAGAGTTGAAGATATGCATTTGGTTACAGTGGTTTAACATGAAAATTTACCCATTCCCAGCCAAACCACAGAGATGCATACAATATACACTTTTATAATTAAGCTCTAAAGTACACTTATCTTTAGAATGAATTATAAGAATGAGAACCTGCAGACAGCCAAGATCACATGTAAAAATAATAAATAAATATATGTTTTTAAGTATGTACAAATAGTACGGAAAAGAATATAAATCAAGCAATCCAAGAGTGGTTGACGAGATGGCAAAAATATTTATTAACATAATGATGACAGTTCTTAAATTTTATTACATGCTAGGCAACATTCTCAGTGTGTTAAATTTACTGGTTTATTTAAAACTTACAAGAATCTCATGAGATATTAATATTCCTGCCATTTTAGAGGTGAGTAAACAGGCACCAAGAGATTAGAGGACTTGGCCAAGTTCATACAGTGAGTGATACTTACACCCTGGCAGTCTAGAGTGAACCTAGTCAATGACACTCCAGAGGGCATGATAAAAAGTGTGACTCTTACAAAAAAAACATGTAGATATTTGTTTTCTCCAATGGTGATCCTTAAAATTGTTATTGCTGGTTTTAGAATCTCTGTCACTATGAGAATAATGAGGCTTATCTCAATAATATATTTTAAAGGTGAACTTTTTTCCTGGAATGGTTATTAATGAAGTTGAGAAATTGACATATTAAGCATAAGGCTGGCATAAAACAAAATAATTATCTTATGTACAGATGCATTGATGCATTGAAATGTAATCTGCACAAAGAAAAAATATGTCATTTTGAATAGACAGGCTTGTCTATGCTCTTAGTGTAGAGCCAATTGAAAATTGGCAGGGTTTCTGTTCCCCTTTGTCTTTCACTATTTTCAATTGAATGGAAAAATGTTAATGTTATTTAATTGGGTAAAATTATAAGGGAAAAATGTTGCTTCAAATATTTAAAGCAAAATCTATATTTTATATGACTGAGATAGTTAAGCAAAATAATACTAAATTTTTAATAGCTTCAAATGTACTCTTTAATATTTTATTATCCTCTATGAAAAATATTTATTCTAAAATCATCAAAATTCAAAAAATATATTTAATATATATTTTAATTTTATTTTATAAGTATTTTTATGTTAATTGTGGCAAGATATATAGTATGTACTGTGTCCTTATTTGTGTAAGATACTATAATTGTGAATACCTTTTTCCAGACCCGTAAAATGTACAGCCCCAAGGATAAATCCTAACGTAAACTGTGGGCTTTGGATGATAATGAGATGTCCATGTAAATGTATAGATTATAAACAATGTACCACTCTGGTGTGAAATGTCGATAGTGGCAAGTGCTATGTATGTGTGAGGGGAGAGCATCTTTGGAATCTCTATGCTTTCTGCCTGATTTTACTGTGAATCTAAATCTGTTATAAAAAAAATCTACTAAAAATTGTATTGTGCACTAAACCAAACACAATATTTGCTGACTCACCCGCAGATTATGGGTTATGTCCTCTAATTTGAAGGTATTCACTTCAAATTTTTTTTTACTTTACAAATATTTGAAATTCATATGTAATTAGAAACATAGAAAATAGCACAGCATGCATTTGTGTTGTTTCAGGATAGACTGTGATTTCTTGATAAATTTTTGGTGTTTTTGAAGACATGGATATTATCTGTTTGCATTCCTACGACCTAATGTAATGTCTAATGCATAGTAGGCACTGGATTAATTATTGTTGACTGAGAGATAAAGTTGTCTGTTTTAAAAAATGTTTTTTGTTAAGGAGTCTGGGAATCATGAACCATATTGACTCTTATGGACTGGATTATATCTGCCCAAAATTCATATGTTGAGGTGTTAACCCCCAATATGGGAGATAGAGCCTGTAAGGAGGTTATAAACATTAAGTAAGATTGTAGGTTGAGACCCTAATATAATAGTAATGGTGTCCTTATAGGAAGAGGGAAGAGACACTGGAGCTCTCTCAGTGAGCACAAAGGAGAGGTCAGGTGAGCCCACAGCGAGAAGTCAATCATCTAGCCAGGAACAGCTTTCACGAGAAAGTGTGTCTGCCAGTACTTGAGTCTGGGACTTTTAGCCTCCAGAACTGTGAGAAAATATTTTAGATTATCTAATCCAACCAGCCCATGGTATTTTTGTTATAGCTTCCCGAGCAGAATAATACAAATTTTGGTATTATGAAGTGGGGTGCTGCATAAAAAATATCTAAAATTGTGGAAGTGGCTGAAACTGTGATGAGTAGAGACTAGAAGAGATTTGAGGTGCATGCTGGAAAAAGCTTAGATTGCCCTGATGAGACTGTTGGTAGAAACATGGACATTAAATATGATTATGGTGCTGCTTGAGAAAGAGAAGAGATAAGCTGTTTTTAAAAATGTCTCTATTGGCTTTGAAAATGCATACACCATCATGAACAGAAATAATGCTACGATTATAAATATTAAAGGCCATTCTGGTGAGATCTCATGTGGAAATGAGATTCAGGTATTAGAAACTGGAGGAAAAGTGATTCTTGTTATAAAGTGGCAAAGAACTTGGGTGCATTGGTCTGATGTTTTGTGAAAGCTAGAACTTACAAATGATGAAAATTGGATATTTTGCTGAGGACATTTTTAAGCAAAGTGATGAATGACTGGCTTGGTTTCTCTTTACCACTTACAGTAAAATGCAAGAGAAAAGAGATAAATTAAAATAATAGTTAAACTAAAAAGAAAAAAGTGAATATTTGGAAAACCCTCAGCCTTTATATATTGTGAAAGATAAGAAGCACGTTATGAAGAGAAAAATAAAGGTGGGGCTGAAGAGCTATTAGGTGGACAGATCATGGGTGTGACTAATGGATTTAATCAGCCATCTCAGAAAAAGCTAGGAACCAAGACAGAATTATATTGGCAGAGAGAGAGCCAGGTGAACCAAAGAGGAAAGACAAAGGGGGATGGGATAAAGGAAGTCTTTCAAACTTCCTGGATTCTGCAGGACACGACAGTAAAGGTATTTGGCTGGAAACATGTATCATTGAAGAAAAGAATGACCAGGAATGCGATTCAGAGGTCGTCAGGGCTGCTCTCCCACCACAGGCAAAGGGAGGAAATCAGGACTGCCTCCCCTCACTTTCAAGGGTGGGACCATGGTTTTGGGTTTCTTATGCCAGGCTGCTGCTGCACAGAGCCTTGATTTTCCATAGTAAGATTATAGTTTGTCAATGTGTAAATTTTATTTTACTTATTCTGCTTGGGATTTATTGATTCTATCAAACCTTTGCACTGATATTTTATTGATTCTAAAAAATCAAGCATTTCTCAACTGTTTTCCTTCAAATGTTACTTATGTGTTATTTTCTCAACTTCTCCAGGCATATACCAATTAAATACATGTTAGACTGTCTTGACATATTTCCAAAGTTTCCTACCCTCTATTCAGTGTTTTCATTTTTAGGCTACTTTCTGTATATTTTCTTAGGACCTTTCTCTTCATTTAAATATAATCTGATATAAATCCCACTTAATAATGAAGAAATGAACAATTTCAGTTATTATACTTTTCAGTTATAAAAATTATACTTCATTCATTTACAAGTTTTTATACTATTTTATTCTATTTTATAAGTAACCAGTTTCCTGATCAGATTTTACTATTTTGGCTTTTTAATCATACTTGCTTAATTATGTAAGCCTGAAGATCTAAAATGTGAAAAATGTTTGAGAATATTTTTACTATTAGTTACTTTTCTGGATTTTTTTTTGTGTCTTCTCTTTATGTATGTCTTTTTATCTTTATGTGCTGAAAATTATATTTTGTAATAATATTTTTACATGTTTTGAGGCCAATGGTAATAATATCATCCTTGAAAGAGCATTTTCATTTACTTTTGCCAGATAGTTACAGGCAGTATGTCTCTGGGCATCCCTTAATTTGGTTTCAAGACTTAATATTTTTGAATCATACAAATGAGAATGACTCAGACCTATGGAAATGTGATGGTTGATTTGTTTTTATTTGCACTATTAGAAGAATATTAAAATATATAAGCAGATTATATGAGAAACTGAAAATATTGATTTCTCTAAAGTATGAGACTTTTATATGTTTTTAATGCTAAACTTTTCCTTAAATTTTGAGACTTCTGTGCTAGTGCTATTATTGTTTAGAATTCATATATTAAAATAATAGATATTCAGAAATATTAACCTTTAAAAATATTTTATTTAATGTCAACAATTGTATAAATTTTTGGTTTGAAAATTAGTCTTTACAGAAAAATAAATAGAGCTTGAATAACATTTGAAGATACATGTATTTGCACTAAAGTATTTTGCATTAATTTATGAAAGAATACTTTGGTGGTACATTTATGATGTAGTATACGCACTGGAATTAAGAAAGATAAATATATTTTGATTATAGGTTGACTTCCTTTAACCTTGCCCTTCTCATAAGAATGGGCATCATTAATTTTAAATATGTTCTACACTTACCAGGTAGGTTAGACTTTATCAAATGTAGTAATTGTGCTAATTTAAGTTGCAAGTAAAAGAAAACCTAGCTTAAATTTGCCAGCCAATAAACATGATTTTATTATTATTAACAAAAGTCAAAGAATAGGCTTCAGAACTAGTTTTTTTCAATGTGTTAATAAGATCATAAGGCACATTAAGTTTGTTTCCATTAAGTCACACTAATTTTCTTCTTTTCAGATCAATTCCCTTGCAAAGTTATCAAGGTGCTGGCAACAATGCATTAGGTATCCACTTTCTAGTCTACATACAAGGGGAGGAAGGAAAGGTCAGTGAAGGAGGAGAGCTTGAAGCTCTCTCAAAACGTCAGTACAATCTACTTTCCCATAATCTTCATGCATTTCTTGGTCCAGATTAGTTCATGTTTCTATTTCTGAACATGGGGATTGATAATGATGATATTTATAGGGCTGAGCTCCCATTGCACTCTATTATCCAATATAGTGTTATTTCTCACTCTTCTGTAGGAAGAGTATTAGACACCCAGATGAAAAAAAAAAGGGGGGTAAATCATCCAGTAAATGGGCAATGGATTTGAGAGAGGCATTTTAAATATCTACTAAATTAGAGGTATGATACAAATTGAAAGTGTTGCAAATCAAAATATTTATGTTTAGTTTAAATTGTATTCAAGAGATGTGTCCTAGGCAAACCATCATTTTTTGATTAAAGTTTTACTAGGTTGCTGTCATGGGGTGGATAGGAAATATTTGTACATAGGAATAGATTTTGTTCTCAGTTTTCAAAAGAGAAGTGTTTCAGTCTTTTTTTTTGAAATTGTCAAGCAAATTAACCGTGAATAAAAATAAAAAGAATGCTAATTTTGGCTTTCTCCAAGAAAATCCAAACACAGAACCAACAAAAGCAAGAACACAAAAAAAGGTCCACAAAAAAAGATCTGATGTATAGTGTAGTAGGTCTAGAACCATACAAAAATATGCTCTCAGCTTCACTCAGACATTGATCATCTGTTGTGACATTTGGGCAAAACTTGAAGCTATATATAGATTAAAAGGACATAATCCATTTTATCTGGCTTCAGTTTCATGAGAAAAGCAAAAAGAATTAATTTCTATAATTTCTATATACTCCACACAGAATTAATTATTATATAGAGAGATTTATTGATTTATTTGTTTATATTTTAATCTGATTTAATTTTATCACAAATGCATATAACATTAATTTAGCCTCTTAGCCATTTTAAGTATACAGTTCAGTAGTTAGTATATTCACATTGTAGTGAATCCAATTTCCATAAGTTTTTTATCTTGCAGAAGTGAAACTATATACCCATTGAACAACTCCCCAGTTCCCCCTCCTCCATACCCTGGCAACCATCATTCCACTTTCTGCTTCTATGAATTTGCCTACTTTAGATACTACATATAAATAGAATCATACAGTATTTGTCCTTTAATGACTGGCTTATTTTACTTAGCATAATGTACTCAAGGTTCACTTATGTTATAGCATGCATCAGAATTCCTTCCTTTTTAAGGTTAAATAATATTCCATTTTAAACAAAAATATATATCACATTTTGTTTACATTATCATTCTTTGATGGACAATTGGGTTGCTTCCAGTCTTGGGCTATTGTGAATAACATTGCTTTAAATATTGGTGTGAAAATATTTCTGTTAGACCCTACTCTCAGTTTTACTCATTATATATCCAGAAGTGAAATTGCTGGATTATATGGTAATTTTATTTTTAATTTTTCAAGAACTATCCTACTGTTTTTTATAGCATCTGAACCATTCTACATTTCTACCAATAGTGTACAAGGATTTCAATTTCTCCACATCCTCGCTAACCCTTCTTATTTTGTTTCTATTTTTTAATAGTATGCAGTTATTCTTTATTTTAATCACTAGATTTTCTTCTTCCGTGTTTGGGTTTTATAAGAATATCAATTCTATTTTCTCCTATTATTCTTTTCTTAATATTATATATAATTATTTCATCAAATATTTAATATGATTTTACTATTACTGTTTTTATTTCAATACTTTATAGTAAAGGCCATTGAAAATATATAAATGATGTATTTTGCTTTGACTCCTTTGTAAATGGCTATAAATCAAAATTATGTTTTCTATACCCTACTTTCTGCAAAGTACTCCATGGTGTTCAAAGTAGACTTTGATAATACCATGATAAGCTTTTCTACTTGTGATTTCTATAATATACCTAATCAAATTTGCAGCAAGACAGTTTAATTCCTTCATTCAAATGGTGCTGCCTTTAGTTAGGCCATTAATTCACTTTCCTTGCTACTTTCCTGAAACATTTTTGGTTCACTTATTCAATTCAAATAAATATGTCATTTTTTCAGTATTCTACTGCATTCCAGATGTCATGAAAACTATGCAAGAGGTCAAAACATAACACTAGTTCTTTTCTGGAGAAACTCATACTACTTTATTAAAGATAAGTCACGAAAACATAAGCAAAATACAATCTTTTAACTTAGATAAATGCTTATTTATTGCTTTTCTCAAATGTTCAGCCTTTCTTCTGTTTAGCATTTTAGTTTTTAACCTTGTCTTTGGATTTCTATGTTATATGTGCTTAAGAATATATTTTTATTTTGATTTCATTTCTTATATATTTGACATTCTTATCTGGCAGGCTTCCTATGTTATTTAGTACTGTATAAGTCTTTTTTTAGAATTTATATTTTACTATGTGTGACATCTTCATGATTAGTTGCTAATTTCTGTCGTGATTTTTAAAATAAAAACTGATTATAGCTAAATTTTAAAAATATTTTCTCAGTTCCTTTTCTCATTCTTCTTTAAATCTCTATGTATTCTATTTATGTTCTGATTCTTATTTTCTAAGCTTCAATAATAACTTTATATCACCCTTTAGATTATCAGTGGTACAAATATTCTTTAAATTGTATATAACCTTTATGTACATTTAGTATTTTCTGAATAATTGTATTTTATTAGAAGTTTGAGTATAAATATAAAGTATCTTTATCAGCCCAAGACATTTAATAAAAAGAAATAAAGTTAATATAATTAGAATAGATCAGTAGATTAAATGCATAAAGTATCCACCCATAAATGATCATACCTCTTACTTTGCCACAAAAAACATGGCTTATGTAAAGCCTAGTATTTTATTTCTGTCCTATCTGCATATGATGAAAAGATTTTACAAGCATTATGCCTGCGATAATTAATTTTAATGTATCTACATGACTAGGCCCAACACCCAGATGTTTGGTCAAACATTATTCTGTATTTTTTCTGTGAATGTGTTTTTTGGATGAAATTTACATTTAAAATCGGTAGACTTTGTGTAAAGTAGATTACCTTTCATGATGTGGGTGGGCCTTATCCAATCAGTTGAAGGCCTTGATAGAACAAAGATGGTTCTCTCCCCAGCAAGAAGGAATTCTGTCAGCAGACTACTTTTGGACTTAAACAGCAACTCTTTCCTGGGTCTTCAGTCTGCTAGCCTACCCTGCACACCTCTGGAATTTTAAGCAATTGGCTTGCAGAATTGTGTGTATCTATCTCTATCTATTTCTATACCTATATCTGTACCTATTATATATTTATATGACTGTTCTGTTTCTCTAGGGAACTCTGACTACTATACGCCTGCACTAGCCCGTTTTCACACTGCTAATAAAGACATACCCAAGACTGGATACTTTATTTATTTATTTTTTTGAGATGAAGTCTCACTCTGTCGCCTAAGCTGGAGTGCAATGGTGCGATTTTGGCTCACTGCAACCTCCACCTCCCAGGTTCAAGCAGTTCTCGTGCCTCAGTTTCCCGAGTAGCTGGGACTACAGGCACACACCACCATGCCTGGCTAATTTTTGTATTTTTAGTAGAGACAGGGTTTCACTATCTTGGCCAGACCGGTTTCAAACTCCTGACTTCGTGATCTGCCGGCCTCGGCCTCCCGAAGTGCTGGGATTACAGGCGTGAGCCACAGTGCCCTGCCAAGACTGTATAATTTATAAAGTAAAAGAGGTTTAATGGACTCACAGTTCCACATGGCTGGGGAGGCCTCACAATCATGGCAGAAGACAAAAGGCATGTCTTACATGGCAGCAGGCAAAAGGGAGAATGAGAGCCAAGTGAAAGGAATTTCGCCTTATAAAACCATCAGATCTCATGAGACTTATTCAGTACCATAAGAACAGTATGGTGAAAGCCACCTCCATGAGTCAATTATCTCCTGCCACGTACCTCCCAAACACATGGGAATTATGGGAGATACAATTCAAGATGATAGTTGGTTGAGGACACAGCCAAACCATATCAATGCACTTGAAGGTAATTCTTCATTGAGCATTTCTTTTTGCTGGACAAGATTGTGTTGCACAAAAATACTTGCATTACTTTTCTTAAAATTATGCCTTTATTTTTTCCTAAAATGACATCAATAACTTATCTTTCTAGTATCAGTGTATTTGTCTGTGATAAGGATGAAAAAATCATATATACAATTTAATAAACATTGAGGGAGCAGTGGTGATCAAAATGCAGGTGTATGAAAGAACTATATACTGCTACCTCATCAATCTACAATGGCACCATTTTCCTTTTACCTCAACTTTTAGAAACTTTTTTCCAGTTTTGCAATTGCAAATTAGATTCCAAAACTTATCTCAGAAACATACACATATGTGGGTGAATATATACACACATATGTTTGTATGTGTGTATATATATGTGTATATATACACACACATATATATATACACACACACATACATGGAGGTGGCTTTCCCCATACTGTTCTCATGGTGTATATATATTATATTATATATATATTATATATATGTTACATATATATTTTATATATAATTTATATATATAAACAAGGTCTCATTCTGTCACCCAGGCTGGAGTCCAGTGGCACAATGAGAGCACACTGCAACCATGAACTCTTCCCAGAAATCTTAATGCTCTCAAGTAGCAACAAATTGATTGCCAAAGAGATGTGTTGTCTTGCTTAATCAAATGATTCTGTGAAACCACATAAGGACCATCTTCACTTTACACGGTTAACCTGAATTGTCAACTAAATAGAATTTTCTCATCTGATGTAGTTATTGATCTAGCTATTTCCCTGTATTCTTGTTCTGGAGACATTTAATATGGTCTTAAGTGAAGATAAGTTACTTCAAATAAATAGAAAAATGGAATCAGAGTCTAAGTTCTATAGTATTTTTAATTATCCAATAGTGCATGCTTACAGACAATATTAATTTGATTTTTGAAACATAATTCTACTAAATCTATTTTAGTAGATAATGAGAACTATAAGCTCTCATCATTACATGTGTATTACTACACTGCTTTATATTTTAAGTAGCTCTGTGTCATTACACAACTGAATATATGATAGATTAAAACTGAGACAGTATTGAAAGAAATTTGAAAATCCTAATTTCACTCATCTTAAGACTGCAACATAGGAAAAGTTAATTTAGAAACACCTTAGGGTAATTTGAAAAAGGTCATACAAAGACTCATTATTAAAAAACGCTCTTCAAAAATTCCTTTGTCATTTGGCGATGATGCTTTGATGATCAATGTTTTAAAAATAAATAAGAGAAAATAGACTATATATAGAAGTATTTAACAGTTATTTAAACTCTATATCTATAATTTAAAATATTGTTTCATGTTGTTATTCAGAACAGTATATTGAAAACAGAGACAACAGATTTAAAATGTTTGCATGACTGCCTTGCATAATTATTTAACTTTCATAGGTATGAGTACCATGATAGTCATAAATGCTAGATAAAGAAATGGTATTCAAACCCTAGAAATACAAGAAGACGTAGCATAATTTCCTAATAGGCAGGTGGGTGAAATATAGTGTATGTTTTTAAGGTTTATTTGGAAACGACCTATTATTAAATTCATTATTTCAAGATTCCAGTAAATTTATTGAGCTACTAAGCCAAAGCCACATGACTTAAAATGGTGACTTGGTGCTGTATCCTCACAATATTAAGAACCAATTGATTTTACCCACTGAGTATCAGATGTTCTTGGCTATGCTAACAGGAAACTACTTACTCTGATTCTCAATGAGCCATGCAGGTTCTTAGGCCACATGTTTCACCTATATACTCTGTATACACACACACTATATATATACATATATATGTATAATATTATATATGTATATTATATATGTATATATGTATTATATACGTATATTATATATGTATATATGTATATAATATTATATATATATATATATATATATAGAGAGAGAGAGAGGGAGAGAGAGGGACTTTCCCAAAAATTTGTCATTTTTCTCTCTAAATATAATCGAATTGCACAGCATGCATTTCAAAGTACTAGTACAAATTCAGTTCCTAATTGAAACCCACATATCCAACTTAACATATTTTTCTGGCTTGAATTATCATCATTATCAGGTTTATTATCATGATTTCCTACTAATAAAAAGGAATGTGTAGAGAATATGCATGATGTTCCAGGCACTATACAAGGTAATTTTCATGAATCTATTTATTAAATGCTCACAGCATACCCAATATGTACTCACTGAGGCAAGCGGAGGTTAGGTAGATCACCCAAAGGTTTATATCTAGAAGTAACAGCCAAGAATTTGCACCCAGCCTCTCTGATTCCAAAGTCTGCATTCTTAATCATTGCATAACTCTATGTCTTACATGCAATCTCAACAGTATGAGAATGAAATTTCTCTTTGCTGCTCTAAATTTACTCCTCCTCCTAGTTTACCTGTGTAAATAGTTAATACTGAATGTCAACTTGATGACTTGCAAGGATGCAGAGTATTGTTTCCTGGGTGTGTCTCTGAGAGTGTTGCCAAAGGAGATTAACATTTCAGTCAGTGGACTGGGAGAGGCAGACCCACCCTCAATCCGGGTGGGCACCATCTAATCAGCTGCCAGTGCAGCTAGAATAAAAAGCAGACAGAAGAACGTGGAGAGATTAGACTGGCTTAGCCTCTGAGGTTGTATCTTCCTCCCCTGCTGTATGTTTCCTGCCCTCAAACATCACACTCCACGTTCTTCAGCTTTAGGACTTGGACTGGCTTCCTTGCTCCTCAGCTTGTAGACGGCCTATTGTGGGACCATGTGACTGTGTGAGTTAATACTCTTTAATAAAGTCCCCTTTATATATACATCTATCATATTAGCTCTGTCCCTCTAGAGAACCCTAATACAACCTGTGTACCAAATAGCAATGCCAGTGTCTTCCTAGTTTGTGTTCTCATTTCTCACCTAGATTATTCTAATCACCATTGAACTGTTGTTTCTCTTCAATCTATCCTCCACACACATGCAAAATTTGCCAAATTTAGTGATTTCAAAGTGAAACATAATCTTTCATTTGTACTGCTTGAAATCTATCAATCCTTAAGAGATATATTTAGAGTCCTTAGCATGATATCAATGTAGTCATTACTAGGTGGCCAATGATAATTCTCCAGTGTAATTTCTTATATCTTTATTGGCAATCATTGATAATATGTGTACAATGCATGGAGCTACTTGCTGTCTACTAAGTATGCTGGAAAAACGAAAATCACACAAAATAGTAAAAAACAAACAAAATATGTCAACACAACAACAAACAAAAAGATGCTACTAGATGTCATGAAAACCAGGCATGTAAGAATTACAGGGAGGCCAATGCCAATGATCTCAGCTGCCCATTGCATTAAAATAAGTGATTCACAGGTCTTCACCCAGAGCACCTGCAGACCTTATGTGTTATATTTACCCACAATGCCCTTACTGGTGTGGAAGAGAAATAATGATGGATGAATCTTGCTTTTTTGCCTTCCAAGTCTTGTATGAATGGGTATTATTGGTAAAATCTCCCAGACAGCAACGCAACTGACAATGGAACCTTGACAATGCAATTACCTGGCATTTAGTCCTCCTCCAGAGTGGAAAGCTTATTAGTCTAGGGATGGTGCTGAGTATCATCATATCTTAGATTCAAAATATATACAGAATCCAAACTTTTCACCTCTCCCTGATATTTACCTGGCTGGAACTAGCATAGTCTTTGACTAAATTGTAGCAATTGCCTCCAGTTTACCCTATTGTGTCTGTTTTTGCCTTCTAATGCTTACCTTCAGTTCAGCAGGCCGAATATTTCTTTAAAGATATATATCAAATTATATCATTCCTCTGCTATGTCCTATATCCTATAT
Source organism: Homo sapiens (assembly GCF_000001405.40). Classification (NCBI taxonomy): domain Eukaryota; kingdom Metazoa; phylum Chordata; class Mammalia; order Primates; family Hominidae; genus Homo; species Homo sapiens. The sequence goes on from NC_000001.11 coordinate 189,638,734, forward strand.
ATCCTATATATATCCTATATCCTTCCAATAGCTCTTAGTAATACTAGAAAATCGGAATCCTTAAAATGACCTGCAAAGTCCATTATGATTCAGCTCCCAGCAGCTTTCTATCTTTTTTATCCTACTGCTTTTCCTCTTCGTTTGCTCAGCTGAAGTTATACTGGCCTTCTTGAAGTTTGCTTAATAGTCCTGGCACTTTTCAGCTATAGAAATTTTGTACTCAGTCCTCCTTCCCCTGTAACAGTCTCTTGTAGGTATTCTTACAACTGACTCCCTCATATAGTTTACATCTTTTCTCAAATGTTAACTTCACAGTGAAAGCTTTCCTTAATATCCTATTTTAAAAGCACCATGTTCCTCAACTCAACTAGAGCTTCTATCTCCCTCCATGATTTGTTTCCCTCCATAGTACATAGGACCTTCTAATAAATTATACAACTTATTTTACTTTATCTCTTTGTCTCTTTTTATTGGTTTTTGGCTCTCTATTGTGTCTCTCACATCAAACAAATTTCAAACAAATATTTTTACTGATTTTTCTCAAGTCCATAATTTCAGCAAAAAGAACAGACCTTAATTCAGAGTAGGAACACAATAAATATAACTAAGATGAATAAAAGGAATGGAGGAATGGGTGAACTGTTCTAGATTGAAGAGGCAGTATTGCACAGAAGAAACAGACCATGCACGTTAGAGAAAAAGAAGACCAGACTTGTGGAAACCCAGAAGTAGTGATTGACTGCAGATGTGAAGAGACAGAAAAGTAGGAAGAAAAGAGTGTTAACATTTAGCTACACAGTAAAGAAAAACCTAAAATAATCAAAACATTGTGTATCAACTATAGAATCAAATCATATAAGAAATGGAGTGATGAAGGATGGATTTAATCTATGACTAGACTTCCTTAGCATATGTGAAAAGGACATCTCTTTTTTTCTATTTGTAATTTTACCTACGTTTTATTTACAATAGTTCTCCCTTATCCATGGGACATACCTTCCACGACCCTCAAAGAATGCTGAAACCACAGATAATGTCAAACCCTATATATATACTGCTTTTTTCTATATATACATACCCATAATAAAGTTAACTTATAAATTAGGCCCAATAAGAGACTGACAATAATAACTAATAATAAAATGGAAGAAAATGTAATAATATAATGTAATAAAAATTATTTAAATGCAGTCTTTCAAAATATTTTACTGTACTCTATTGTAAGTAACTGAAACTACAGAAAACAAAACTACAGATAAAAGGGAGCTACTGTAGTAAAATAAAGAGGGGATGGTTAGGGTATAGAACATGGTTACAATTATAGAAATTGGTAGTAGGGAAGGAAACATATATTTGAGTTTGTAGATCACATGGCCACCTGCTAGAAGTCATGAATGCAGGTTACAGAGGGTTCTGGTGTTTCAGGCCTTCTGCTCCACCACTAATACAACCCTAAAGAGTCCACACCAACTAACATTCAATCACATATGACCCAGATTGTCAGTTCTGCTGATCTTGACTTAACAACAACAGCAAATTCATATTCTTTTAAGTGTGTCTGAAACTAGCAAGCCCTAATAAATGGCGTGTACAGATGAGGGTTATGACCTCTGTAACATTTTCTCCAACCGGAACCTACTGAAATAGCACAGATGGTGACAGGTATGATTTGAATCATGAAAACTCTTGGAAAGGTTATTGGGATAAGTGACAGAAGTTTCAGTCTCCTGTCATTTCCATCTCTGCATTTATTAACTGTGTGAACTTGGATGAATTATATAATCCCTTGGGCTTCACTGTGTTTAGCTTTATAATTAATACATCAGTTACAGTTCTATAGTCTGATTGAGAAATGACCATCTTTCCAAAGGTGCACATTAGAACTACACATATATGATATATACATATACAACGTTTATAAATGTATAATAAATATATAATTAATAAATATATATTTAAATGTAATGATCTATCCTTTTCTCAGCCTCCACTTTCCTCTATTAATGACATAATAATTCAGATACTTTAAAATGCTGGTATAGGCAGGGTCAACTTTATATTTAAAGGAGTTTTTAAGGCTTTAAACCTAAATGCATATTGCTAAGTGGAAGAAGCCAGTGTGAAAAAGCTACACACTGTAAAATTCCAACTATATAACACTTTGAAAAAGGCAAAACTATTGGAATGATAATAATATCAATGGTTTTTCAGGGGTCCAGGGAAAGAGGGAGGAATGAAACAGGTGGAGCACAGTACATTTTTAGGGCAGTGAACTGCATATGATACTTTAATTGTGGATGTGACATTACTCATTTATCAAAAGTCATAAACCAAACACAAAAAGTATTGTAAATGTAAACTATGTACTTTAATTAATAATAATTTGTCAATATTGGTTCATCAGTTGTAGCAAATATATCACACTAATGTAAGATGTTAATGACAGCAGAAACTGTGTAGGAGGTGAGAATGCATGAGAGAACTCTGGACTTTCCATGCAATTTATCTGTAAGCCTAAAACTGCTCTAAAAAGTAATCCATTAAAAATTTTGAATGAGAATCTTCAGTGATTTCTCTCTAAATTAACAGCCTATCATCCCCCAATTACCTTGCTAATTTTAGGTCACTTATTTGTATATGATTTTAAACTTAGTCTCCTTGGCCAAATAGTCAAATGTATGGCTTTAACTCTCTCTCTCTTCCTTTTTCTGTCCTTCACAGAAATTTAAGTCCAAGTTTAAAGAGAATATTTATATCATTCAGGTTCTAATCAGGAGACTTCCTGTTTTCTCCTAGCCCTTTGTCCTCTTCTGATATTCACTGGGAGGGAACTTGCTTCCACTGGCTCTTAATGTTTGTGCTGGAATCCACTATTGATGTTGGCTGTTTTGGCATAGCTTCCAATCAAATATATGGAGTTAGTTCATTTTATGCTACTATAATTGAATATTCATGGCTGAGTAATTTATAAGGCAGAGAGTTTTATTTCTTATGGTTCTTGAGGCTGGGAAGTCCATTACCAAGTTGCTGGTATTATGTGAGGGCCTTCTTGCTGCATCATCCCATGAAGAAGGTAGAAGGGCAAGAGAGTTTGAGAGAGCAAAAGGGGACTCAACTTGCTTTTATAACAAACCCACTCTCAATATAAGTAAAATGCTTCTGCAATAATGACACTAATCCATTTATGAAGGCAGAGCCCACATGACCTAATAACGTCTTATTTGGAGGTGATTCAACAATGTGTCATTAGGAATTAAGTATTTCACAAAATGAATTTTGGGAGACATATTCAAACCATAGCATATGCCTTCTATTCAATCTCCTTGCCTAAATCTATGCCAATGAAAATTTACCAGCAATCCCAGCACTGATTTTCTCACTGGGTGGCTCAGGAATTATTGGCTTTGTCTCCAAAATAGGCTTCGGGATTCTCTGTGAACCTGTCTTCAGGCCACCCATGGTTCTGGGACTTGCCGAATATGGATTTCTCTGAGATTTGTATGTGCCACAGATTATATCTAGGAAAGAGATTCTTAAATCTGCAGTTTAAGGGTCTGGTAAAATTACTTGGAGTTCTATAATTTAACTTCACCATACCCCTTTAGGTTTTGAACCTAGCAAAGAGAGAATATGGAACCCTTTCTTAAAACAAACACCAGTCTCTTTTAACTTTTCTTTCCTAGACTTAAAACTCCCTTTACCATCCTCCAAAATGTTTATGCTCTTTTTATCTATCTTGTAGGAAAGCAGCAACTGTATGGATTTCTCTAACCTAATGTTTATGGATTTATGATTATTTTACATTTCATGCTTTTTTTCCTTGATACGGGAAGTCAATGCTTCTAAAGTCCAAAAACCTTTTTTTTTTTAAAGTATTTTGCTCTTGAAATTAAAAAGAAAAGAAGGCTTTTAAATATCTTTCTCTCTAAAAGGTATAAAAGAATAAAACAAAGAAGGGAACAAACAGAACAAAAAAGCTACTGGAGTGTGTGTGTGTTTGTGTATGTATGTGTGTTAGTACAGGCAAGTTGAAGTGAAAGGTGTGTTTATTTTTACCTTATGGTGCATACTATATATAGCTAGAAAATTGCAATAGGACAAAAATAAGATAGCTTAAAGTTGCAAAATAAATTTTATCTATCTGAGTGAAGGATATTAAAAATAAAACTGCTTTTTTTGTCAGTTTATAATTGTAATTTATTTTAACATAGACCAAAAGATGAATGAAATGACATTGCGTTTTGTATTTTCCTTAAAATACATTCAAATCATTAAAACTTTATCTTTTCATATTTAAATAGAAGATCTGCATTTTGGCACTGTGCAGAAAGAATCTATAGAGAGCATTCTATAGGCTTAGGACATAAATGTGGTAGAGTTTAATTTGTTCTTGTTCCACCAGCAGAATATAATTAGATATCAACAGAAAATTAGTGAAGTATAGCCATGTTTTTGAACAAGAGTTTCATTAGTTCTCCTTTCTTCTTATATTTAATGTGATTTCAAATTCAAAGTAATTATATTTGGACAAGGTTCTTTGGTTAAAAGGGAAGCTGATTATAGGAAACTTAGACTCTTAGGTGCTTGAAAGCAGTACACAACTATAGCCCATCACTTTATGTGTTCCTTTTCCTCAGAAAGTCATGATGACCTACATTTAATTATGCATGCATTACATCAATAAGGCATTCATAATATATTCATTATAAGATCCTCAAGAACTTACATATTTTTGAGAAATAAAAAATATTTTCAGTTATTTAATATGTCAGTTGACAATGCTTTTTATACAAGTAAAAATCTCATTTTTGTTCTGAAATGGAAAACACATTTCCTTTGATAAATGTGAGTATTTTTAGAGAGGAAGTATATGAAATATAAATAAATGAATAATAAATTACTTTTTTTTATATGAATGGACTTGTGACTGGGCCAATATATAGTTAGAAGTAGTAAGTGGGAGATGCTGACATAATCTCATGATGAGTTTGTATGTGTTTGCTGATTGCTAAAGAAAATAGGTTGACACCAACTTAGAATAAATTGATGCCGATTTCTAGCACTTCATCAGAGGCAAGAATTTATGCAGGTGGAGCAGACGAAATCAAGGACTTTGTCAGGGCTTGGCAAGAATGGATTGGGTATGCTGGAGCTAGGTGGCTTTTAGTTATTGAGGGAACCTACCCCCAATATTTCAACATAAGTTCTTTCTATTCTCCATAAATGTTGGCCAGCTGAGAAATAGAGACAGTACAAAGAGAGGAATTTTACAGCTGGGCTGCCGGGGGTGACATCACATATCAGGAGGACCGTGATGCCCACCTGAGTCTCAGATCAGCAAGTTTTTATTAAGAGTTTCAAAAGGGGAGGGGTATAAGAACAGGGAGCAGGTACAAAGATCATATGCCTCAAAAGGCAAAAAGCAGAAATACTAGTAAATATCTAACAAAGATCAGACGCTTCTAAGGGAACAGGACAAAGGACAAAAGCAGAAGAACTGATAAGGGTCCAACAAAGATCACAGGGCAAAGGGCAAAAACAGAACCACTGATAAGGGTCTATGTTCAGGGTGCACATATTGTCTTGATAAACATCTTAAACAACAAAAAACAGGGTTCGAGAGCAGAGAACCAGTCTGACTACAAATTTACCAGGGCGGAGTTTTTCCCCACCCTAGTAAGCCTGAGGGTACTGCAGGAGACCAGGGCATATCTCAGTCCTTATCTCAACCACATAAGACAGACACTCCAAGAGCGGCCATTTATAGACGTCCCTCCAGGAATGCATTCCTTTCCCAGGGTATTAATATTAATATTCCTTGCTAGGAAAAGAATTTAGCGATACCTCTCCTACTTGCATGTCTGTTATAGGCTCTATGCAAGAAGAAAAATATGGCTTTTTTTGCTCGACCCCACAGGCAGTCAGACCTTATGGTTGTCTTCCCTTGTTCCCTAAAAATCACTGTTATTCTGTTCGTTTTCAAGGTGCACTGATTTCATATTGTTCAAACACACGTTTTACAATCAATTTGTACAGCTAACACAATGATCACGGTGGTCCTGAGGTGAAGTACATCCTCAGCTTATGAAGATAACAAGATTAAGAGATTAAAGTAAAGACAGGCATAAGAAATTATAAAAGTATTATTTGGGAACTGATAAATGTCCATGAAATCTTCACAATTTATGTTCCTCTGCTGCGGCTCTAGCCGGTCCCTCCATTCAGGGTCCCTGACTTCCCGCAACATTTAGTAACCTCTGGAATAATGTATCCTGTTTATCTACCTAAATAAATAGAGGTGTAGGGTTCTAGAGAGCTAATATCAATAAAATATTATGCCATCTTAAAACATTTCCCCTTGATTCCAGTGGGTAACATGAGTGCCAAGCTTTCATCCCACCCATGATAATCTCCATTATTCATGAGGTTCTTAGATACCCTGAGGCTCTGCAACATAACCATTCAGAATATGGGAGCTACTTAGCACTGAAATGTAAATTTAAATTACTTTTTTTTTTTTTGACAGTCTCGCTCTGTCGCCAAGGCTGGAGTGCAGTGGCACAATCTCAGCTCACTGCAACCTCCGCCTCCCAGGTTCAAGTGATTCTCCTGCTGCAGTCTCCTGAGTAGCTGAGACTACAGGCATGTGCCACCATGCCTGGCTAATTTTTTGTATTTTTAGTAGAGACAGGGTTTTACTGTGTTAACCAGGATGTTCTTTATCTCCTGACCTGGTGATCCACCTGCCTCGGCCTCCCAAACTGCTGGGATTACAGGCATAAGCCACCACGCCCAGCCCTAAATCTACAAATATTAATAGAACATTTGGTAATATTTCAAAAACTGTGGTAAAAACAAAGCTGACATATAACACATCTAGAAAAGTCACTATATATGGCATACAAAGTGATTTGTATAAAAATATGTATACATGCAAAATTCTATTATATTTCTATATCAACAATTAACAACACTAAATAAATTTTTAAAATAATAAAGTTTGAAATTGCATTTATAAACAATCATTTAGGCAAAGTCTAAGAAGAAAGAAAACATCTTCATTGAGACTAATAGGACAGTATTGACATGAATAAAATTTGACTTATGCAAAGAGAGATATATCATAATTATGGTTTAGAATATTCAATATTATAAAGTTGTTAATTATCCTATAAGGTTCATTTTGCATATGTTTCCCAGCTGATCCTAAAATACATATGGAAATGAAAATAAACCAGAATAGTCAAAACAATTTGAGGAAAAGAACAAACCTGGAGGACTTAAACTAATAGATATCAAACACTGTTAATTTAGAGTAAGTCAGGCAATATGTTATAAGCACAGGATAGAAACCTTATCAGTGGAATGAAATGGAGAGCCTGGAAAAAGATTCAGACATAGAGATAACCTGATTTATGAGATATGTAATGCTACAGCTCATAGAAAAAAACTTAACCTTGTCATTAAATTTTGCTGTCTTTGACTATCAATAGGGAAAAATAGTGCATTGGTCCCTATCTTTCACCACAATTACAAATTTAACGCAGATGGATAGTAGTTCTAAATGTCACCAGCAAAGCTATAAATCTTGCAGATAAAAGCACAGGAGATCACATCAGCAACCTGGGAGGTGGCAAACATTTTTGAAAAACAACACAAAAAGCATTACCCACAGAAGAAAAAAGTATCTGGGTTATGTTAAAATCAAACATTTTTTTATGAAGAAATACTGTCCAGAGAGCAATAGGGCGGCACACAAAATAGTAGGAGATATTTACCATGTATATATACAATTTAGGACTCATATCCAGAATATATAGTAAGAATATATATAAAATATAAAAAAGAATAAATAACAGAATATGCATGAACTATTATAATTTGAAAAGGATAAGTAAATATTCAACAAAATTTACCCCAAAGGCTTAAAAATATATTTTACAAAATTATATATATGCATATATATGTGTGTATATATTATATATATATATATATTTGACCAATAACACACAAAAAGTGGCTCAACTTATTAGTTATTAGGAAAATTAAATTGAAGTTGGTATTATTAAATATACACTGTAATAATTATAATAACGATAGAGCAAAAATATTGAATGCATTTTCAAACTGATGAGAGTTTAAATTGTCAAAAATATCTACGAAACTCTCTTTCTTTTTTTTTTTTTTTTTTTTTGAGGCAGAGTCGGCCGCCCAGGCTGGCATGCAGTTGTGCATTTTCAGCTAACTGCAACCTCCGCCTCCTGGGTTCAAGCGATGCTTCTGCCTCAGCTTCCCAAGTAGCTGGAATTACAGGCACACACTACCACACCCGGCTAATTTTTGTATTTTTGTAGAGACAGAGTTTCACCATTTTGGCCAAAGTGTTCTTGAACTCCTGATCTGAAGTGATCCACCTGTCTAGACCTCCCAAAGTGCTGGGATTACAGGTGTGAGCCACCACGCCCAGCCTAGAAACACTCTTTGGCATATCTACTAAAACTGAAAATGTACTCAGTGAGGAACTAGTACATCTACTACTAGGTGTGTGCCCAACAGATTTTCATACAGTTTTTAAGGCATGCATTAGAATGTTTATAGAAGCAGTCCTATTGATGGTCCTAACTGAAAACTGTACAACACCTATTATCAACATTAAAATTTATAAATTTATTGTGATATAGTTGCATAATGACACTTTCAGAGAATCATGGAAGAATCTCACAAACCTATGGTGAACCAAAACAACCAGACACCAAATAGTACACACTGTTGTATTTTAATATTTTATTTTTAAGTACAAAAACTGGCCAAACAAGTCAATGCTGTTAGAATTTAGGATGTGTTTTTTTCAGAAAGGAATGGCAGATTGCACGTGGATAGGGGTATTAGGGAGGCTTTTTGTGGTACAGATAAGGTTCTGCTTCTCAGCCTGGGTGTTATTATCTAGGTGCGTTTAATTTGGGAAAACTCACCAACATATTTGCATTTATCGTATGTGCACTTATAGTCATGAATATATTGTTTGAATACAAAATGTGTTAATACTTAACTAACAAGTAAACAGTAGCAGGTAATTTAATGATGATCAAGAAGAAAAGAAAATGAAATTTGATATAAATAAGTAGTTGAGGGATAATTTATCAATGTACAGAGTAACACAGGAATAATAAAGTAATTCTTCAAGTAAACAGACTTTAAAAAACTTTACGAATTCTCCCAGTGTAGTAATTCCAGGCCAAAAGAAAAAGAAAATGATGTAGTACATGTAATTTTAGTAGCCATTTATTAGTATAATTTTACATTTCCTTATTACTGGCACAACCCTGTGGAAAGCAAATTGACTTTTGAGAAGAATTATTTTGTTTTGAACCTCCCCTCCAAAAGACTCCCAGAAAGGAAAGTTCTTGCACAAACATGTTCACTATAAAGTGTATTTCTCATAACAAATCTTGAAAGCAACACAAAAGTCTTACTTCGGTGATACGGTAGAGCCAACTCAAACTGCATCCGGGGAGCAGATAGTGACCACTTCTTCACAAGTTCACGTCAGTGACATCATGTTGGTAGCCCTAGTCTTTGAAATGCTGGCTATTAACAGTTACAGCACACCAACTAGATGAAAATATTTTTTTTCCTAGCACATGTCTGCAATATTAAAGAGCAGTTAAAATTAAGTTTGAGTCTATACTCTTAAATTTATACTATTCTGCTTAAAATTGTTTCATTACCATTAATTTTTATATTGCCATTCAATTGTAAATATAGATGATAATAGTTAAAATGATACATGAGAGGAAAAAAGTAAAGGGAATGCAATATGTTAATCTCAAAAGATGCAATTTTATGACTGTTATGCTTTCCTATAGTTTTAAACTATTAAAAATATCCTATCATAAAATTTTAAAATATAATGAAATGCATTAACATTTTTAATTCATTCAGAATAACTACAAATTAGAATCTTTTATAATTTGTATTTATTATGAAAATAAGATGTAATAAGTCTGAAGTTTATATTATCTAAAGCATGTTACTAAAAGTACTGTCAATATCAATCTTCATTTTAAAAGTCCTAATTTACTGTATTGTTTGAAATAATAGAATATATGTTTCATTTGAAACACTTCTACAGTTTTTCTTAACAGAAAGACAATAAAATAGGATTGAAATGCACGTTGTTAATAAAATTCAAGCGATATCTGTAACACAGCAAAGAGAATTTAATTAATTAATTACAAACTTGTGAACATTGTTGTAGGTATCCTATATATAGCATTACTCTTTGACATTTATATTTCAAATGCAATATAAAAAACTACCATACCAAACAAAAGTATAAGCATAGAAACCCAGGAGAGTTTCTATTGCTACACAATAGCAAAGCAAGCAATCAAATATTATATGGTCTTACTTGTGGCCAAGGCTATATTAATTGCAATACCACGTGAGTTTCATTTTTCCAGTATGTCAGACAACACATGTTGTCAAATTTAGGCAGCAACAGAGTTAATTGGATAAAATATTGGATTTGTTTATGTATTTGCTGCTTGAGTTTTTTTGGCTTATTTTGTGAGTCATACTCTAGAAATTTTAGTTTTAATATACAATGTACTAAATTTTAATAAGGCTCCATTTTGAAAGTGGAAGAGCTTTATGCACAGAAAATTTTATCTGTTGCTCCAGTGAAAATAAAATTATTGTAATATATTCTTTTTTAGAGTAATGTGGTGAATTGTGAACTAATCATGTTTCTACAAGCAAATAAAAATAAAAATAAAAATAGATCCAATATATTATAAAAGTTTCAGGGATAGGATAGTACACTTGTAAGTCTAAAGCATTATGATTCAGTTAAATTTTCAACATAAGCCTGACTTCCCACAAGAATACCATTTAATAATGTATTGCCCAAATAGATACTTTTTCTATGAGATTGACTTTTATCTTATTATTATTATTATTATTATACTTTTAAGTTCTTGGGTACATGTGCATGCTGCTATGAAGACACATGCACAGGTATGTTTATTGCGGCACTATTCACAATAGCAAAGACCTGGAATCAACCCAAATGTCCAATAATGATAGACTGGATTAAGAAAATGTGGCACATATACACCATGGAATACTATGCAGCCATAAAGAAATGATGAGTTCATGTCCTTTGTAGGGACATGGATGAAGCTGGAAACCATCATTCTCAGCAAACTATCACAAGGACAAAAAACCAAACATCACATGTTCTCACTCATAGGTGGGAATTGAACAATGAGAACACTTGGACACAGGAAGGGGGACATCACACACTGGGGCCTGTTGTGCGGTGGTGGGAGGGGGGAGGGATAGCATTAGGAGATATACCTAATGTAAATGACGAGTTAATGGGTGCAGCACTCCAACATGGCACATGTATACATATGTAACAGATAGATACCTTTAAGTATACATTTGCCTCAATATTTCTTTAAGAAATCCTTTAACGCCTCGTTTCATCCCCTCTAGCACCTTTTAGTCTACATTATGGACCACTTGAAATTGAAAGTCAAGTCGTGCTCTCAGAGGTCCCCGTTAAATGTAAGAAAAAAGCAGGTTTTATTTCATCACCAAGAACAGCAGCAAAAAATGCTCTGATGTATGGTTTCCAGTTCAGATTCACAATAATTAATTGAGCAATTTCCTCGCATGGTAGATATAATTTCAAACCATTGTTGATAAAAAGTGGTATCGGGGTTTTCATTTTCCCAGTCTTATCTTATTTGGAAAAATAAATCAGACTTGTGTATCCAGATTTATAACATACCAGATTAAAACAAAACAAAAAAGCAAACAAACATTATTAACCAGAACACATAAAGAGACTCTGGTTCAATTTTTCTTTTTAATTTTATAAATAGCTGAGTTCAGGAGAAATTAGAAGTCACCAAGGCCTTAAAAAAGGAGTGAGGAGGCCAAGTGTGGTGGCTCATGCCTGTAATCCCCGCACTTTGGGAGGCTGACGCGGGTGTATCTCAAGGTCAAGAGATCGAGAGCATCTTGGCCAACGTGGTGAAAACTCGTCTCTACTAAAAATATAAAAATTAGCTGTGTGTGGTGGTGCACCCCTATAGTCCCAGCTACTCGGGAGGCTGATGCAGGAGAATCATTTAAACCCAGGAGGTGGAGATTGCAGTGATCAGGGTTCACACCACTGCACTCCAGCCTGGTGACAGAGCGAGATTTTGTCCCAAAAAAAGAAAAAAAAAAACCAAAAAACAAAACAAAAGGAGTCAGGAGTGAGGGAAAGAGGGAACAGACACCTAGAGTGGTAAACAGTCATGGGGGTGTTTGTTCACCTTAGCAATTTAAGGCTTTGCTTTCATCACAGCGCAGGGAATACACAAGGCTTAATCCACTAACAGAATAGGTTGAAAATACTGAGATTCACCCTCCACCCCAACAATGCAAGGAGACTCAAAGAAATTAATGATCACAGGCTGGGTTTGTGATGAAAGGAAAACAAATCTCTGGAAAAGTTTCATTTACAAGCTTGCCTTCACGTAAAATTTCTATTCCCTGCCTGGTTTCTGAAAAGCTAAACCAAAATTTCAGTCATTCTGTATTTATATCAAAGTATGAGTATCACACAAATTGTTTTGACTTTGACAAAAATTATGTAGATGTCAAACAGCAAAGATAACTAAAAAATAGAAAATGGATTTAGGAATTAAATAATATACTAAAAAAATCACTCTCAGATTGGAAAGACTAAATTACAATGGAAATTAAAACTTAGAACTGAAAAGTAAATTATAGTACACATACCACAATTTATCACATGCCATTAAAATTTAGTATTAAATATTTACAATATAGAATAAAAATCACAAACTAACAATTTAATAAATAGGAAATTAAAAACAATAAGTAAAAAAAAATTAGAGAAAATAAACGAAAAGGCTACAAAATAATGCGATAGAAAACAAACGAAAAATTCAGTCTCCAAAAACCTAACAGTTTTCTTGAAAAAATAATAAAGCAGAAAACTTCCTACCATGATTGAGCAAGATTTATGCAGGATACAAGGATAAATATAATTACTCAGTAAAAATAAAGATACATTCAAAATTTTAAAGTGAGACAACTGTGAACACATTTTTCAACAATTTTCTTGAAAAATATAAATTCCCCAAAGTGATACAGAAATACTGCAGGCAATAGACTCTGAAACATAAAAACAGTGATTAAAACTCAACAGACACAGGCACACACAACAAAATCATCAAATAATTTTATATATGGATTATAGAAACAACCGATCATAATTTAATATTTAAACCAATTCCGGTCATAGCAAATAACATCACTCCTGAACTCATTATATGGAACTACTATATCTTTACCAAGCAAGAAGAGCCTACGAAAAGCAAATCAAAACCAAAAGCTATTTATTTTGCCATAAGATAGTAATATTTTGTAAATGTTGTATTTTCTAGGCATTTACAGGCATTCTATTTTGTTTGTGTTAGCTGGTTTCAGTATTTATTAATTTTAATTCAAGAATAAAATATTTTTATTATTAAAAAAACTTCTATATACATTGTGGGGGGTGTGAGGGAAGGTGCGAGCAGACAACTAGAGTGGTAAACAGTCACGGGGTGTTTGTGCATCTTAGCAATTTAAAGCTTTAGCTTTCACCATAGCACAGGGAATAGACAAAGCTTTAAACCACTAACTTAGGGTGAGTTGAACCTACTGAGACACCCTCATACAAAATTTGTGTATCTTTCACAAATCTTGATCAATCATGGTAGGAATTTTCCTGGTTTTTTGTTTTTGTTTTTGTTTTCACAAGCTGTCTGTGTTTTGCACATTGAATTTTTCATTTGTTATATATACAGTGTTCCCTCAGTATCCATGGGGTATTAGTTCCAGGACCCCCTGCAGATACCAAAATCCATGGATGCTCAAGTCCCATTTATAAAATAATGTAGTATTTGCATATAACCTATGCACATCCTCAGGTATACTTACATATTACTTAAATAAGCTTAAATATACTTTAAATGATGTCTAGATTACTTATAATACTTAATGAAATGCTTATATATCACTTAATTCACATGAATTCAGTACAATTTATAAAGCCTGGTAATTTCAAGTTTTACTTTGTGGAACTTGTAGAATATTTTTCTTTCTGAATAATTTTGATTCAGGGTTTACTGACTCCATCACTGTGGAACTCACTAATACAGAGAGCTCACTGTGTATGTATAGATAGATAGGTAGATAGATAGATAGATAGATAGATAGATAGATAGATAGATAGAAAGATAGACAGATATAGTTTTTCTAAGAGAAAATATATAGTTAAGAATATGTTTTTTATCTCTTGCTATAAGATCTCCCAATATAAAATAGTGTTCAAATCAGAAAGAGTTACATTCAAAAAATTGGCTTTAGTTTTTCAATTTTCTTACTACTCCTATCTATGTACCTTATTATCATAACAATTTTCTGCTTTGTTCTGTTAGGCATTGTTTTTAGACTTTCTAAGTAGGTCTTAGTTTTAATAATCAACCCCCCTACACATTCTTTCAATAGACGTTTCATGGGGTCTTTTTAGATATTTAGAGAGGAGAAAATAGGAAAGAAAAGCAGTTTAACCCTCAAAATTTTTTTAAGAAAGAAAGGACGACTAATACCATAAAAATTTTGGTAATGATTCTCCTATATACTCTTATTATTGTTTCGATATAATTTACCCTCAAAAAGTCTCTCATTACACCTTCCTATTTTCCTTGATCTCCTTGATTTAAATAAGTGTAAAAATCTCTAGTCCCCAAGATGTATTGTTCTCAGGTCTCTTCCTTGGAGATAACATTCAGGAAACTGATAATGCAGAACACAAATATTCCGTTTGTGTTTATAACGACCTTCCCTTCTGTGAGTATGAATGTACCGACCAAACTCCTAGCTAAGTCCCTCCATCTGCTGGTACACTGGATTCCATCCTCTCTTGTCTAAAGAAGATCATTATCCTACTGTTTTCTTATCTTCTTCCAGCACATTTTTTTTTCTCCTACTTGGTTTTAATTCTTAGCACACTAACATAACATATGACATTACTTCTCTTAACATAAAAAACTTGACAGTTTTTTCGTCCAACTAGTGTCCTTTTTTTCTTCATCTGTTTATAGAAAAAATCTTTGAAATAGTTTGTCTCTACATACTATCATCTATTTTACAAATCGTGTTCTCTCTTATACCCATTCCAATCACATGTTCACTTACCTGACTCTGCCTTGTCAATGTCATTATGATTACCACACTGCTAAATCCCATGAGCATTCACTTGATCTAGGAACCTCATTACAAACAGTTGTCCAATCTCTTTCAAAAGGCTATATTCATTGGACCTCCAGGGTATACCACTTTTGTTTCAGTTTTCTTTCTATCTCTCTGGGAGTTATTAATATTTCTTAATCTCTTTTTCTGATTCTTTCTTATGTCCTTCATTTTTTAATGTTGCCATCATTAGATTCAGAATGTCTCTTTTTTTCTATTTACTTTCACTCTCTAACTGATCTCATCTAGTTTCATGATTTTATGTGCCAAAAATTTCTGAATTATAATATCCAGCTTGGGTTGCTATGCAGAGGACATATTTTCTTATATATTTTGAGCACCTCAGCAAGTTCTTCCCTGCAATTTAAAAATATATTTTTATATTTAAAACATATCTTTATGTTAATGCCATCTTTCTTAATGCTATGATCATCAAAGTTCTCTTGTTTGTTTGTTGGTGTGTTGGTGGGGAGGGGAAGTGTGGTTGCATGTGTGTTTGCTCATCTTTCATAAGAATCTATGCTCAAAGTTGAGCAACATAAAATTCTGTGCATTCGATTTGATCCCTATTATTGTCTTCATGAGTACTACTCCATTTCAAATCTGAAAGAACTCCCCTTTCACATCTGAAAACAATAGACTATTTTATATATTGCACCTCTAGCCAAATTTTTTATGTCAATCAGATGCATATCTAGTGTAATTTTGCCAGATTAAAGAAAAATATATTCCTGAGGCAGGAGCTTTATTTCAAGATTGTGGGTTAGAATCTTTAATTCTTCTTCCTAAATATGTGATGAAAATTTTTTTATTTTTCAAGATATACTGCTATGTGTCCTCTTGCTTTGAGATAACATTCAGAAAACACAATACAGGACACAATTTTCCCCTTTTGTCTTTATTCTTCCTAAGTAAGCCTATAAGTAGATGTTAAAATGGAAGTATGTGTTTCAGGGAGCAGCAGGAATATCTCTGATGAGTCAGAAAGCACTTCTCTTCAGTACATATGATGTAGATTGCATAATCAAGAGCACAGATTCTGGGGCTAAAAGAGGGAGGTATAGTGCAAGAGGAGGTTTATAAGCTTGCTTCCTTGCTGTCTCCCTTCAATGATCAAATGTGTATCAACCACTTCAGTCTGTCAGGTTGATTGACCCTAAGGGGAAATAGCTTATATTGTACCAAATCATCAGTTAGCATGCTTACTTCCTTTTTTTTCATGAATATTCATGACAATTTGAAACACAAGCAATGTCACTAAACTACATAGATAGTAGTACTGTAAAAGAGTATTAAACATTTTACAGCATACATTAATGATACAAAATATGTGGAAGACCAGATTAATTTACTCCTGCTATTGAAAATAGGAGAAAAATATCAGAATCAATATTGCTAATGTGATTTTGTTTCAGTATGTTTCACACAGTTATTTATACTGCTGAAAAAAGATTTACACTGTTTCAATGATCACTATTTTTTCAAATTTCCTCCAAGATGTTTATATTCAGTAAATCCACAAGTGTGTTGAAACTTTAATAAAATGTATGGATAAAATATGCAATTTCTGTTTGTTTCTTTGAAGACTTTCAAAGTCAAAACAAATGGAGTCTAAGCTATGCACTGTGATAGATTTACTAAAATATTGTATCCCAATGCAGATAAAGGGCAAACTATCAGCTTACCACAGTTGTGTCTTAAGAGATAGCCAGAATTTGCTCTCACAACTTCTAAATATCTTTATAGACTTCTTCTTAATCATAAAACTTATGGTAATTTTTATTTTATTTATCATAAATCTATACTTAATTTTTTTATTAAATTACTATTATAAGGTACTGATATTTACTGTGTTCTCAGCCATATATCCCATCTGTCTCAACACTTAGCAAATCGTTTGATCGCTAACTTGTTAAATGTATTATTAGTTACTCCTCAAATATATAAAGGCAACCCAGCTGCATTGTATGCTAATGATAGCATTTCCTTTCAAAACTTCTTGCATGTTAATAATGAAACATAAACTAAAATAACCTCTAAAACCCAAAAAGATACTGTCCAGTATTGTGTCCTACAAAGGAATTTCTGTAATAAACCTAAGCAGTGTAATGCTAATAAATATGAACATGGATGCTGGAGCTAGGTTATATGTGTTTATACTTCATGCCTGTGTAATATTGAAGACATAAAACTCCCTGAGCAGCAGTTTTCTCATCTATGAATACAGTCTTTATTTTCTTTCACAGTAATTGTCTAAATTAAATGAGTTAATATATGTAAAGATCTTAGAAAAGTGTTTTGCAACTTGTAGTTCAAATATATATTATCATCATCATCATCATTATGGAAATAAACTTTTCAACACATTGTTTACGTAACATGGAAAAGCCGTCATGTTGTGCTTATTAAATATGCCAAAAATTAAATTGATGCCATGTGATGCTAAATAGAAAGGAAGCACATTCAAAAGTAATCAAATAATCAAAAAAGATTAAGAAAAGTGTAGTTTTCAAAATACACTTTTTTAACAAAGAGGAATTTGAGTCTTTAATATTCTACAATTGAAATGAATTTCAAGATATTGAATCAAAAATCTAACCTACTTTGACCAAAGAACTCTCTTGCAAGACCAGTGTTTCGAAGCTAATTCATTTCAGAAAGAATGTCACAGAACATGCCCAGAATTTAAATAGCACTAGTGTTTGGTTTTTAATATTAATCTTTATTAATTTCATCTTAAATGACCACAAGAGATGTCTGAGTCAGAGACAGATATCTTATTAAATTCCCCATAGTAGATAATAATTTGTCAGCCCTTCATTGTTTTAGACATTTTCCTCTAGGCAATATAATGAGAAATGATGAAAATGTTTCCCTACAGAAGTAGCTGGACACTTCACAGATTAAGGATGAGAAAAAAATAATTTTCCCTGCTTTATAGAGGAATAAGGCTGTTGCTGCTCCCCTCCCTTCCTGAAAAGGTCTCCATGGGATTGTAATGGCTCTGAGTCCTAATTCCAAACCCTTGATAGCGAAATAAAATCTTTCCAGGGGCCAGACGGTCCCCTGCCTCTTAGCCTTTAAAAACATAAGTTGTTTCCAAGTTCTGATGCTTCACTGATTTTGACAGGGTAACTCTTCATTCTTCTTGATACCCTGAGGTTGAATTTAGGGATCTATTCTGGACACTAACAGTTGACTCATTCCTTGACATAAAAGAAAATGTATTATCTATTTGGATCAGAGCAATTAACTAGACAAAAGCATAGAGATCTGATCCTTAGGACAGGAAGCTTGGGGTTTTTACGGAATAGTAGGGAATCCAAACAGGCATTTTTCTTTCATAAATGTATTAAGTCGATTCTGAAAATTAAATAAAGTGGCAATATTAAGAGCATACCTCATAGACAGAGAAACAAGAAAGTGTTTTTGCTTGAGTAGTTCTAATAGGAAATATCCTACTCTTCAAACAAAAATTTGTAATTTGAGAGTTACTGTAATTTACCTCTAGCAAACAGGGAGTTTGTGGATTGTGATGAATAAAAAGGTATCACAAATGTTTCTGTCACCCATTTTTCTCTTTACAGAACTATGTGATGCCCATAACAATTAAAATTTTTCCTAAATTTAGAACTTTAAAACAAGACATTTGTTTCACAATTATCTGATCAGGAATTCAAGAGTAAATTTGCTGGATGATTCTGGCTCCAATTTTTTCATGATGTTGTACTCACGCTGCCTCATGAAGCCTCCACTGGGGCAAACAGTGGGGAGAAGCTTCTACATTTACTCATAGTCCGTCATCAGGTAGGTTTTCCAGAGGGAGAGAGAGAGAGGATATCACAACATGAAAGCCACTGTCAATAAATTCAGCCTACACTGAAAGAAAGAGGATTACACAAGAGCAGGAATGCCAATGTGGCAAGTAGAGATCCTAGATCCTGCTACATTTCATATTTGGACTCGGCTAAATGTGGCTGTCATTATAGGCTGTACGGACGCTCACCCAGAAAGTATTTGGTAATAGCTGAAGCACCTAAGCGAAAATGGGTTGCAATTTTGAAATTATTGTTATATTAGTTTATAAATCTTAAAATATCCCCAAATTACATAATACATATAAAAGCTTTGAAATCGAGTCCTATGTTTTTTTTACAGATAATATTTTCCAACATCTGTAGAATCTAAAATAGTAACTCTATCTCCTAATTTTAGCAAATGATCTTTTATAATTTTGTTTTAAAATTTGTGTAACAGTACACCAGAGGATATGACAGCCTAATATTTTCAGTTAGTATATCTTTCCAACACAGTAGTCCCACCTAATCCGAGTTTGCTTTTGCAGTTTGTTATCCAAGGCCAATGTCTGTCTGAAAATATTAAATGAAAAATTCCAGAGATAATCAATTTATATGTTTTAAATTGCATGCTTTTCTGAGTAGTGTGATAAAATCTTTTGTCATCTTGTTCTGCTCCGTCCCACCCAGGATGTGAATCATTCCTTTGTCTGTCATATTCATGCTGTCTACTGCCTGTCAGTCAATTAGTAGCCCTCTGTGTTATCAAAGCAACCATTGTGATACCACAGTTGTTACATTCAAGAAACTCTTGTTTTATTTAATAATGGGCCCAAAGTGCAACAGTAGCGATACTGGCAATT
Source organism: Homo sapiens (assembly GCF_000001405.40). Lineage (NCBI taxonomy): Eukaryota > Metazoa > Chordata > Mammalia > Primates > Hominidae > Homo > Homo sapiens. The sequence goes on from NC_000001.11 coordinate 189,658,718, forward strand.
AACATATGCTAGAGAGAAGTTGTAAGCTACTCATTTTAAGTGAAAAGGTGAAAATTTGTCACAAGCAGGCCATGTATAGAAAAAAAGTATTGAATATTGAGTTTGATATTATCCGGAGTTTCCAGCATCCATTGGCGGTTTCTTGGAACATATCCCTCATGGATAAGGAAGGACTACTGTATTCTGAATAGATTTTAGGAGAAGTAAATTCACGATTGACATATAAAATAATTTAGCCTTAGAATTTAAATAGACATATATCCTCTACAAATTAAACACAAATGTGATAATCTATGGTCACTTTTCCTTATACTTATGCCAGCTCAGTAATGACTGGTATTGATTTGCTGAAGTTCAAATTTTGAATTACAGTTTTCTTTAAATAGGGCTCATATTAATAAGAATATGCTCAACTTTGGTGTGCTGTATCAGTAAATATTCAAATTAATTGCACAGAGAGTAGTAATAATTTTATAAAGATTAATGCAATTTTTTTTCCAGAAATGCTATAATCTCTCTATTTTCTATTGATGAAGGGACTGATAAAAAGGATAGAAACCAAGAAATGAAGAAAGCTTTGGAAAGTTTTCCTATTAAATTCAATGTAAAACTTAATAAAAATAAATAAATATAAACATTGATCAAGGGCTACGATGAGCCCAGGACTCTGTTTTAAGACAATATCACAGAAACTTTTGCAATAATGACAATACACAGAAAGTCTACTTATGGGCTAAAAAAATAAAATTTGAAGTTCTTCGTACTGTATTCAAGGATCTCCACAATTAAAACACACTTTCCAGACTCCTCAGCCTCATTTTTTATGTCTCTGCTACAACCAATCTACTTTAAAACAAAAAAATAAACCACTGTCGATTTCTTACAACCTTCCCAGATTTCTAATAGTATTGTCTTTATAGTGTTAGGCTTACCAGGAATTAATTTTTTCTCTTTTCTCCACATTTCCAAATCTGATCTTTATTTTAAGAAACACATTTTTATCTGCAGGTGCACTTAGGAATGAACTCTTCCTTAAGTGGAATTTCGTGACATTTTATTTGGATTTCTATTAAGATACCAATTATTTTCTAATTTGTGTTTTAGTTAATTTGCCATGTTTCCTGTTTCTGATTGAAAGCTATGTGAAGTTGAAATTCACATCTGGGCTCTCTCTGTGTCTTCATAATGACGAGAATTGCTTTGTAAATCCTGGGTGATTCATACATTTGTATTGCATACCTGAGCATAGGAGCCATCATACTGCTTGCCAACTTGATCATTTTATAAATTGAACAATATTGATTGGACCAATATAGAGTCAGAATTTTTACTACTCAAATACAGCACAAAACATGTTTTAAGGTTCTCCAGTGTTGGCATAAAGCTGGAAGATATATAATTAATTGGTTCCATTAAGTAGAATATATAAAGCAAGTGATAAGAAGTATATCTTTACAAATTCATGAGAACAAGTGAAAAAAAAAACATAGTTTATAAATTTAGGCACCAAAGGAATACCTACACAAGAATAGATTTGGCCCTTTTGTGTGTTTGTTAGTAATAAATGTCCTGATCCCAAACAAATTACATCAGTAAGATTTACATCAAATGATTTAAATAATTAATTTATATTCCAACATAGGACTCGTGTAAAATAAATGCATGATCACGTAAGGTCTATTCTCTAGAGTGGCTCAAATAAAGGACATTATATGGGACTGAATAATTGAAATGGCAAATAATTCATTTAATATAGACCCATTAGATTTATTAAATGCTAACTTTATAGAAATTGTCACCTAATACCATAGAATGATCATTGCAAAAGCAGAGAAATGTGAAGATACAGAGAGAAGAATATTGAGAGTCACTTGTAAACAACTTACATTTACATGCTCTCACTTGAGCATATTTTTAGTCTGGAAATAATTACAGTATTTCCAAATGCTTACAACCTAGTATGTGTGTGTTCTGTGGCAGATTAGTCACTGAGTTATATTTTCCTATTTTTCTATGGGTATAATCTAAAGTCAATGCAACATATATTTTTTCTCAATGATAATTGTAATTTTTGATTATTTAAAAATATTATATGTAGGCAGCAGACATCTTGAGCTACTGAAATTTTTATCACTTGGAGGTATATGTAAGGATTGTTCATCATAATGTTGTTGGTCTCTACTGGCAGATACTCTAGGAGTAAAATGCGAAGTGGAATTATATCCTGTATTCAATTTTACTTTTAAATGTCACTTTACTTACAACAAGTATAAGACTTTAGTTGTTAAACCATCAATAAGAGTTTGAATCAAATGACCGTAGAAGCCTGTGGGAATAGAAATAGACACTGCTAAATAATCAGAGATGATGTGGATGAAATGAGTAATAACAAATATAGAAATGGTGATATAAACCTATTAACAAGCTCAAGTGGTCATTTCAGACTAGCTAACAATTAAGGTTACAGAGTTATAGAGATAAGAAATAATGTTCATGCACTAACTGACACATTTTAGTGCTTAATAGACATAGCCATTATATTTGCATACCAGCCAACAAACAAACACAAATAATAGTTATCATTATCATTATCTCTTTGCTTATTATTACTGTGAGAGCTTGGAATGTAAAATAGCTTATGTCTCTTACAGTTTTGAGTTTTTATATTTGTGTTAACACATTAGCTTTCCTAAACAACTTTTTAAAGTATTAATAAAATACATGTTAATAAATGTTCAAGTGAAAATCTATAAATTATATATTTTATATTCAACTTTAAGAGTGAAATAATTATAGTGTTTAAGTTTTATTTTATTAACACTAAAATTTTGATTATGCAGTCTGATATCCATCTAGTAAGATTTGAACAATTGTTTAGCAATGTTAGGTAAAGGGTACAGGATTATGAGAATTTCAATTTAAAAAAACAATATGGCATTTAGACTAGTAAAAAAAGTATACTTAGTTTGAAGTAAATTATTTAATAAAATTTTAATAATTAAAAAGAATTTATTAACATGTAATAAAATTTCCCTGGATAAGTTTAATATATTACACAAAAATTATTGTCTTCCACAAACATTTAATATGTATCTTCTTTGGACAGTCATATAATTAAAACAGATGTTTGATTTATTGATAGAGTGAATAACAGGTATATGAAAATAAAAGAAGTTTCTTGCTATTTGCAAGCGACAACAGATCACTTAAGTCTATGCTCCAAATTTCAAGATGTTGTCTGTGAAATCATAGAAAAAATGTAGACAAAAAACATGCTTGTATATGTGACCAATTTCAACATTTTGTAGCTGTGGAAATCCAAGTAGAAATTGAGTGTATTCTCCAACATCCAACAGATGGTTGAAAGCTGAACTTTCTCATTCTCAGTTTAGTATTAGATCATCGTTAATTGAAGAACTACTCTGATTTTTATTTTCTGAAAAATAAAATATGTATAGAAACAAAATGATAAACTTCTTACTAATGTTAGATATGAGTTCTAAATTTCTTTCCAAAGAATCAATATGTAAGTATGTTCAATTCTTTGCCTTCTACTTTTAAACTTAACTTCCTCTTAAAGCAACCTTTTTTGATTACCTGCTACACCCTGACTCATTCAGATTACATACTCCACACTGACTCATTCCGATTACCTCCTCTGTCATAACCATTTTTCCCGCCAAACCACTCATCCTGTCACTCACTTTAAATTAGCCAATTGGAATTAGTTTAGCCTGTGCATCTAACACTATCCAGTAGGGGAAAGACACAGCAGCAAGGGCCATGTGCATCAGGGATAAGAACCCCTTCTCCCTAGTCCAAGTGTGCCCTCACCGTTGCTCCATCTGTAAGGGCACACCCTTCTATAGAAGTACCTTGCCTTGCTGAGAATTAAAACAAAAATTTTATATTCGAGTGCTATTTCTTTCACGGCACCAAAACTTTATATATAACACTAATTTCATAAAGTAAATATAATTAATTACTCACTTTACTATCTATGTATTCAGATTCTCTCCTGATACTGTTTTAGTCATACTTTATAAGGAATACATATTATTTAGTTGATAATTTTTCCTACAGAAAAAATATCTTACATAAGAAGTAGATATGGGTGTTCAGATCTAATAGTCAACACAGTTGATATTTTCTAAACATGTATGCATTTTGTAAAATGCAATCAGAACTTTTTTCTAGAATTTTTTACATAAATATTTTAAGTGTATATAATAATTTTATAAAATAGATAATTTTTTAGCATCAATTAACATTATAATTAAAGTCATTAATTTATAGAAGAGTTTTAAAATATGGAGAAATTATTAGGATATATACATTTGACTGTTGGTGCTGTTTTCATTAAGAGGTGGAATATAGTCAGTTTATTTTCTCTATAGGTATTTATTACATTAACTGAAATAAGCCAGTCACAGAAAGACAAGCTTCAAATATTCTCACACATTTATGGGATCTAAAAATGATCTAGAATTTTTAAGAATATTAAGATACCCATTTTATTTTTATTTTAAGTTCTGGGGTACATGTGCAGGATATCCAGCTTTATTACATAGGTAAATGTGTGCCTTGGTAGTTTGCTGCACCTATCAACCCATCACCTAGGTATTAAGTCCAGCATGCATTAGCTATGTATCCTGATGCTCTCCCTCCCCCAACCCCTTTCCCCGAAAGGCCCTGGTGTGTGTTGTTCTCCTCCCGGTTTCTATGTGTTCTCATCGTTCGGTTCCCACTTATAAGTGAGAAGATGAGGTGTTTGGTTTTCCTGCATTAGTTTGCTCAGGATAATGGCTTCCAGCTCTATTCATGTCCTTGCAAAGGTACTCAGTTTTGTAAGGCATCATGCAAAATAATTAGTAAACTCAAACCAGAAAAAAAGTATTATTGAATATTATCCTGAAGATAAAATATGAATGTTTTTGTTTGGAATTATTTCCTAAAAGATTCTTTTGTAATCTCTAATATAATTTTACATTTTTTTGGAGCATGTAGGATATTTATATTTTATTACTAGGTGCTTACTTGAACTTTTAAAATGATATATTGAAGGGAATAACTCATATTCTTGCTAATTTGACTTTCTGAAATGTACTTTTGCATTATCCTGAAAAAATTAAAATTATTTGTGAAAATCATCAGATATTGACCAAATACTGTTAACTTTTTTTCTGCTTTACTTTCTCCTGTGTTATAATTAAAGATTTGGATTTTTCTGGTTGTTTAAGAAAAACTATGTTGTTGTTTTTAACGAGGTGACCATAGACGAAAACTGACTTTCATCAATGTTTTAAGTAACTGTGCTTACATCAGGGCTTTAAGTAAGTGGAAGTAAGTAAGTTTACTGACTACTGATGTTCAACTACAATAGAATTTATTATATTGTTATAATGCTTAAAGTTATTTTTAATTTAAAATACAAGGAAATTATGATGCTAAATCTTCTATCCAAAATGAGAAACTTACCTCTATATTTATAATGATAAATCTGTAGCCAACATGCAGAAAATAGAAATAAGTTATATATTTGATTGTTTTACTTGTTTGTTTTATTTTGAGACTATACCCTCCAATTTTTTTTAAATTTTTCTACAAATACTTTACTTTTTAGTTATGAAAAACCTACACATAATCTTTTGAAAAATATATACAAGACATCAAATCTAATGTACAAATATAGTAATTAAAAGATTAGTATATTTGTTAATAATACTGTAAATTTTAATAAAGTAGAAGATATATATTCTATGTACTTTGCTCACAAGAAAGTTGGAACTATCGTTCAAAAAGTATTATTTTCTATTTACTAAGAAAATCATTGCCTTGGGGGAAAATATTATTTAGCAGTTTTATGTGTGAATCTTTTCAACTGTAATCATTCAAATGCATAACTAAATGTGAATTCTGCCTTAGGGTTAGCACATAACCAATTTGTTTCACAGGTTATCTGATTATGAGCAGATTGTCCACCCACCTCAGCTCTAATCCCTGTACATTTAAAAATAATGTCAGATACTAGAAAAATGTGTGGATCTTTTTATGGTGTCATTATGAGAGTACATGTGTTATAATTTTCTCAACTATACTTCTCTGTTTCTTAATTTCTCTCTTCTTAGAACATCAACAGCAACTGGGTTATTAGCACATTTCAGGCATATCAGGAAAAATAAGGATAACATTTTTAACAAAACGAAAAAGCAAGCAAACTCAGCTGTCAATTTTGATTTATATTTATAGAAGAACCTATGTAATATAAGCACATTTCAAAATACCATTTTGTCATTTTAAGATATTGTCTTCATATTTCACAACATCTAAGATAAAATCAGAGTTTAATATTCATTTCCAAAATACATAGACCTGCTGTCAAAAAATGAACCTTGAAAAACTCACAGCTCTTTTCTTTTTTTTCTAAAGGAGTCTCACTCTTTCGCCCAGGCTGGAGTGCAGTGGCGCTATCTCGGCTCACTGCAAGCTCTGCCTCCCGGGTTCACACCATTCTCCTGCCGCAGCCTCCCGAGTAGCTGGGACTACAGACTCCTGCCACTGCGCCTGGCTAATTTTTTTTTTTTTTTTTTTTTGTATTTTTAGTAGAGACGGGGTTTCACCATGTTAGCCAGGATGGTCTCGATCTCCTGACCTCATGATCCACCCGCCTTGGCATCCCAAAGTGCTAGGATTACAGGCGTGAGCCACCGTGCCTGGCCAGCTCTTTTCAAATGTACAAAAGAAGACAACATCGCAGAAGAGTAAGCAAAGAAAAATGAAACAGTCATCAAGAGTATTCTCTAGAATATTTTTCTATTTTATGTTCAGGTCACGATATATAAATTTAGTGCCTTTTGGGAAGATTGATATTAATAGTAGTATAGTATTTCAGACTCTCTTAGATGCAAATTTAATTAAAACTTCAGTTCATTATAAGGTTATTACTATATGAAGTCCAAGAATAGACATTCACTGAAACAGGACTCTTTGTCGCTCATTTTCTTCTCTCTGTGGGTATGCTTTATTCTTTGTATCTTGCTTAATAAAATTAGTCTTTGATTATCTTATCTGCACCACATGGGAAGAAAATGCCCATTGGCAACTTAAAAGTTCTTATCTTATGTTTCAAGTCATTATAAAGACTTTGACTGAGCTCAGGCTCAAAATCTTGGGAAATGAACTAATTAACCTAAATTTAGATCAGGTGCTATCCCTGTATCTTTCAACTAAGACCAAGAGATGAAGTCACATTGTGTAAACATGATAGCTTCTGCTTGAGCCACGGGTATGGGAAGTAATCACCAGAAAAAAAGAGGATGCTAGTATATTTTCTTGCATTTTTAGTTCCTTGACTTCATTTCAAATGACCTCTCCAATCTAACATTACCACTCACTTTCTTGTTTAGACTTTGAGACCTTGAAAACTCATTGCTTCAGCAATTGCCAGATCAAACATCCCTCTCCCTTCCAATTACTAACCATGCCCGACACTGCTTAGCTTCCAAGATCAGACACGTTCAGAGTGGTATGCCAGTAGAACAAACATCCTTCTCTATGTTTGCCTTTAGACTTCTCGGGCTTTACTTCCCACCACACACAACTTGGTTTCCATGAGCTAATACTATAAATATCCTAAATAATTTTAACATATTGTGGATGTCTCATGACACCCACCTGGCAAAACCTAACTATTGCTGAATGCAACCAATGATTTTCTTCATCCAGTACCCTACCCACTAAATGCTGCACTATGCAAATTACATAGTTTGATTGATTGGCATCCCTACACATTGTAGTAACTCTTTGTAGTGGGCGATCAACATGACCTACTTTATCTTACTAAATTTCTCTCCTAAATTTTTTCTCCAATTCTCATCAACTACCACTTTCTGCCTGTTTTACTCTTTGTATTCCCCCAGACCCCACTCTGTATGAATTGTGGGTATAATTCATATAGAATATTATAGGCAGCAAATAAAACCACTTTTACTTTCTCATGACCAAAACTGAAAATTTCCTTACATCTTCATTCATCTTCTTCTGTTCTTCTATAATGGAGACACTATCCATTCTTCTATAAAAAGCCATACCTTCCCATATACACAGTATCCTAACCACATTTGTGTTCTCAGAAAACTTGATGTGTTTATTGTCCTATATGTCTTACAAAGTAGAATTTTCCCCCACCTTGTATAATCTTTATCTGCCATCATAAACTCTCTTTGAAACTGTAGCTCCTTCCATTTAATATCCTGTTTCTTTTTTACCCTTCAGAGTCAAGCTTTATGAAAAAGTAATTCTATATTCTGTTTCTATCTGCTCGTGTTCTATTTATTCCTCAAACTTGGATCTGGATGTGGCTTCTTTCCTCACCACTCGACTTGAATTTCTGCTAGATAATTTTATGAATAAGCTTCTTGTTGTCAAATCAAATCAATACTTTGTGATCTCCCTCTTACTTACCCTTTCCTAGTTTCCATTACATCACATTCTCTTGTTTTTTTATATACATCTCTGTTTTCTTCAACATTTCTTTTACTTGCTATTTGTCCATATTCTGATTTAAACATTGAAGTTATTCAAGGCTTTTATCTAGGTCTCCTTTTCCTCTCAACATGGAATCTCAGCCAGAGATTTAAATATTCTCTACATAACAAGGCAAACATCTCATGCCATAAATATTTTTATCAGCTTCAGACATATATATTTAAGTGACTCAAAAATCTCTACTTGAATGCTATACAGATATTTCAAATACATCATTATCAAAACTGTATTACTGATACATCTTATAAATAAGCACTTTCTCCAATTTTTCCCAGGTTTTAAAATGACTCTTCTCTCCACTTATTAAGTCAGAAAACTAAGAATAATTTTAACAATTCACTCTGCCTCATATTGAAGCATCTAATATTCTACTAGACCAAAAAAAGTGTATTACGTTTATTCCATTTATTCACTTTTTAGAAATCTAAGTATTTATTTTCTCTCTTATCTTTCATATCAAATTCATCTCACCAAATCCTGTTGATTTTACCTCCTATGCTTATCTGAGCCCACTTTCTTTCACTCTTTTTCACCCTGTTACCAATCTAGGTCAAGCCACTATTACCACTGCCCTACACTGGTTAATTATCTTCTTATTAGTCTTTCCACTATTATACCTACCTAGCTACAATCCATTCTCTACAGAGTATACAGAATAATAATTTTAAACATAAATTGGCTCAATCATAGTCTGTAAACCTATTAAATACATTTTAGTTATACATGATATGGAACCTACTTTCCTCCTGACTACTTTCTCACCTTACTTTCAATGTCTAGCCACAGTGGACTTTTTCTCAGAACATCTGTATAAAAAACCTGCTCGGGGACTTGATACATCTTGCTTCTCCCGAGTAAAAATTATTTCATCTATACTTTAAAATATTAACAACTTTACCTTCTAATTTAAATGGAAATATTTTTAAGAGAGAAAGGCTTTAATTAATCACAATCCAAATATGAAAATGAGTTTATGCTGCTTTATTTTCTCATAATCCACTATATTACTACCATAGTACTCATCACAATTTGAAATTGTGTATTTAATGGGTTGCTGGTACTAAAAATAGTGTTACTAAGGTTTGTCAGTGAATAAGAGTTCAATTTCGCCAATGTGTTAGAATTTTATTTGATTTTGTGGTTTTAATTTTTTCTGTAGGTGAGATATTCTTAATTTTCAAATTTCTATGAATTACCTGGGCTACTTTTAAACTACAGGAATATCTCATTTTATTTCATTTATCTTCATTATGTTTCTCTGATATTGTGTTTTTTACAAAATGAAGGTTTGTGGCAACCTGTGTCAAACAAGTCTTTCAGTGCTATTTTTCCAACAGCATGTGCTCACTTCATGTCACTGTGTTATATTTTGGTAATTCTTGCAATACTTCAAACTTTTAGTATTATTATAACTGTTATGGTAATCTGTGATTAGTGATCTTTTATGTTATTAGCATAAGTGATTTGGGGCCCCATGTAATTTGCCCATATAAGATGGTAAACTCAATCAGTAATGTTTTTGTGTGTTCTGACTGCTTCTCTGACTGTCCATTCCCCCATATCTCTTCTCCTTTGGCCTCCCTGTTCCATTAGACTCAGTAAGATTGAAATTAGGTTATTAGCCTTATAATGGCATCAAAGTGTTCAAGTGAAAGGAAGAGTCACATGTCTCTCACTTTAAATCAAAAGCTAGGAATGGTTAAACTTAGTGAGGAAGGCATGCTGTAAAGCAAGACATGCCAAAACTAGGCCTCTTGTGCCAAAGAGTTGGCCAAATACTTAATGCACAGGAAAAGTTCATGGAGATTGTGGGGAGTCACATGGAGATTATGAAGATTACGGGGATTATAATTCAAGGTGAGATTTTGGTGGGGACACAAAGCCTAACCGTATCAAGATTATTCTACCAAAATGACATATGTACTTGCATGTTCACTGCAGCGCCATTTACAATAGCAAAGACATGGAATCAAGCTAGGTGCCCAGTGATTGGTGGATGGATAAAGAAAACGTGGTACATATAGACCATGGAATACTATACAGCCATAAAAAAACAACCAAATCCTGTCCTTTGCAGTGACATGGATGCATCTGCAGGCCGTATTTCTAAGTGAATGAACATAGGAACAGAAAACCAAATGCTGCATGTTCTACCTGTAAATGAGAGCTAAGCATTGAGCATACATGGACATAAACATGGGAACAACAGACACAGCAGACTACAATATCGGGAAAGAATGGAGGGGCTGTGGGTTGGGTTGAAGAACTGCATATTGGTTACTGTGCTCACTACCTGGGCGATGGGATCCATGCTCCAAACCTCAGCATCATGTAATATTTTCATGTGGCAACTCTGCTCATTACCTCCTATATCTAAAATAAAAGTTGAAATTTAAAAATAAATGAATAAAAATTAGACGACAACAACACAACAAAAAATTAAGTGTTGTAAAAGTATATGTATGTTAGTGTATTTTAAATCTAAAATAAAAGTACTTTGGTATGTTTTACCCTAAAATATCATTTCAATTCATTATATTTGACATGGAATTGCTATATTTTATTGAGTAATTTTAAGTTTTTGCCACATGCCAAATGGAAGAGCAGCATGTAATAAATAATTTAAATTAAATATATTATTCACATTTAATTTTAATGAATATAATGCTTTTAATTTTTTAACTGACACTGCTTCTTGAAGTAATCCAATATATAAAAGAAAAAATAAATAATTTTATCTAACAAAGTGATTCGTCACCTTGGCATGTTTGCCATTTTTGGCTGAGGAGTCACTGATGTGCGGGACTGTGCTGTGCACTGTAGAATGTTTTGCAGTATCTGTGGCCTTTATTCACTAAAACTTATTTGGGATCACTGAAAATGTCTCTAGATATTGCCAATACCCCATAAAAGACAAAATCACTCCAAATTGAGAACCTCTGCTCTTACCAAAAAACCAAATCTTTAGTAGTACTTGATTTCTGATCCCAGCTATCCTGTCAATTAGCTCTATGACCTTGGGAAATCAAATTTCTGGGCTTCAAAATATGCATAGGTAATGTGAGAAAGTTGTAATTGATAGATAATTTCAAAATTTATTTTAAGTTTGTATCATTTTTATCATGCAATTAGTCAAGACATAGATAAATAGAAAATAATCAATATATGTTGAATCCTTACATATATATACACACATATGTATATATATTTATATATACTATATATATTGAGTTACATCTTAATAAGCCATGGTATATCGAAACAAACTCATTGTAATTTGAAAATATCATAAATAAAAAATGTATTTAATGCTCCTAACCTATTAAACCTGAAGGTTAGCTTAACCTAGACTACTTTAATTATGCTCAGAATAGTTACATTATCCTGAAGTTGGGCAAAATCATCTTAACAGGAAGCTTATTTTATTATAAAGTGTTTAATATTTTATATAGTTTATTGAGTATTGTACTGAGTGTGAAAAACAGAATGTTTACATGATTACTCAAATTATGGTTTCTACTGTGTTGCTTTCACACTACCATGACATCAAAAAATCGTTAAGTCAAACTATTATAAGTAGGAGACTGTCTACATTTTATTTTTACAGGGAAAAAGACTGACTTGAATTAAGTGAAGTGAATCAGAAGAAAATGGTAATTGACATTCTACTTGATGCTTAAGGGGCTCTATTTTACATTAATATATGATTTAATGCTAAATGTCCTTGCCTAGAGTATGTGGGAAATGATCTATATTTTTTACATTAAATTTTATATATTTTCCTTAACCCTGAAGTATATTTAATATGTGTTGATGATATTTTCTCAATGTTTTGTTTTATAATTTTTGTTTTTTAAATGACAAAGGATATTGGGCATATAAAGAATCTTAAAGTGAACACTTTTCTAGTGTTGTAGTATTCTCTTAATGTTTTTCTTTTGTAGGTAGTTGTCCTCTCTTTCAATCCTCATGGTTGCATCAGGAAGAAATAATCTTTATACAACATGACACTGTTGTGCCCTGCATTGTAATACAGAAATGTTGAGAGAATCCCTGTAGCTAAACATATTTTAGTTTCTGTCTTGCTGTTCTCTTGAAAAACTATTCGGTAATCTGGCAAATGTTAAGAATGAATATGATCTTCCAGTGTACTGGAGGTAAAGAAAAAAACTCTTTAGTAGAGAAAAGGAATGAGAATAGATAATATTCTGAAAGAAGAAATAGCTGTTGAAAAGGAATTTCTGGACCCCCAGTGTTGTCCCAGACCCTAATTTTAAAAAAGCTAATTAATTTTGTGGGTAAAGAAAAAAAAATTAGCTGTCCTTCTTGTGCCGGTAGGAGTCCCCAACATTTACCCTTGTTGAAATCCTGTCTTTGCTTCTTGTTATCTGAATAACTTTGAAAAAGATTACTTAGCATCTCTAGATTGTAGCTCCCTGATCTGCAAAATGGGATTTTAAAATAAAACTGTTTATCTCAGGTGATTGTTCTAAACATTTAAAACTTCCTGTATTTCAAAGGATTTACCATGGTCCTTGTTGTTAAACTAGTGCCCAGTAAAAGTAAGTTAGGTGGTAATAAGATAACTTAGTAAGAACAAGTATATGCTCTAGTCAAGTATGAAGCTGGCTCCATGTTAACTAATTGGGTGATTTTGAGGCAGTTCCTTATCTCTCTAAGCCTTCAGGTCTCCTTCTATAAAATGAGTTTATTAATAAAACCTGCCCCATAGGGTTCTTATGAGAATTAAGTTACTTTAATTAAGTTCTGTCACATAACAAAGAGTCGGTAAATGGTAACATTATTGCTATAATCACAACATTTGGCTCTAACTCTACCAAGTCCTTACCCCAGTTTTTGATGAGGCTGTGGTATGGTGTCCTGTGTCTCTTTGATGTGTCAGCCATGCAACTCTGGGATCTCTCTCTCCTTCTAGAACTTTCACACTCTTTATGTCTCAGCAATTCAGCTTGAGAGAGAATCCCTCTCTGACCTTCCTATATAAGTTAGAATCTCTGTTATGATCCATTTCTTCCTGTGTTTCCTTCAGAGCAGTCATCACAATACCTGTTTTATTTACTGTCTTCACTGTTTCTCTTCCACTAAATTGTAAGTTGCATGGCGAGAGAAAGCATGCATGTCTTGTTTATTGAGAAAAATGGTTGACATATATTGACACTCAAAAGTGTTTATGGAGTGAATAAATATGTATTTTCTAAATCAGTAAAATTTAAGAAAGCTTGCCTGCTCACATGACCCAAATTGTCTTTTTAATGAGCTTGAGGCTTGAGGATTGGCATGTATTGTTTTTAATTGTCATAATTTTTTTTTAATAGAGGCAGGATCTCTCTGTCACCCAAGCTGGAGTGCTATGGCGTTATCATAGCTCACTGCAGCCTCGAATTTTGGGGCTCAAGCAATCCTCTTACCTTAGCCTCTTGAGTGTCCATGCCCAGCTTTTTTCTTTTTTCTTTTTTTTTTTTTTTTTTTTGGTACATACAGAGCCTCAATGTGTTGCCCAGCTGGCCTCGAACTCCTGGCTCAAGTTATCTTCCTGCCTTGGTCTCCCAAGATTCTGGAATTACAGGCATGAGTGTGAACCACTGTGCCTGGAATTGGCACTTTTTTTTTTTTTAATAAAGTCTTTGCTTATATACAACCAAGTAACTCTGTTATATCATCATATAAAACAATAAAGAAACTCTGTTACAATATCATATAAAACAAGTTTATAGTCTCAGTAAAAAAAGGAAGATAATTTCTGTAATGGATAGTTTTGATTATGTATCTAACTTCACCAAATTATGCAAAGAGACTAATCACATAAAATATCCATATATAAATATTTTTCTTTGATTCCTTTTTCATGTAATAACTGATGTCTTTATTACTCCTTTCTTTAGTTCTTTCTCCTTTCCTTTTTTATTTTTGGTGGTTATAGCATAGCATAAAAATCAAGAGATGAAAGTAAGTAATTGCCACTCTTTTTCTTTTTCCTTTGATGGACAGTCAGAAAAAGAACATTATCACAACCAGGACAAAACTGTGACTTATGGCAGGGTAAAGAATCAAACGTTTAGGAAAAAGAGCTTATGGAAAGCTTCAGGCTCTCAGAATTTGCAGCAGCAGTTCCAACTTGCAGATGGCAATAATTTTAGTAACTGCTGCCACCACTTGGCCCCAGACAATCACAAGAACACAGGAGACAGCCTTGGATAAAATTTATTGAGTTCGGTGAATTTATTCCAGAAACTTCTTATTATCCTTAATGTCTGTTTTGTTTGGCAAATATGACCTATTTAGTAGTCAAATACATTAGCAAAAAGTTCCACACTTTCTCTATTTTATTTTCTTAATGGCTACAAAGCTGTCTCTGTAGTTGAATTCCTGAAAGATGGGTATCGATAAACTCTATATTCTCCCTATATTGATATATTTCAAAGAGTTTTAAAAGCATATTTCAATCTTATTAAAATTTTAATACTATTTAAATATCGTGTACTTTTTAGAATGCTGAAAGTGTTTAGAACTTTTCCCTCCATGTGTTATAGTACTTGCTAGGTTTGCTGCTTTACTAACATGTGCAAATTCAGATTATAATTTATACCTAATTGTAATATGCCAACTACAAAAAAAAGTAAAGTATACTCTTTCATTTCCACATACATTCTATGCTTGAAATATTTTTTCAACCTTTTTTTGATTAAATTTTGCCCTATAAATATTTCATATCATCCAGATGTTATTTCAAATCTCATTATGTTTAGCTCATTCTTGTGTTTAAATTTCACTCTATTAGATCTTCTTTTATAAAACATAAAAAAGTATTATTTGTTTTGGAGGATACAGTTTAAATTGAGTTCTTTCAAGTATACTCACACAAAAATGTATTACTATTCATACAATATTTAATCTTGCAATTATATTTGAATGTTTTTTCACAGATGCTAGTAGTTTGAACTTTATTATTTTGGACACAGAAAAGGAATTTATTTCTATAGTTTTACTAACACATATAATATATACAACATTTTAAAAGTGATACAGTGATTTAAAAAGCATTTTTGGGAGATGAGTGAATTATATCTATGTTATACCTATACTATAATTATATGTACGCTATAAACACCTTATAGAAAGGAGCTGTTTCAGACACAGCCAATCTTAATATCCAGTATTCTGGGAACATTTCCTTATTCACTTAACCTAAGTTGAGCACCCCTCCATTACTGCAGTTACCAGACTGCATTTCCATTACTTTGTTAATTATTTGTATCCCCAGTAGGACTTTAACTTTTTGTGTGAAGTTCTTAGGTAATATTCATCATTTACTTCTGGCTTACAAAATACCTGGGATGTAAGAGATAGTATTTTTTGTTGAACTGAATTGAAATCTCCACCATGTCTGTTACAGTGACTTGCATATAGTTTATTTAAAATGTGTCTCACTGCCAAGGAAATAAAGCTACATACTTTCATTGTACTTTCTTTTCTTGAATACTTGTAGAAAATTACTTTATGTAGTATTAATCTCATAGACACTATAATTTTTTCATAAATTTTATTTTTAAGTTTAAAGAAAAATATTTACTAAAAGATTAAATTGACTTTGGGAGGCTGAGGCAGGAGGATTGGTTCAGCCCAGGAGTTCGAGACTAGCCTGGGCAATATAGGGAGATCCTGTCTCTATGAAAAAAATTAATAATAATAATGATAATAAAATTGAAAAACCATATATAAAAATCTTTTAACATATTTAAATGTGTTTTTTCTAGGCTTAATTTATTTGAAATTTTTCTAAACAATATTTTTCTTCATATACAGACTAATAAACTTCTATTAAAATTATACCTATGTAAGAGGGGGAAAACTAATTCAATTAATTTTTACTGGAATTTAAAAAATATTTGAAACTAATACTTTGATTTGTTCTATTTTCTGAAATCATAGGATTGAAGGGAAAAGGGATGGGGGGCATGTAAAAAAGAGCCAAAATATAACCAACTCTCTTAATGCCACATATTTACATGACATCTGTGGTATTGCAATAAGAATGTAATGTTAAATGCAAGTACATTATTGTATGTCTGACATCATCTACATATGTTATAATTTTTTTTTTTTGCTGTTGGAACAATTGAAAATAGATCATGGAGTAGTTCACTTGCTAGGAAATATTTTGAAATCAAAAGCCAAAAGGAAGTTCGGAGACTCTGAAAATCCTCCTCATATAGATCTTAATAATTCTTGCAATTATGTTTGCTACATTTTGAATAATTCTAAAACTGCCAAGCAGAATCTCAAATGTGATAGATGGTATTTGTGGCTGGGAATATGTTAAAATATGTAGCTGGCATTCATTAAATTGTGATGCTTCTCTTACATAATAAAAATAAGATCATCATGAACCACAAGCTGAGTGAAATGCATTGTGAAGTGGCTCATCTGTCTTCCACATGGTAGCAGTATACATAACTGGTTTCTTAACTACAATTTACCTGCCATGAGTAAATTGAGACTCTCTAAAATGTCCTTGAAACACTCGAACATTTACCTCTATGGGACTCCGAGAGGGGATTATGGTTCAATTCTTAATAATTGCATTGTTGCTACCTATATTTCAGTAATGCTGGCTTCGATAGCTAGGTGAAGAGAGTTATCCCCAGGTGAAATTGTTCTTAGTAAAATCTGTGTCAGCATCAGTGCACTACTGAATATTGCTCTCTCAGTTTAACAGACCGCAGCATTTGTGGGATATGATGCAGTTATCTCAGTCACATATTTCTTAACAGTGGGGAGGATATGAAAGGTGATGACAGCACGAAGAAGGCTTATAAGTGCGAGTAATGGAGGAGATTTAAATGCAAGGAACACTGTAAATGAAATATTAATCACAAGCTGCCAGTGATAAATATTCTTTTTTGGTTATTATCTCCTTTTCTAAATGAAGCTACTTGTATTGAGGAGTACTGTTCACATTTTACTTCTTTGATCCCACACTCGTGTCTTAGCAATCAAATTAGTAAGATCCTGATGCTTTGTTTCCAATTAGTTTGAAATTTTTTATATTCCTAGAAATCTTATTCACATAATTCCACAAGGGGCTTGTTTATCTTATCCTAAAATAAGTTGAAACCATCTTACTATTGTTTTAAAAAATTTATTTGTAGAGCTAAATTATTCATATGTCTTCCCATCAGCATATATTTAACCTTTATGTAATGGGAACAAAGAGGATATAATAAACCAATGTATCTAATTTCTATCACATTTATTCCAGATTAACAAAAGTTAAATTTGCTTTTTAACAGTGTGATTTATCTTAATTGTTCTTAAAAATTAGGATGTTAAGTAATCTCTAGATTCTTCCTTTGCCACTTTTCTTAGATATTATACGACGTGGGAGAATAGTTTATTTTTCCATTTCTTTCTGTAGTTCCATATGGGCAAGAAATTGTGACTAGCAAAATTGGCACTATGTATATCACTATTCTTATTTTAGAGCTTAGTGGTAATCACCTGTAGAAGGTATGGCTTCTCAAGTCTGGGAAAAATAGAAAAAAATAATTAAAGGAAGCAATAATTTCAGAACAGCTAATGTTGGGGCACAGACACTGATACTCAAAATATGGCACTTTGACATGATAACTGAAGACCCTCAAGATCTGTCCTACTCTCCACCATTCCTGTCTCTCATTCCATTGTCTCCCCCAAAGCACAGGATGAAGTTTTTCCTGGAAGTTTTCTTATCTGCCTAAAGTCAGGAACTGCCAAAGAAGAGAACACTTATCTCTTGTCTCTTGCTTGAGTTTTCATTAGTTAAACTCATATTATAGATTAGAATGAGGAGTATCAACAAACTTGGACAAATTTTTGTCACTAGTCACTGTCTGCTCTGTGTGCCCCACAAATGTTGTCCTGGTTCATCATATGTTCTTTAACTCCAATGAATTATTTTAATAATCCTTTACTGTACTATTCCCCTAAAATCATCCACACTTCCCTATATTCTTTTCCCCTAAGAGGAGAGGTATATGAGCATCTGTACTGATATTGAAAAATCACCTTGTGATTTCCCATGTGCATGCTAATAAATTTGTATGCCATTTCTTCTATTAATCTGCCATTTGTATGTTTATTTTTCAAGAAAACTTCAGAGGGTAAAAAAGTTTTCCCTTGGCCCCTATACTTTATTTGCTTTTGATCTAAGCCTGACAAGGACAGTCCACAAAACATTGCCCAAGAATCCCCAGAGTGGTCCAGAGTAGGAATAGCACAGGCAATTCAGCTAACTAGCTTCCTACTTATGGAGAGCTTTATTTTCAAGGCTGAGGGTCAGGTTCTCATTTCCTTTGCTATGTGTTCTTGATAACTTAGTACTTAATACTTCCCCTTGCAGAATTGCCTATGAGTATAGCTTTTTTTAAACTCTTCACGTTATATAAGGCATTTTCGTATTTCTCCATCATGGCTATGAAACTGCTCTTTAGTGGAAATCACTATTGTCCCTCTGCTCAGAATCATTTTGAAAACATTCCTCTAGTTCTTAATAATTGATACCAAGATAGTAGCCAATTAATTAACATGCATTTATCTGATTAAATCTTGGTCATTTATTGGATATTTTCCCGTTGGTTTCCCCCAGCTGCTGTCTTTGCAAGAACCTTAATTTTCATTTACATATTTAAGATTAAAGATACATAAATAGAACTTTACTATTCAAAATGCTCTAGAGAGAGAATTTGGGGAAGGTGGCTAAGTAGGAAGCATTAGGAATCTCTCTTCCCAACTAGCCCAACTGCATTGGCAGAATCTGTCTGCTGTAACTTTTTAGAATTCTGGAATCTATTGAAGACTTGCAACTTTCAGGGGAGGGCTTGGATTATAAATTGCAGTTAATGTCAGTCCATTTTATCTCCTAGCATAGGAGAAACTACCTATCTCCCTCTCCCAGCCCTATGAGAGGCAGCGGTGCATGTGTTCCTGGAGCAGCTTACACAGCTGTGGGAGGCAGAGTAGGCAATAAGAACCTTGTCTTCCTAATATCAGGAATTTATGTTCTTTTTTTTTTTTTTTTTTTTTTTTTTTTTGACGGAGTCTCGCTCTTTCGCCCAGGCTGGACTGCAGTGGCGCTATCTCGACTCACTGCAAGCTCCGCCTCTCGGGTTCACGCCATTCTCCTGCCTCAGCCTCCCGAGTAGCTGGGACTGCAGGCGCCCGCCATCGCGCCCGGCTAATTTTTTGTATTTTTAGTAGAGACGGGGTTTCACCGTGTTAGCCAGGATGGTCTCGATCTCCTGGCCTCGTGATCCACCCGCCTCGGCCTCCCAAAGTGCTTGGATTACAGGAGTGAGCCACCGCGCCAGGCAGGGATTTATGTTCTAATTGCTGCTTCTGACCTCAGAGGTGAGATGAAAAGTCAAGTGGCTATTGTTGTTGCACCTTCCCCATAGTTGCAAGCCCCTTTCCCTCCAGCTGAAGTGACTCCAGTTGATCCTTTGCAACAAGAATTGGAGAGGTAGTGGGCAGGCCATTAATTCCTACGCATGTCAAAGTTTCTTGTAAATAATTATTCCTGAAGCAATATCTTGAGACTTACTGCTGAGTGTGAATTTTAAAAATAATTACAACACATCCATTAGAATAGCTAAAATTGAAAAGACTGACCAATTAAATTTTGGCAAAGATGTGAGTAACTACAACTGGCATCCCCTGCTGGTAGAAATGTAAAATGGTACAATCACTATGAGACAGTTTGGCAAATGAATAGGCACTTAGCAGAGCAATCCGCTTTTTCCTTTTAGGTATTTACCTGAGAGAAACAAAAAATGTACATCTAAACAAAAACTAGCGTGATAGATACAGCTTTATTTGTAATAGCCAACAACTGGAAACAAACCAAAGTCCATCAGCAGATGAGTAGATACACAAAGTGCAGCACATACAGTGGAATATTACTTAACAATAAAGTGGAATAAACTGTTGCCACATAACATTAATGAAACATACAATCATTATATTTAGTGAATAAAGTCAGACAAAGGAAGAAAAAAATTATTCTTCAGCCAAGGACTGAGGCCTCATTTGTGGCATTCTAAGCAGAGAAAGCTAGTTTCTGATACCACCTACTGAATATGACCTTTTGGTAAGGATTCACCCTATGCATGTTACCTTTACTGCCTGTATTTCTATTAAAGAAACTTGTTTGCTCTCATTTTTGTGTGTAGCCCCAACAGCAGTACAACGAGTTACCTAGCACCCCTGTAGCACAGATCTCTGCCAGCATTGGCATTATAGAAAAGGACAGACAAAAGATGAAAGAAGGGTTTTAAATAGAAGGGTCCTGGCCAGTTTGACTTATCATTAAGCACAATACTAAACACAGAGTCAACCTGTTCCGGATTAATTGCTACCACTGGGGCTACGTACCATCTTAAAACTCATGATGGCTGAAAGATCAGGGGAATTCACTTTAGTATCTACATACCATAACTAGTACACCAAGATAAATTACTTTAGAGGAGAAATTTCTTTCAGCCGCAACTATCACAATGGAATAGGATTGGGCTGGACTTTGTTAACAAAGAAGACACTCGTGAGTACTTTGAAGCTCCTAGCATAAATGGAGATTTATGCTCCATTTATGGAGCATAATAAGTGGGAAACACAGCAGTCGGTAAACTGGATTTGGGACTGTTTATGCTTATATAAGTGGAATCTTAAGTATTAGATTCTGGAAACTTAGCAGTATATAATTTGTATCTTCAAAATATGACATATAACCTCTGGAATTTCACTAATATTGTGAGTACTTTATAGCTTGCTTTTGTTTAGTGTTTTTTTTTGTTTTGACCTATTTTTATGTGAATGGCATTTTACCAGACACATCTGGTGGTATAGAACAGAATCAGCTCAGATAAACTTGAATGGAGAGGTAAGTGAAGAAAAGCTGTAAGAATTCATCAAATTACAGCCAAACTACAGAAACTTAGCCAAAAGAGGGACAGAATTAAGTTCCCTCTGGGGACCTTTGAGAGGATCATTCCACTAGTGTCCTACAAGTAATATTGCCCCAGTTACTCAACTCCTCATTTCTATGTCTCTTAGTTTAAATTCTCAAAAGAGAGAATATAATTGGCTTTATACCTCTAAAGAATGTTTTTTTTTTCTTGGTCACCTTAATAGTCCAGAAAAATGAACTGATCTGGGAAGGCATGGTTAAATAATACAAATATTTAGGTAGTAGGTACAGGACTGAGTTTCTTGGAATAAGATGCATACAATGCACACAAAAATTCTGCCCAAATGTATAACTTTAAATATGCTGTTGGATTATGCACTCAAATAGTACCTTATGACATTGCAATGACTGTACCCCAACTTCACAACATGGTCTCCAAAGATTGATGGTTAAAAAATAAAATAGGAAGAGTCTCATGAGCATAGTGTATTTCCCCTATTGTTCCACTCTGCATTCCTTGAAGAGAGGCAAATCTAGGACAATACTTTTAGGCATTTGATAAGTATATTTTAAGGAAAAAGAGATAATGCAAAATAAAGAAAAGTATATAAGAAAAATGTCTACCTCTCCACTGATCCACCACAGCAGGCCTGATAGAGTCAACAATCTTATTCGCTGTGCTTAGTGAAATTTAGCCTAAGCCATTAAGTGAAATTGATGAGCTTTGTTTAGACTTCATCTCTCACATCACAGCTGTAATATCCCTAGACCACTGGTCAATCAATGGAGAGGCTAGGGAAGAAGTAATGAATGACATTCTGTTCTAATTTCGTTTAAATAGAATGATATTTGGACATATTTTTTCAAAGATTTTTATATAAATTGTTTAGGTGATATTGCCTCTCAATTTCCTTTTTTTTTTTTCTGTTCATTTCAACCTCTTCTGCCAATGTGGCCTTTCTCCAATATGTTTCCAAAATTTCCTGGCTCAATGATTTTTTTAAAAGCTATAAAAATAAACATTTTGCAAGGACTAAATAACCAGATATTTGAATAAAGTGTGCACCTGAAAAGAATGCGGCAGAAAAGTGGTGAATTTAGAAAGGCTTTATTTCCTGTAATGTATTAATATAGCACCCATAATAGTGAAAGTTCACAATTTACAAGCAACTTATTTACCACTCTTAGTACACCTTATTTGATTCCCCAGTGCAGGCTAGTTAGTGTTTAACCACAGGTTAAACAATAATAAGTTCCCCCTGTGGTTAGACCCTAGATTGCCTCCACTATTCATGGAGGCTGAAGAATCAATTGTATGTTAAAAAAAACAACATTCTATTAATTCATTCCTTCTCAGCTCCAATTTTCCCTTATTTACCCTCTCTCTCTACCTTCCTCCACAGTTTCTCCAGCTTAGACTTCAAAGTATTTCCAGGGCCGATTGACTTCCTCACTCACTGCTTGGGTTACTTCTGCTTACATTTGACAACACACTTTAATAATGTTTATCTTCCTCAGATCTGGAAATCCATTGTTCACTGTTGGCTTTGTGCTGATTTGGCTACTAATGGTTTATATTTGCTCTGTTCGTTTATTGTCATTTTGATGAAATCTCAAGAGGGAAGGGGGAAAAGTTCATGTGTTAGGTGCAATGTCTTTATACATTAGCTCCAATAAAGATTTGTGAAATTTAATTTTGGTCTAACAAAACTAGCTACACCCATGAAATTTTTTTTAAAATGTATATATCATATAAAGCAGTGCTGTAAACTGTTAAAGAATATATTCTACTAATGTTACATTTTCTTTTAAAATTGTATATTTCAGTTTACTTTCAGGATGGCACAGCTTTTAAAAGCAAATAGCAAGACAATATTGTGCAAAATGAACCCAAGAGAAAATGGTCTAGTTTTTGAGTTTTTACTTATTAAAATATTTTATACATTATACCCTAGCAATCTACAATTAATCCTTGAATAAGTTTGTCCTTTCAAAAAGGAAATTCTAGCTAACAACTTTCTCAGTCAGATTAAAGCAGTGAAGATGAAGTGAAAGAGAGTAATAAAGGACGCAAGACTTTGAACTGAAATCTCAAATGGGAACATCTTTATTCTCTCTTAAATATTCTTTCTAATATTTTTCATTGCTAAAATAAGGCAAAAAAAGTACATGCAAAGAGCTAGGCATTTTGGCAAGGGAATTTAGAACAAAACACAATGCATACCTTTTATAATTCTCAAAGCTTTTCAGAAAAAGTCCACTAGTGATATTAATTTGTAGATGTTTAATTTTTAATATTAACTTCCTAATCTATATGTTTCAAGCACAAAACAGGTATTTACATACATTCACATAAACTAAATATTTTAAAGCCACCAGAATTAACTCTCTGGAATTCTCTATTTTCATGAAATAAAGGGAAGGGGAAGCCACTACAGATTCAATTTTCCCAATTTTGAAAATGCAAGAGGAATACAAATGTAGGTTTGCCTAAGGCTATTATTGCGTAGATAATGAGTGTCTCCCAGTACCATGTATTTCATAATAGCTTAGAGTTTTAAAAGCACAAGAGTGGGATGTTTGAGAACTGAAGATTTATCTACTCTTGCCTGAATACATATGGGATTTAGCTTTTAGTTTTCATTCAATCTCGTTAACCTGTTCTTGTTTACTGTAAGTCTGTTATTATGTTCTGCGTTGAGCCTTTCTTTTATAAATGGCTTATATGCATTGCATGGCATGTTATTCAGTCTTACTGAATAATAAAAGCTCATTAAAGAAGGCATTAAATATAGAAAAACAAAAACTGTAATTCCAAAATTCTATTCCACCAACAACTGCTTATTCATTCCTCAAACCTCCTTTTCAATACTTATACCTAAAAAACTCTCTGTTTTTTTTTTTACAGAATTATTTTGTTTGTAGTTATATAATGTACCAACTCTTTCTCCATTTCCTTTTTCTTTTCCGCTTTGGCGAGTAGAAAGGAAAACTACTAATACATTAGAATAATAGACTTTTAAAGTTAATACTTGATTTTTCATCTTCTTTCTAACTTCAAACACACACACACACACACACACACAAAGATAAACATTTGTACGTACAAGGAATCAGGAAAAACATCAAATGTGAGCTATTGGAAGTGCTAGATTCATAGCTCTGTGAGTACACAAGTAGGTGAAGATAATTAGAAATTTGTCTTCTAAAAGTAACAAATAATAAAAAGTCTACAAAGGAGGCAGAAGTCAGTAGTCAGGAGCTATACAGGAGACATACAGAAGTCTTGTTTTTAAACAGGACCTATAAAAAAGTCTGATAAAATAAGACCTAAAGCTACAGATTAAATGAACCAGCAGGTTTAGGAAAAGAGAAGACAGAGTCTCAAACACAACAGCCAAATGATGGCACACTTCTAGTTACTGCCTGAGCTGTTATTGCTATGTTTGAATGTGTCATTCAAAATTAATGTATGGGAAACTTAATTCCCAATGCAACAGTGTTGAGAGGTAGGACTTTTAGGAGGTGATTAGGTCATTAGGGCTCTGCTCTTATGAATGGAATCATGCCATTATCATGAGAGTGAATTAGTTATCATGGAACTGGTTTCCTGATAAGAGGATGAATTTATCCCCTTTTCCTGTTGCTCCCTCTCTCACACTCTTTTCTCCTTCAGCCTTTTGCCCTAGGATAATGCAGCAAAAAGCAAAAAGGTCCTCACCAGATGCTGGCATCTTGATACTAGACTTCCCATCCTCCAGAACCATGAGAAATATATATATATATATATATATTTCTCCATTGCGATTACGATGTCGGGAGTATTCTGTTACACACAAAGTCGACTAAGACAGTTATATTCCTATTATTAACCATGGTAAAAGTCCAAACTCCCAATATAAGAGGAGATTCTGTCCTGGGTGTATGGGGGCTGGATGAAAATCTGAAAACTGCTAGAAATGCAATGGTATATAAACTAACTCAAAGTGAATCAGCAAACTCAGTTTCAAAACACTTGGAGAAGAAAATGCTAAAAACAACAACAACAAAAGCTAAATAATAGAAAAAATGCTCGCATTACTAATAAAAATAATAAAATATAACTAACAAATTTTAAAAGATGTATTTTCAGCTCAGTGATATAAATAAGTGAAAAATACTCATAAAAAGAAAAAAGCTATAAGGAAAACATAGGCAGAAATGTGTCAAAAGTAAAATGACACTGCAGAAATACAAACATTGTAAATTAAAAATAAAATCATTAAAGTTTAAAAAGGACAAAAAAGTAATTTATAAAATTTAAGAATTTACATAAAAAGCACAGAAAAACAAAAAAATGTGAAAGGGAATTAAAAGAATATTTATTGACTGTCTCACTAAATAGTATAAATAACGTCTAACAGTAATTGCAGTAAACAAATTTGAGTTTTCAAGAATTAATATTTAGTGTTATGATGGTTGAGAATTTTTCAGAATTAAAGTTCTCATGTTACAAATGAAACTAAAAACCAAGCAAGATGAATTAAAACAAATTTCTGTGACACATTAGAGTGAATATCTAATTTAGATAGAAAATTTAGAAATTAAAATATAAGGGGCAAATGTAGATTACCCACAAACAAATTGACTTTAGTCTGTCTAAAGTTCTTATTAGCAAGAAAAAAAAAATACCAGCAAAAGGTTGTAAAACATTTTAAGTAATGAGAACAAATAACACACAGTCTTAAATATCATGGCTAGAAATATCATTATCCAATGCAGATCAATAAAAATCAACAACAATATTGAAAATAGAAATGAAATACAAACAAAATGTATTCTTGGATGCTAAAAAGGGTCAATATTTAGAGATTAATTTATTAAATAAGGTGCATTTATTAAATATTAATAATGAATGTGTGAGACATTGATTTTACTCAGCAAACAGCCATTTCTTTTTCACTCCTGCCTAGAATCTGATCTGTTCAGAAAGCAGACAGCAGTTGTTAGATCTCAAGGAAGCTAGACTCCTTTCACAACTTCCAGACATGCATTCTAATTGGTCCAAATCACTGCAATTATTCTATTCATCCTTCTCTCTAAAACATGTAGGAGTGGGCATGAGGAATGTTTCTGGCTAATTAGCTATAAAGTCAAGTCTGATAAAGAGATTCTGAGAATCAGAGACTTGCAAAAACAAACTCTTCTCTTCTGTTGTTCTTATTATTGCCTTCTGGTCTTAGATACAGTTCTGTGAAGGTGTAATATTGGAGCTGTAGTAGCCATCCT
Organism: Homo sapiens; assembly: GCF_000001405.40. Taxonomy (NCBI): domain Eukaryota; kingdom Metazoa; phylum Chordata; class Mammalia; order Primates; family Hominidae; genus Homo; species Homo sapiens. The sequence goes on from NC_000001.11 coordinate 189,685,494, forward strand.
GACACCATGAGGAGAAGTTTTGAGACTAAGTATTATTTCTCACAGCTCTGATTTTTGACTAAAAAAATTTGGGACAATTCAACTCCAAACTTTAACCATCAAGAATTAGTAGAAAATAAATAGTAAAGTAAATATAAAGAAAATAAAAAGTAAGATGAATCCACCTAAATCAAATTATTAGGTGAGAATAACCTTATTAAAAAAATAACAGGAAAAGTTTAGTACACAAAATATAATATATGAAGCATGCATAGTATGTGCATATGAAAACCCTGTTGAAAATTCAAGTTAGTAAATTCTTAAAAACTTTCTCTTTCTTCCTGTCTGCCTATTTCTCTTATTGCCAAATAGTTTCTTCTTACAATAATAGTGTATGAAGATTAACTCATAAATATAGCTATTAGTGTAGGAACTTTACCAATGGACAGAAAAAATATAATAATCTCAAGAGATTAACAAAACTAGTCAAAAAATTAAATTCCCCTCAATTATCAAAATAAAATACAAATATTAGTTTAGGGTAAAATTTTGGAACATTTAAGGCATTTACACTTAAGTCAGCAAAGAGATAAGGACACGTATTATTGCTTCTATTAATGTTGTTCACTATTTACCAAATGTAATCAGATTTAAGAAACATGATGTATGAGTTAGAAAGTAGAGTTAGAAAGGAAGCTACAAAACTTCTCTTACTTGCCAATAATTCAATATTTGCATAAATATTAATCCTGAATTTATAGAAAACAACAGTAATATAGTTTTTATTTGTTTATTTATTTTAATGATTACATAAAGTTTATTGAAGCTCAAAGATTGAGGATGGCCACCCAGGAGCCGTACATTCAAGTTTCCCTGAATATACACTTCAATTACCAGTAGTTACCATGGGTTTTTATATTTTTATTTTTTATTTCCATAGGTTTTGGGGGAACAAGTGGCATTTGATTACATGAATAAATACATTAGTGGTGATTTGTGAGATTTTGGTGTACCCATCACCTGAGCAGTATACACTGAACCCAATTTATAGTATTTTATCCCTCACCCCCTTCCCACCCTTTCCCCCTAAGTCCCCCTAAGTCCCCAAAGTCCATTGTATCATTTTTATGCCTTTGCATCCTCATAGCTTAACTCCCACTTATTAGTGGAAAAAAATACATTTGTTTTTTTATTCCTGAGTTGCCTCACTTAGAATAATAGTTTCCAATCCCATTCAGGTTGCTGCGCATGCCGTTATTCATTCTTTTTTATGGCTGAGTAGTTTTCCATCATACATATATGTATATATGTGTATATATATATAGTGTATATATGTATATATCATATATATAGTGTATATATGTATATATCATATATATCTCACTATATTATATATATATATCTATATATATATATCTATATCTCTATATACATATCTCACAATCCCTTTATCTACTTGTTGATTGATGGGCATTTGGGCTGGTTCCCATTTTGGCAACTGCGAATTGTGCTGCTATAAACATGCGTGTGTAAGTATCTTTTTCATATAATGACTTATTTTCCTCTGGGTAGATACCCAGTAGTGAGACTGATAGATCAAATGACAGTATTCCTTTTAGTTCTTTAAGAAGTCTTCACACTTTTTTCCACAGTGGTTGTACTAGTTTACATTCGCACCAGCAGTGTAGAAGTGTTCCCTTTTCACCGCATCCACACTAACATCTATTATTTTTTTATTTTTTTTACTATGGCCATTTTTGCAGGAGTAAGGTCTTATTGCATTGAGGTTTTGATTTGCATTTCCCTGATCATTAGTGATGTTGGGCATTTTTTCATGTTTTTTGGCCATTTGTAGATCTTCTTTTGAAAACTGTCTATTCACATCCTTAACCCACTTTTTTATGGGATTGTTTGTTTTTTTCTTGCTAATTTCCTAGAGTTCCTTGTAGATTCTGGATGTTAATGTTTTGTCAGAAGTATACATTATGAAGATTTTCTCCCACTCTGTGGGTTATCTGTTTACTCTACTGACTATTCCTTTTAGCATGCAAAAACTCTTTAATTTAATTAAGTCCCACCTATTTATCATTGTTTTTGTCGCATTTGATTTTGCATTCTTGGTCATGAAATCTTTGTCTAACCCAATGTCTAAAACATTTTTTCCAGAGTTATCTTCTAGAATTTTTATTGTTTCAGGTTTTAGATTTAAGTCCTTGATCCATGTTGAGCTGATTTTTGTATAAGGTGATAGATGAGGATGAAGCTTCATTTTCTTACATGTGGCTTGCCAATTATCCCAGCACCATTTGTTTAATTGAGTGTCCTTTCCTCACTTTATGCTTTTGTTTCCTTTGTTGAAAATCAGTTGGCTATAAGTATTTGGGTTTATTTCTGGGTTCTCAATTCTGTTCCATTGGTCTATGTGCCATTTTCATACCAGTACCATGCTGTTTTATTGATGATGGCCTTATAGTATACTTTGAAATCAGGTAATGTAGTGTCTCCAGATTTGTTCTTTTTGCTTAGTCTTGCTTTGGCTATGTAGGCTCATTTTGTTTACATATGAATTTTAGAATTGCTTTTTCTAGTTCTTTAAAGAATGATGGTAGTATTTTGATGAGAATTGCATTGAATTTATAGATTGCTTTTGGTAGTATGCTCATTTTCACAACATTGATTCTACCCATCCAAGAGCATGGGATGTGTTTTTATTTGTTTGTGTCATCTGTGATTTATTTCTGCAGTGTTTTGTAGTTTTTCTCATAGAGATCTTTCTCCTCCTTGGTTAGATATATTCCCAGGTATTTTACTGTTTTTGCAGCAAAAGTATCAGAGTATTTAAAAGTGTGTTTTCCATGACATTAGCATGCAAAAGTTAGTAGCATGCAAAGAGTTTCTTAACAATAAAATAAAATAGACAAAATATTGTAGTAATAAAATCAACAAAAATTATAAGATATTTAAGAGTAAACTTGGGGGAAAGAAATAAAAAAATGTTCAGGAGAATATTCCATACATCATTTGTATTATATTCCATACATCAACTTCAATAGCTTGAGTGTGTATCACTATTTAAATAACCTCAAGAATGCTATGTAACAATTTGCTCCGCAACTCAATGGCTTAAAACAATAATTATTTCAGCTGACTACAGCTGGGAGATTTATTTGTAGTATGGAGACTGTGATGAACATCTGGGGCCGTGGAGTGACCTGGCCATGAGTCTTTCATTCTTTCTAACAGGCTGGCCTTTTTGGCTATGACAGAGGAGCAAGAAAAAACAAATGAATGTGCTAGCTGCCTTAAATGCCTCTTCTTGTTTTACCCTTCGATAATATCATATTGACCAAAGTAGATTACAAAGCCAGTCTAGAATTGAGGTACAGTGAAATAATATCACCTTTGTAGTGAGAGAAACTGGGAAGTCACACGGCAAGAATATGTGGACAGAAGTTATAAACTGGGCTATTAATGAATTCAATTTACAATGATCAGATAAGTATGTTCATGAATGTGAAAATTTAATATTAAAACTTAATATTTTTCATATTACACTATAAATTCAATGTAATTTCAATAAAAATATCAAAAGTATATTTTACTGAACCAATTAATGATTGGTGAACTATTTAATCAACTTTTCTTGAACAATTGAAAATTTGCCTATATGCAAATTAATAAATTAGATCCCTATTTTACATCATACTCCAAAACACAGGTCCAATTAAAGATAAAGTATCAAAACTGAAATTTAAGAACATTTAGTGTGGTATAGCTGAAAGTATTTAGGGCTAGTAAAAACTTGCTTAAACAAAACAAAGAACTAAAAGTCAAAAGTGTGAGATGAATAAATTTGAAAGCATCCACTGGAAAAAGCATCCAAGTGGTTGGACAGCTATGCTAAAGACCATAGGTGTGTGACACATGGATCCAATCAACTATCTTAGCAAACACCATGAATAGAGATGTGGTTATCCAGAAAACATTTATGGAGGGCCCACTTAATGGCTTAAACTCTCTTGAATTGTGCAGGGGACTGACAAGAGTTTGAGAATTTATGTCAATCGAATGTTGCCAGCCTTGACTGAAAGGAACAGAAAAGGGAGAAAATGAAGAAAGAATGGCTCAGAGGGCAGATCCATGGATGCACAGGCTTGGGATGATAGTACCTGTTCAAGTTAAGAGGGCAGGGATGGCTGCACAGTGTGCCCCCAGAGGACAGTGAGCTTGCTCCTGCCCAGAACAAAAAAGTCTTCTGATTTAGACTGTGATGATAGATGACAGAAAGGGAAAGTAGCCTTTAAAATTTAAGGAGATGGTCCAGAAAGAACATAACCCTAATTTGGATTTAGATCTTATTATTGATAATACCAACATTTTTTCAGAACATTTAAGCTAGTATGAAATTGAATAGAATATATTTTCCTTAAAGCCCATTAAATTTGATATGTAAAATGTGTATTTATATTACACAAAGGAAATAATAATTAAATGTTAAAATATGAAAATATCTGTTTTCCTCAGTTTTCTTAGTTTTATTTTCTGTAAGTTTTCATTTTTCAATGCAAAAATGTTTTCTTAAGTAAGAGAAATACAACCAATTATATTATATTGTATTATATTACATTATATTATGTTAATAAAGTTTTTTGTGTGTGTCAGGTCCATTAGAGTATTAGTGTATAAAGAGGAATGACCTTGTAAAAAAAACCTGATTTCTGGATTTATTGCTGCCTCTTAATACTTGGACTTTGGACAAGCCACTTAACCTCTCTAAGGCTATTTCCTGCCCTACATCACAAAGTAGATGTAAGAATCAAATGAGGTTATTTGTGAAGGTTCTCTAATTCTCAGTATAAATGTCAGGAATGATTATTGCAAAAATAATTTTAACACAATTCCCAGTCTTATATACACAAGTAATATGCATTTTTTAAATTAAATCAATATTTTATCATTTGCAAACTGTCACCTATCTTATAAAACATATTTATATTGGATCATAAAAAAGCAGCATATTTATGTAGGATTCTGTAATAATACTCAATAGACTGTAAATGTTTACGTGTAAGTGAGATATTATACTATGTCTCTATCTAAAAGAGTTCGAAAAGTTATTTTAGATGAACAAATGTGATGTTTAGTGAAAATGTAGCCAATAAATGGGAGATTTTGAACCAAATTATTTGCTCAAGATGCTATCTTTGGAATTTATTAACATTTGGGAAGTTAAATAAGTGTTTAGTTGTTGTTTTTGGTTGACTCGGTTTTATTATAAATAAATTGATCAATAATTATACTTTTTGGAAAGTAAATAGCCCATGCCCCATTGCACCAAATGAAAGCTAGGGCTTTATGCCAGAAACGAACCACTAAAGAGTTTTCGATTCCATTTTTGTAAAGGTCCCAGTGGTTCTGAGAAGGAAGCAGAGGTGAGAGAGAGAGACCATGTATTCCTCTGGTCATTACTTAAAGTCATGTTGTTACCTCTCTGTGATCTAGGTGCACATGAGACATCGTACTACATTCTTATTTCTCAGGAATTTAAATTTAGTATGTGCCTTTTTCATAGTTTTTACCTAAATTCTAGTGAAAAATAATGTATAAATGTAAAAACTGAAATCTCAAACCAATGTATTCATTATACAACATAACACCAAGGCAAGGAAAATTCTATGAGCATAGTAAAAGTTTCATGAATGCTAACTGATTTAGTTCTGTATTCAAGGAAAATAAATGACTGGAAGGGAAGGTACTCTATATATATCAACTAAAATATATCCTTATTTCTCTTTTATTACTTTTTTTGAAAAGACATTTTATTTATGAGATAATGACATGTTGTTTATGAAAGAATTTTGATTTTATATTTACCTAGTTGCAACTAACTAGAAAAAAAAGGTTAATCTTTTTAGTATTCCTTCTAAGGCCAAAGATCATGTCGAGGCCTGAAGAGAACTAGTTAACAACGTTTTAGAGGCTACTGATACCAGTCTCTGAAATGTAGATTGTCTATCCTTAGGTAATCTAGACTACTTGATCACACATTTAAAATAGCAGACAAATGGTTCTCAGATGTATTTATATAGAACTTATTTTGAAAATATATGGTCACATTGTTATCATGGTAACATGAAGGACATAATACAATTGTATTCTCTCTCCATATAATTTTACATATATATTTTTAGTCGATATATGCAGCATATATTTAAATTATTAATATCAATAAATTTACAATTCTTATATATGATTTTGTTGTTAATTGAAATATTTGAGTGAGTTTATGCAATTAATATTCAATGGCAATGATCTTTAAAAAGAAAAAGATATATAGTCTACAAATTTGTTTGAGCATGTTAGTTAGTTATTCTAAGGCAGCCAGTTTATTTCACGATATGTTATTTTTAAATTATTATTACTGATGACTATGTGCCAGAGCTATAGAGCTCCCAACATCTTACTGCCACCGGCACTGCCTTCTAAGTAGACATTGGTGTTAATTTGAGTAATTATGAGACCACTGTAAGCCAAGGATTAACCCTGTCATTCACAACTATACACCAAGAAGGAGGTTTCTGTGTGCTCTTCAAAAATGTGAACAAACCGATCTCAGAATCTCATTCTGAGGCTCTGCAACAGTAACTGCATTGATTAGGTTCCTGGCTGACCTTGAAAGATAAGGAGATTTGCTCTTGGTTTAAAACCTATGTATGATTTTTGATGCCTGACCATGTGCAATTACAAAGGCTACCTGGCAAGCCTCAAGAGGAAAGCTGCCCTCCTTACAGTAGGCCTGGTGCACAGCCAGAGCATTGCAGTCTCTCAAGAGTCAAGTCAGTCAGGGACTCGAGCTCCTCTATCAAATCATGTTCTTTGGATAAATTTCTAGCCTGGTGCTTTCATTCCTATGTCTCTTTATCTGATGCTAATATGGTTGGGATCTGCTACCACCCAAATCTCATTTTGAAATGGAATTCCCAATGCGGGAAGGTAGGGTCTAGTTAAAGGAGATTGGATCATGGGGGTGGCTTCCAATGGTTTAGCACCATCCCCTCAGTGCTGTTCTTGTGATGGAGGCCTCAGGGCATGTGCTTGTTTGAAAGTGTGTAGCACCATCCCCTCAGTGCTGTTCTTGTGATGGAGGCCTCAGGGCATGTGCTTGTTTGAAAGTGTGTAGCACCTTCCCTGCCCTCTCTCTTCCTCCTGCTCCAGCCATGTTAAGATGTGCCTGCTTCTCCTTTGCTTCTGCCACGATTGTAAGTTTCCTGAGGCCTCCCCAGAAGCAGGAGCCACTATGCTTCCTGTACAGCCTGCAGAACTGTGATCCAATTAAACCTCCTCTCTTTGTAAATTACCCAATCTCAGGAATTTCTTTATAACAATGTGAGAATAAATTAATACAGAAGCCTTGGGCAGAAGTGTTCTTCAGGCATGTCTGCTGAGGTCTCCTTATGTGGGGAGGAGGAGAAGACCTTGAAGAGACACTTCTCTCTCTGACTCAGCACCCAGCACTTTTCCACTCTTAGCCTTCCTCCTTCACCAGCACCAGCACCTCACCTCACCTCATTGTGCATAACACTGGCAGAGTCTTTAGTTTGAGGACTCCCTCCACAGTGAGACAACCCTCACAACTGTGTTGATCCAGTGCAATTTCCCAAGCTGTAGTGGCAATTTCCCCAGTTTTAGGTTCTTGAAAGGCTTACCTCTTTCCACTCTTGACTTGTTGCTTTTTACTGGCTTTTCTGACACTTAGCAGCTCATTTCCCTCTCACAGTTCAGCTGAGCTCCTGACAAAAGACATGACACAAAGATTTGCGCCAGATTTAGGAAAGCCAGCCAGCATGGGAAGGGCTTACTAGTGGAGGATTTGGGCCCTCTGCTGGACCTGAAAGGACAAGAGGAAGGAGAATTACCAGAACCCAAGAAGACAACTACAAGTAGGGCTTGAGCTTCTGCTACTGTGGTGTACTTACTCTCAGAAAACCAGCATGGAGGTAGCTGGAGACCAAATATCCCAACCTGACCATCCTGTGCCTTCCAGGTCCCACGCTAGTGCCTTCTATTAGCCCAACCTAACCAGAAATGATAGAATCAGTCTATTAGCTCAGGAACCAGAGTAGAAAACAGAGTTAAGAAGAGTAAAAAGTGCATCTAGAGGAGCAAACAAAAAATATTCAGTATGTATTTAACTTCAAAAAATATTTTATCATATGTAAAACCATCACATATGTGACCTGTTTAGTGTCAACTCACGTCTCAAACTTAGCCTCTTACAGTCTGATGAGTAATGTCTTTCTAACTCGAAACACTAGTTTTACTAATTTTCTTGTGATCTTTTGTTCATCTCAGTCTGAAATATTTTACATTCAAATCAGAGTAGAGATTCTCCTATTTATATTCCTGAGTACTGTGCATTTTTCAAAACCCAATGTCTTCAACACACCTCCCCTGATTATGCCAGATGTCATTAATCCTTTTTCTGTTGTAAATACTTTTAATACACACTATTTGTTTGCAAAAAATACAATGGAATTTTAAGTCTTGTGGCTTGCTCATGTTGTTTCCTCTGTCTAGAAGTCCTCCATCTCTTGTGTCTGTGGAATAACTTAAAATCTCAGTTCAAGGGTCACCTTCATTTAAAAGCCCCTCTTTAACATCTTAGTAAAAACGATGACACCTGTCCATATTGGTCAGAGTTTAAACATGAAGACCAAGGCCATTATACTTATTCTAAGTAGGAAGGGATTGTTATACAAGGAATGGGTAATCAAAAATGATTGTCAAAGCTAAAGGAAAGAGGGTCATCTATTGGAAGTATCTATTGGCAGTCAGATTCACCACTGGTTTTTAGAGAGTAAGGAAGTTTCAGGATCTATGGAAAATTGCTGTTGGTGATCACAGCTGCCTATGAACTTTTTTTTTTTTTTGAGACGGAGTCTCGCCTGGTCTCCCAGGCTGGAGTGCAGTGGCGCCATCTTGGCTCACTGAAAGCTCCACCTCCCGGGTTCACGCCATTCTCCTGCCTCAGCCTCCCCTCGATGGCAGAGGGTCAGCTCCCTTCCTGCTCCAGGAAACCAAGGGAAGACACTTCCCAGGTTTTAAGCCCCTCTTGAAATCCCTGTGCTTCTATAACTAGCTTTGTGGAGATATATTTTTGTGTTATTCCAGTATACTAAGGAGCTTTGACATCTGTTTGACTTTTGTTGCACAGATAATTTCTATTAATATCAAATAAATAATTGTGTTATACTTTAATTTCCCCTTTTTAGATGTAGTACACTCCACTATTTATGCTAAATAAATATACTAGATATGTATGTTGAATGCACTAACAAAATAATTACTTGTCCTTATAACCAACTTTTAATAACTGCAAAAAAAAACAAGGAAATAAATATTGATTCTTCTACATTTTCTTTCTATGGGCTTATAATTATGTTACTCTCTTGATATTTAATTTATTCCCTTCAGTAATCTGGCCGGAAACTAGTATCAAAGACATCACGGCAGTGTTTTAAAATTGTGTCCTCAAGACCACACTGGCAGCATCTGGAAATTTATCTATTTTGAATCTTCATCAAGTATGCCAGAATTAAATTTAAAGCAGGGAGATACTTTTTCAAATAGCATTGATTTTTTAAAAAGACAAAATAGAGTTTTAATTTAAACCAAATTCTAAAGCTGGCTCTGGGAACATGATAAGTAATTTTAATTGGTTTCTTACCATTTTGACTAAAACAAATACATTTTAGCTACAGCTTGTAGTAAACTTTTTTTTTGTGATTCATGCTACTATAAATCCTTAAAAAAATATAACTTCGACTTTCCAGAGAGACATTTTCTTTTATACACCGCTAAATTTTAACATGATTGAAATACCTGTACCTAGCTAAATCTATTTTTCTATTCATTGTGATTCTTAATTTTACAATTGCATGAAAACTAAAACGCTTCTTTATTTTCCTTATTGGTAGCATAATTTAGTTTTATTTTACTTAAAAAAAGTGAAATGCATCTATTCTGTATTATATAGTAGCTCAATTGACCTTGCAAATCTCTTTTATCCAAAAATGAACTATTTTTACATATGCTTTGTGAAAATGGATATTCTTCATTAGTAAAATTAATCACAAAAGTGCATTAACACAATAACAAACTTGACCTGATTTTTAGAAATATGGGATACTTCTGAGTAAACGTCCCAAAAAATGGGAGTCAATTGAACATGCTCACCTTCTTGGCAAGCATTTTAATAATACAATTTTCTCCTTTTCTCTGTTCAAAGCTCCACTTCTCTTGCTATTAAATTATACTTTTGGCTCACTGAAGTGTTTATGACTCAGGATTACTTTAAGTGAATCTGTCTTCACTAGCATGCGTTTTAAATATAGAGAGTTTCAGTGGTAGAAAACAGTCAAATCAAGAGTTTCAAATATAAATTATTAATTCTATCTTTTTACAACCTACTGCTTTTCCTCTTGAGTCCTCGATGGCTTCATGAGTGATAACGTAGTCATATATCTAAGTGTACTAGTCTAGAATAAATGCTACATTTATTTAAGATTTCTAAATACATAATGAATAAGGACAGAAAAAGTAATTCTTAGCTTTTCAGTATTCAAGTGTGTAATAACCAGCTTTTGTTCACTTGAAACGACAGCGTATTATTTCCCGAAGAAAAAGAGTATTTCTTTGATACGTTTTATCATCGTAGGGTTTTAAATGTCAACTAGAAATTTATACATCTTAATTCAATAATTGCAAACCTACATTTATATTTTAATTATTATATTATTGATATTTTTACTAAAATTATATGTATAATGGCTTGTTTCAAAATGAATTCTGCTTCGGAACCATAAAGTTAGTTAAAATTTTAACTAGTCTCTACAAAAAAATACAAAAATTAGCCGGGCTTGGTGGTGGGTGCCTGCAATCCCAGCCACCCGGGGGGCCGGGGCCCGAGAAGCGCCAGAACCCAGGAGGCAGAGGCCGCAGCCAGCCGAGATGGCATCACCGCACTCCAGCCCGGGTGAGAAAGCGAGACTCCTGTCTTGAAAAAAAAAAAACAACAAAAAAAAAAAAACTCCGAGCGTGGTGGTTCACGCCTGCAATCCCAGCACTTTATGGGCACCGTGGAGCACGCTCGCAGTCCCAGCTGCTTGGGAGGCAGAGGCAGCGGTGAGCCAAGACTGCGCCATTGCACTCCATCCTGGGCAACAAAGTAGAGATGGTTTTGCGGTGTTGGCTGAGCTGGTCTCGAACCCTGATCACGGGTGATCTGCCTGCCTCTGCCTCACAGAGTGCTGGGACTGTGGGCGTGAACCACTGCGCCCGGCCTTGTGTGATTTTTTTTTTTTTTTTTTTTTTTTTTGAGATGGCGTCTCGCTCTGTCGCCCAGGCTGGAGTGCAGTGGCGCCATCTAGGCTCACTGCAAGCTCCGCCTCCTGGTTTCACGCCATTCTCCTGCCTCAGCCTCCCGAGTAGCTGGGACTACAGGCGTCTGCCACCACGCCCGGCTAATTTTTTGTATTTTTAGTAGAGACGGGGTTTCACCGTGTTAGCCAGGATGTGCTCGATCTCCTGACCTCGTGATCCGCCCGCCTCGGCCTCCCAATTGTGTGATTTTATCTAAGGGACTTAAGCATCCTCAGGTCCTAGAGGGTCGTGAAACCAAAACCCCATAGATAGCAAGGGACAATTGTATCTTCAAATTAGACAAATGGTGCCGGGCACGGTGGCTCGCGCCTGTAGTCCCAGCACTTTCGGAGGCTGAGGCGGGCGGATCGCCTGGGGTTGAGAGTTGGAGGCCACCCTGGCCAACATGATGAAACCCTGTCTCTACAGAAATGTAGGGATAGCTGGGCGTGGTGGCGCATGCCTGTGGTCCCGGCTACTGGAGCGGCTGGGGCGGGAGAGTCGCTTGAGCCTGGCGGGCGGAAGTTGCGGTGGGCGGGGATGGCACCACCGTGCTCCGGCCTAGGTGATAGAGTGAGACTCCGTCTCAAAAACAAAACAAAACAAAACAAAAATTAGACGAATGCTACATTAATTGTTTGGGTGGTCAGATTCTACTTTGAAGTCTGAAGTTTGCAGATATGCCTATAGATTTTTGGAGTTTACCACTTTTATTCTGTATCATTAATGTAATATTTTAAATTATTGTATATTTTACCATTTCTCTGGATTTAGTAAGAAATTTGCAGTTTTGATTTGATGTAACAAAGGTTTTAATGTAATTTATGTTAGATTTTGCATTTTTTTCATTACTGTTATACTTTTACCTGACTGAATGACTGATCTCTTTGTATTAGTATTGGGAATAATCATGTGAAATGTTTTGAGGCAGAGTACTATATTTGTGAACATAATTTTATGACTTTTTTCGCTTAGTAAGAACCTTTCTATCAGTGTGGAAAACTAAGAAAATTGCTTTCTGCTGTATAATCTGGCATTCATTGTAGATTAAAGCTTATTTTTCTGTGAATAAAACTTATTCAATAAAATATTATTCTTTAAAATTAAAAAAAATTAAGTAGTCTCTTGGAAGGATACTGACTAGTCATGATCACGTTGACTATAGTTAATAATATATGCTATATTTCAAAATAGCTAAAAGACTAAATTTCAAATGTCTTACCACAAAAAAAATAAGTACATTAGGTGATGGCTATGTTAACTCGATTTAATTATTCCACATTATATACATATATCAAAACATCACATTGTACCTCATAAATGTATACAATTATAATTTGTCACCTAAAAGTAATGTTAATATAGAAAAGCATTTTGCCTTCCTAAAATCCTCACTTACTCTTGGTTTAGCTCTCACTTTGTTCTAATTAATTGGCTTGTTGTAGTTTGCATTATACAAAATATGAAGTTATTCCTTATTTCTATCTACTTTCAAAAGAATTTCTTTTAAAATGCTTTTAAATTTATTATAAGTGTTATCACAGTGAGATATTATTTTGTTCTATAAGTAAATTTATTTGACTGATTCTAGGTTAATTTATTGAAGCTTTAATGTATGTATTATATTAGAAAATCACATTCAAAATCATATTGGTAAATTGCACAAATATCACAAAATATTTCATTTAGTTGTTAGTGTCAGGGCTGAGTTTAAAGAGCACATTGGCAATAATGGTAATGCATAAAATATCTGTCATTAATTATATTATTTATTTTTATTCTACTTACCTTATTTTTTTCCATCTTTTTCTCAGATTTTCTAGGAAACTTTGTCTTAGTGTAACAAAACTACTAGTTATTATATTTTTAGCCTTTGCTTAATTAGATGTGCTGATATATATATATATTAATATTTGTTTTCATCATTTCTTACATACTGTCTTTCTTCAGGGGTTTACTTTTTTCTTACTGAATATTCTTTAATGAAATTTTAATGAATATCTGAATAGACTAAACTATATTATTTTTATGTACAGATATGAATTTATCTTTTACTTACAAATGACAGTTTAATTGTCAATAAAACATTAAAATAGTGAAATTTGCTCAGCAATTTGAATATTGTGCTGAACTGCATTTTTACCAATGAGTCATTTGCTGTCAATAATTGGTATCCCACAGTGTGTAGTATGATTTACCCTTTCGTTAGCTTTGCCAAGTTTCTTTCTAAAAATTTTGATTTTGAATAGTCTAGATGTAGAATCGTTAATTTTTTTCTCTTCAATGTTTGTCCCTTTGCCCACACCTATAGATTTTGTTCTGCAAAGTCCTGTGTGTATCTTGATTTTTTTGTTTCTCTCTCTCTCTCCTTCTTTCCTTCCTTCCTTCCTTCCATCTTTCTTCATTTTTCTCTCTCTTTTCTTTTTTTCTTTTCTTCTTCCCTTCATTCTTCATTCTGACTGAATTCATAAGTTTAATGAACAAACTTATGAATGTCACATTTATTATAATTGTTTTCAACTCGATGTCAATCATATATGCTATTTATTATTGAGTTTTTCTAGTTTAAAGCAATCATATTTTTATTCCATGATACATTATTTTAATATTGGTTTAATGTAGGTGAATATTCATAATGTATATGAAGGTTATGTCATATAATTTATAACATAAACAACTAAGAGCACAACACCCAACTTAACAAATAATGCATTATTTAATATCACTGGAACTTACCTGGGTACCATTTATAATATCTTTATATTCCCTTAAGAAGTGAATAATATGTTGAATTTTGTGTTTATTATTCATGTGTTTCACTTATAATTTGACTGTATGTATCCCTAGTTATGATGTTAATTAGTTTTGCTTACTTTATGGTTATTTTTGTTTTGCTTTAAAATAAATATTTTATTTTAAAATGTACTTATTCTTCTGGAACTTACTTTTTAAGCATACCATTATGTTCGTAAGATTCTTCACTATTTATGTGTGTGATTGTACTTATTGATTTGTACCATTGTATATATACTATTTCATATATTCAGTTTTTACAATTGCACATATTTCATTTTTACCATTGTATTTACTGTTTTTAATACTTGTGTTTTTGTGCAAAAATGTATTTATTCTCCTGGGTATGGACATTTCAATTCAATTCAATTTTATCTTATTATGAGCAATTACACATTGGACATTCTCATGTCTCTCTTCTCTAGAGTGTGAACAAAAATCTCTCTAATGTTTATGACTATATTAGACACATGTTCAAATTTAAAGTGTTATACCAAACTGATTTGTAAGATGGCAACATTAATTTATACTCCAGTCATCTAGTGTTCCGAAATATTTTACATAAGAGACATTTTTATTTTTATCAATTAAATGGGGGTAACATTGTTCTTCAATGTGATTTTTGCATTTTCCTAATAGCTAATAAAATTAATCATCTGAGGTTTTTATTATTTTCCAATATTTTCCTTTTTGGGAACTTTTTAATCGGTTGGCATATTTTCTCATTTAATTGATTTGTAGTTTTTAAAATGTATTATTCAGAGTACTGATATTACACTGGGAATTTGTTGATTTTTCTTGATTTTTATTACAAAGATATTATTTGATTCTTGTAATTTTAATGCAGTAAAATATAACACTCTTGCTCTGCATGTTTAAATACTTTTGCATCTGGCTTAAGAAACATATCCCTAGATTTTGTTTAGAAATTGTGCTTTTTGGCTGGGTACGGTGGCTGAAGTCTGTAATCCCAGCATTTTGGGAGGCCGAGGTGGGCAGATCATGAGTCTGAGACCAGCCTGACCAACATGGAGAAAGCCCATCTCTACTAGAACTACAAAATTAGCCGGGCGTGGTGGTGGTGCATGCCTGTAATCCCAGCTACTGGGGAGGCTGAGGCAGGAGAATCACTTGAACCTGGGAGGCAGAAGTTGCAGTGAGCTGAGATCGCATCATTGCACTCCAGCCTGGGCAACAAGAGCAAAACTCCATCTCAAAAAAAAAAAAAAAAAAAAAAAAGAGAAAGAAAAAGAAATTGTGCTTTCTAATGCATTCTTCTGAAAGTTTAAAGTATGCTTTTCAAATTTGGTTCTCACTTGAAGCTGATATTATTATATAGTGTGACATGTGGACTTAATTTTAAACTTGTTTGTCTCTTTGTTTTTACAAATTGGCACCAACTGTCCCCTAGACTTTACTTAAGACTCAATTATTCCTTCATTGTTCTGCAATACCAAGTCTGCTATAATTAAGTTTTCATATATGCGCAAGTCTGTTCCGGTGCTTTCTGCTCTGTTTCATTTATCAATCTGTCCATTTGTTTGCCAGTTCCACGCTGTCTTAGTTATTACAGATGTAATTTGTATAGTAGTTGCATCCAGCTTGTTTTTCCTCTTAAAAAGCTTCTTGGGTATTCTCATAAATTTCCTCTTTCATACAAGACCACTTTGTCCTGTTTTTCAGAAAGACACTCAAGATTCAGATTAAATTTACATTGTATCTACTGATTATGTTTGAGATAATTAACATATTTGATGTAGTGAATCTTCCTATATGTGATCTTTAAAACACTTTGGTCAAGTTTTATTATATTCTTCACTTATTGTTCTAATCTCCTCCCCAAGAATACCTCAGTGTAGATATCTATTATTTGTTCTTTGCAGTTGCTATCCTGTTGTTTTTCTTCTTTCTCTATTTACTCTGTGCTATGTGATTATTTATTCCATGTCACTGATTCGATCTATGGCAATGATACGGTAGGACTTTACTTCTTATAAATTGATCCAGACTTAGTGTTTGAAGAGGCAAATTGTTCAGTTTTCAAATGTGTCTACTCACTTTGCCACACTCAGCGTCAGCCCTCAGATCTATGAACTACCACAGGCAACTCTGCACTATAGCCCACACAATCACCACTACATAGCAGGCATTCCAGCCCATAGAAATTTTCTTACCAAGATAAATATTTATCCTCCTTTCTGTTCCTTCTTCCTGAATATTTTATATTCTAATTAGATTATTTAAAACACTACTATTCTCTCTCTGGGTTGCAATTAGACTTCTATTTTTTTTTGTTACCATATATAAAATTTGACTTTTGGGGAAGACTTTTTAAGATGCAGTGTGTTGCTCTGTCCTCCTATCTCACTTTTTCTGTCACTTATAAGACTGTTTGATGGGAAAAAAATAATTAATTATTCAAAAATATCAATTGTTCTCTTTTGTGCCAGGCACTGCACCCGACTCTGAGGATGGGATGGGAACCAGAAATAAATCATCATCTTGCTCCATACTTTGTGATAGAGAAACGAAGAGAGTTGAGACAGAGATAGTCCAACAGATCAATATGAAATGCATTATCAGAGAAACAGTCTGAAGGAAATAGCATTTTAACAAAAGCCTCTGGTAATTTGGGAGGGGAAAAGACTCTGAGAAAGTGAAATTTAACTGAGCAACATTATCAAAGACCAGTTGAGTCTGTTGAGTTTTCTGGTTAATAAAAGCCTTTGGTTTTTAGTGAAAGCATTTATTTCTGTCTAAATTCATCTTCAAATCAAAGTAAGGTAGTAAGAGTTTCTCTATATTCCACCAATATTTTGCGTGGAATTTTAAGTTTTTTAGGGTTGTGAGTTTTCATCTTGTTCTGTTTCCATAGATATTTATTAGGAAAATTGAAAAGACTGCCCAGGGGCTGCTTGTGGTATGTTACTTAAATGTAGGACTCCTGAATTATTTATCAAAAAAAGAAAATATATTCAGTACTCCTGCATACCTTTTGTATGCGGTACTCAGTAGTCTGAATACTCCTTTGTAAGTGTGAATTTAAAACTTGGTCATCACTTTGGGAGGCCGAGGTGGGCGTATTACGAGGTCAAGAGATCGAGATCATCTTGGCCAACATGGTGAAAACCCATCTCTACTAAAAATACAAAAACTAGCTGGGTGTGGTGGCGCACACCTGTAGTCCCAGCTACTCAGGAGACTGAGGCAGAAGAATCGCTTGAACCTGAGAGGCAGAGGTTGCAGTGAGCCAAGATAGCACCACTGCACTCCAGCATGACGACAGAGTGAGACTCCATCTCAAAACAAAACAAAACAAAACTTTGAAATTCGACTATTTATGTATGATTCATAGACACATTTACAATAGTGTGCTAAAAAATGTGCTCTTTCACCCAATATAAAGTCCCAATGTTCCTTTTAAGATGATGATAACAGTTGTAGTGGTTTTGTTTATAATGATAATGATGATTTTTTTAAATTAGGTGTGAGCCAGGCACTGTGTTTTTTCCTTACTTAAATAATTTAATCCACCATATAATACTCTGCAATAGGCTGAGACAAGACTTAAACCAACACTAGTGTTTGGGCATCTGTGATCCTTATCATGTTTCATCCCTTTTTTGTTTAGTGAGTGCATTCATGCACAAAATATGCCTATTTAATTAGCATCTATATCACTAATGTATAATACATCCAGCATATTTTCTAGGCAGCAAATTGCGTATCACAAAGTCTGTTTTGAGACTGCCCACCAAGAAACTCCTTTTACTTGGTCTGAAATATTTTATGTGGGGAAATTAGGGAAAGAAGAAGAGGAGAAGGAGTAGGAGATGGAAAGGAGAAGGAAAAGAAAGAGAAAAAGAAGCATTTGTTGTGAAACCACCAATTGAAAAGTATGCAATGAATACAGGGTAGGCAAAATCTTAAAATAATAAGCAATGGGATTGTGATAAGAAGCTAGCTAATAACATCTATGTTTTAAAAATGTCTCGTATGATTTAGAATTAGAGCTGGATTTTTGTAGCAGCCAAAGCCAGTATTTTCTCAAACTGCCTTTATTGTAAGTCTTTACATTGCACATAGGAATATGTATGTAAGTGTGTGTGTGTGTGTGTGTGTGTGTGTGTGTGTGTGTGTGTGTATTTTTGTTGGTTGTTCTCAGTCTTTGGATCTCCTGGTCTTTACCTTTAATGAAGAAAATTCATACTTCTTTTGCCTGTCATATTGTCCTAATGTGAACAATGGAAATCCTTTAGACCTAGAAATTCTAAAGCAAATTCCAGACATGGCTAACACTTGTGCAAGAGTAAACAAAAAGTTGCCATGCTTGAATACTATGATATTATTTGCAACTATTCTGAATTCATGTTAAGTAACATGATTGATACGAAATGATTTATTGTGTTTTGTGAAAAGTAATCTATCCAAAGAGGGTAAGAAAGGTGGGGCTTAAAATGTAAAATATGATAAATATTCAATGAGGATAGGGTTCCTTTTTTTTCTGTTCTGTTTATTAACATATTCTAAAAATCTAGGACATTACCCAGATCACAGTAGATTATCTATAAATAGTGATTGACTAAATGTCAAAAAAGTATTTAAATATATTATGTATTAAATTGAATAATTAGAAAAAACAAGTAAAAGAAATTTAGCAATCTGGCTTCAGACATGAACAAATTGAGTAAAAATGTAAAAGTCAAATCAAAAGAACAGATGGACTGTTCCTGAACACGCTGAGAGAATGGGCAAGTGTGTGCACAAACAGGTAAGAATGACTTTTTAAGTTCTGCTCCTTTATGACATGGGAATTATTTTAGTAAAGCTATAAAATCCTGTATACTGAGAAGAGGTGAGAGTTATAGACATTTAATGCACTGATTCAAGTTTTCACCTTTATTTTAATCAAGTGCAGAAGGATATTAAAATTCCATTCTAAGATTTTCCCATCAAAACATGCAAATTACCCTTTCAGGTCTTTAACTACACTGAGATATAGGACCTAACAGATTATGAAATGAAACATAATTATGGGCCAAGGACATTTTTCTTTCAAGACCTTTATAACATAAAACTTTAAAATGTTTTATGACTCTTCTATATAAGTAGAAACTAAACTTTTAAAAAGCAAAATACTTTCTACAAATTATTTTTAAATTTCTAACTTGGTAAAAGTGAAGTTAGACCTTTTGTATTCCAAAGTAAACCACTATGTGAAAACCTATGTATTCACATAAACCACTTAGTCTTTTTTGAATTGTTTTATTTCTCAGTCCACTTTCACTTCTAATTGAGTTTTCTATTACTACTCCAGATAATAGGTGAATGGATAAAGAGAAAGAGAGAGAGAGAGACATATAGATAGATATTGAAAGTTAACTTATGCTACTTCTTGATGTACAATGGGGACATTAATTTTTAATTATGATTTTTCTATGTTTATCTCCCTTAATACCTGTTGTTTTCCTAGTTGCCCCAAAACATCCATTGGCTAGTCTAAATGGGGTGAGATGTGGAAATGAGAAGGGGTATGGAATTAAACATGTAGAAATACAGAACATAGGTAATATTCAGCCTCTTACATGAAACATAGAATTATTATAATAGAAATAATCTTATAAGCCAAAATTTTAAAAAATAATGTGCTAAATAAAAATATACATTTTAAAAAATAATATATAAACCTTTATATACAGTCATCCTGTATTCATGGGTTCTGTAATTGGGGATTCAAACAACTGCAGATCAAAAATATTTGGAGAAAATTGTGTCAGTACTGAACATATGCAGAACTTTTTTCTTGTTATTGCCTAAACAATACAGTATAACAACTATTTACATAGCATTTACATTGCATTAGGTATTATAAGCAATCTACACATTATTGAAGGTATAAGGTAGGACCTGTGTAGATTATATGCAAATACTACACCATTTTTTATCATGGACTTGGGCATCCTCAGATTATGGTATCCACACGGGTCCTGGAACCAATTCTGCATGGATACCAAGGGACAAATGTGTATGTGTATGGCTACCTCCAGCCTTCCTCTTTTACTAGACAGACAACTAAGCCTGGAGGACTTTCCTTGCCTATGAACTACAGTTTATTTACCTATAAACTATAATTTATCCATAGAAATTATCTCTCCCATCTTTGACACCAAGACCATAAAATTATATAATACAGAAAAAAGTTATAAAAGATTGTTTAATAAAATAATGATAAGATTTAAAAAATAAGCAAACTATATGTTGCTGTCAAAATGTGCCTCCTGACTTCCTCCCTTTGGACTCTTCTCCAGGAAAAGAGAAAATTGCATAAAGACAAAGACTAGTACTGAGTTACAGTGGTTCAGCATATAATTTTGTGACTTTAGGGTGGTTGGAAAGTAATGCTTATCCAGTAGAAATCAGTACAATACTCGCTTGTGCTGTTGAGCAATGGCAGCAAGGTGCAACTCCCAGTCAGCCAAATGATCACAAGGTAAGCAATCAATATGCCACAGTGGACTGTGTTGTCAGATAGGCTTCCCCACTGTAGGTTAGTGTAAGTGTTCTGAGCACATTGAAGATAAGCTAGGCTAAGCTATGATGTTCAGCAGTGTATTAAATACATTTTCAACTTACAGTATTTTCAACTTAAGATGTGTTTATAGGGATGTAACCCAATCATAAGTTGAGGAGCATCTGTACATAGCAATAATATTGAGGCCAGAGAAAGAAGCGTTTTGTTCAGTTCTCTGATAAGGGTTTTGCATAGAGATGGCATCTTGTGCTGCCCTGCCCAAACATCCCAAAATTTTGAGACACACTCACAGTAATTTGTTCAGAGCAATAAATGATACTGTAAAAGTCTCTTGAGTTTAGCTTTCTGTTCTACTTAAATCTCCAGGGGACATGAGTGCAGAGTTGAAAGCTAATGACTTTTTCTGGAGGTCCAATATAAGAACTAGAATTCAAAGGAGCGGCTGGTTGTGGACAGATGGAATAGGAAGCTGAACAGAGAGCAAAACACTCACTCACAAAGCAATGTTTATATCTGAAAGTAGTTATGATTAGGCCAAATAATCCAGGAAACTCTCTAGGAATTTGACTATTACATAAAAAAAAAAAGATGGAAGTATAAACTACACCATGTGCAGATGGAAGTATAAACTACACCATGTGCAGATGGAAGTATAAACTACACCATTTGCAGACTGCAATCAACCATGCCTACAGAGCAAACAATGGACCACTAGAAGGAAGCCATTGCCTTTATTACTGCTGTACCAGCCTGGGACCAAAGAGGCAGTTCTTCTGCAGAGAGAACCAGAAGGATGAAGAGGGGCATAATGAACAAAAAAAGAAACACCTCATTTAAATTAGAGATTGAATGTTTGTAAATGAATTGATCAGCAAGTAAATTAGAAGTTAAATTTAAAATAGATTTTCGAAAATATTTTTTCACTGTCACCAGAGAAAGGTACTGATGGAAAACAAATCATCTATGGAAAAACAAGATAAAATTAAAGAAATACCATTTAAAGCCATTTAAAGAAATACCACCATTGCTACAGTTTTTAGTTTTAATAATAGTTAAGTTTTATCTTATTGCAAACATATCTTGAAGACAATATAAAGTGTAAAAGGTTATAGACTTTTATTTCAATAATGGTAATCTGATCTATTAATTCAAACACCTGTAGTATTGGGTTGGCAGCAGTTGTATCAATTGTGAAACTTAAAAAAATAGCCAGACTAGGCTGGGCATGGTGGCTCACGCCTGTAATCCCAGCACTTCTGGAGACCGAGGCGGGAGGATCACGAGGTCACGAGATCGAGACCATCCTGGCTAACACGGTGAAACCCCGTCTCTACTAAAAATACAAAAAGAAAAAAAAAAATTAGCCAGGCGTGGTGGCGGGTGCCTGTAGTCCCAGCTACTCGGGAGGCTGAGGCAGGAGAATGGCGTGAACCCGGGAGGTGGAGCTTGCAGTGAGCCGAGATCGCGCCACTGCACTCCAGCCTGGGCGACAAAGCGAGACTCCGTCTCAAAGAAATAAAAAATTAAAAAAAAAAAACAGACTAAAATATAAAGACTTTATTCAAAAACACTACAGTTGACTATGGAACAACATGCGTTTGAACTGCACAAGTTCACTTATATGTGAATTTTTTTCGATAAAATTTATACCAAGTTTGCCTGCCTTTCTGGCCATTTCTGCCACCCTTGACACAGCAAGACCAACCACTCCTCTTCCTTTTCCTCAGTCTACTCATTGTGAAGACTATGAGGATAAAGACCTTATGATGCTCTAATTCCACTTAATGAATAATAAATATATATTCTCTGCCTTATAATTTTCTTAATAACATTGTCTTTCCTTTTCTTTTAGCTTTATTATAATAATACATTATATAACATAAATAACACACAAAATGAGTGTTAATCTATTGTTTGTTATCAGTAAGGCTTCCAGTCAACAGTAAGCTATCAGAAGTTAAGTTTTGAGAGATTTAAAAGTTATATGTGATGAGAGCAAAGATAGCCAATTAGTGCAGCCAGGAAGAGCCTCTCCCACCAAAAGACACCAAACCATCAAAACGAATGGGATGCTGTGAACAGATCTTTGGAAAGAAGGCACTGAAAATGGACAGAGGAAGGACACAGAACCCAGTCTGAAAGGTGAGGAAGCTGGGAACCCTGCACTGGTTTGCTGAGCACCAGGACTCACTTCTGTCCCTGAGCAGCTCCTAGGGAAGCATTGAGCGAAATAGGCATGGAGTGGCTCACTCTAGCCATGGACCTCCTGGATCCTAGCTGTAGGAGACCCCAGGACCCTCACAGCATCTGAGCTGGTAGGAAGAACTGTCTGGAGCATTGGCAGAGACAGGACTTCAGCCTGAGAAGCTCCCAGAAAGTTTGACATGGGAATGGCTGCAGTGGAGCACAGCCACAGGAACTCATCCCCTAAGGATCACTGTACTCCTCTAGGTGGCTCTAGCCATTTTTGGCTTCAGGATCTGGACAGAGTAAGGCTGTCTTGCCTCTGGGAAGGGGCCAGTATCATCTAAGTGCCCCTCTATCTGCTGGCCTTTCCCAGGGTTCCTGTCTGGCTACAGCTGCTTGCAGCACAGCTTCAGCTTGCTATAGCTCTTTGACCAGCAGATGTCACCTAACCATCAGAATGCTTTTGCAGATGAACCCCAGCCAGTGTGCACTCACATGCAGCCTCCTCCACTGCCCAGCACATACTCACCCACAGTCTTCCCCACCGGGCGTGCCTTCACTCGCAGCCTCCTTGCTAGACCTCACCAATGTTCATGCATGTTTGGATGCCCTACTATCCCTCCAGAGTGCTTTTGCCAGCAGCCCCCATCATGTTGTTGCTAGCAAACTGGGAACACCTCAGCTCCTCCAGGACAGCAGGTGCTTAAACTCAAGAGGCAAGAGAGCAAAGCTACGTGCCTTTTCCCAGCCCTCCAGCATTACAGCACATAGCCCAGGAGTGCTGAACTGAGTTTTGCTCCCCCGCCCAAAAGCGTCCAGAAATGAAGACAATTGACTGTAATTGGTATAACCCAAGTTATACCACAGTCAAACCCTCAAGGGCACCAAAGAATATAAAGCAAAAAAAAAAGCTTCATCCAAAAGGGAGCAACTTGAAAGATTTAAAGGAACATCAACCCACACAGATGAGAAAGAACTAGTACAAGAACTCTGGCAACTCTAAAAGCCAGAGTGGCTTCTTATTTCCAAACAAGAGCACAGGCTCCCCAGCAGTGGTTCTTAATCAGAGTGAAATGGCTGAAAAGACATAGAATTCAGGATCTGGATGGCAAAGAAATTCATTGAAATACAGGAGAAAGTTGAAATCCAATACAAGGAACAGAGTAAAAGTATTTAATAGTTGAAAGATGACATAGCCATTGTAAGAAAGAAAGCAGAATTATAGCCCTTTTAAGAAAAAAGCAAACTGAACTTCTGGAGATAAAAAATTCACTACAGGAATTTCAGGATGCAATTGGAAGCATTTATAAGAGAATGGACAAAGCTGAGGAAAGAATCACAAAGCTCTAGGAATATTCCTTCAAATAAACACCATCAGGCAAAAATAAAGAGAAAAATTTTAAAAATGAACGAAACCGCTGAGAAATATTGGATTATGTAAACAGACCAAAACTGTGATTCATTGACAGTCCTAAAAGAGATGGAGAGAGGGCAAGTAACTTGAAAAACATATTTGAACATATTGTTCATAAAAATTTCCCCAGCCTTGCTGAAGAGGTCAACATGAAAATTCAGAAAACTCAGCGAACCCCTGCAAGGTACTAGACAAGATGACCATCCTCAAGAAACAGAGTTATCAGATTCTTCAAAGTCAATGCCAAGATAAATAAATAAATAAATAAATAAATAAATAAATAAACCTACCTAAAGGCAGCTATGGAGGAGGGGCAGGTGACATGCAAAAAGAACAACATTAAGCTAACAGCAGATATTTCAGCAGAAAAGACTGAGGACCTTTATTCACCATCCTAAAAGAAAAGACATTCCAACCAAGAATGTCATGTCCCACCAAACTAAGTTTCATAAGCAAAGGATAAATAAAATCCTTTTCATAGAAGCAAATGCTAAGGAAATGTGTTACCATCAGGCCAGCCTTATAAGAGGTCTTAAGGGAGTGCTAACTATGGGGATAAAGACTGGTACCTGCCACTATAAAAACACTGGAATGGGGAGCCCACTGACACTACAAAACAATGATACAATCAATCCTACACAACAAACAGCTAAAAACATGGTAACAGGATATAATCCCAGCATATGAACATTAATCTTCAATGTAAATGGGCTAAATGCTGCACTGAAAAGACACAGAGTGCTAAGTTGGAAAAAGAAGCAAGACCTAACTATACACTGTCTTCAAGAGACCCATCTCACATGCAGTGACACACATAGGCTCAAAGGAAAGCAATGAAGAAACATCTATCAAATAAAAGGAAAACAAAAAAGAGCGGAAGTAGCTGTGCTTATTTCAGACAAAGCAAACTTTAAGCCAACAACAATCGAAAAGGACAAAGAAGGGCATTAAATACTAATAAAGGGTTCAATTAAACAAGAAGACTTAACTATCCTAGATATATATGCACCCAACACAGGATCCACCAGATTCATAAAACAAGACCTCAAGGACCTATGAAGAGACTTAGATTACCACAAAATAATATTGGGATAATTTGACACTACACTGACAGTGTTAGATAGATCATCAAGGCAGAATACTAACAAAGATATTCTGGATATAAACTTGACACTTGACTAAATAGACCTGACAGACATCTACAGAATACTCCACCCAATCACAACAGAAAATACACTCTTCTTATCTGCACACGGCGCATAATCTAAGATCAACCACATGCTCAGCCATAAATCAATTCTCAACAAAATTTAAAAAGGTTAAAAATCATACCAACATCACCCTCAATCCACAGCACAATAAAAATATAAATCAATACCAAGAAGTTTTCTCAGAACCACTATAATTCCATGTATATTAAACAACCTGTTCCTGTGTGACTTTTGAGTAAACAATAAAATTAAGGCAGAAATCAAGAAATTCTTTGAAATTAATGAAAACAAACACACAACATACAAGAATTTCTGGGATACATGTAAAACAATGTTAAGAGGAAAGTTGATAGTGCTAAACACCTATAACCAGAAGTTAGCAAGATCTCAAATTAACAACCTAACATCACACCTAGGGGAAACAGGAGCAAGAGCGAACCAAGCACAAAGGTAGAAGGAGAAAAGAAATAACCAAAACAATATAACTGAACAAAATGAGATGCAAAAACTCACATAAAAGATAAATGAAACCAAAAGTCAGTGCTTTGAAAGAATAAAAAATATTGATAGACCAATAGCTAGATTAATAAAGAAAAAGGAGAGAAGATTCAAATAAATACAATTAGAAATGACAAGGATGTCATTACTGCCAACCCCACAGTAATACAAAAATCCCTAAGGACTATTACAAACACCTTTATGCATACAAATGAGAAAACCTAGAAGAAATGGATCAATTTCTGGAAACATACAACCTCCCAAAACTGAACTAGGAAGAAACTGAAATCCTGAACAGACAAATACCGAGTTCCAAAATTAAATCAGTAATAAAAACCCACCACCAGAAAAAGGCCTGGACCAGACAGATTCATAGCCAAATTCTAAAAAACATAAAAAGACCTACTTCTTCAGAAGTACATTCAGATTCTACTGAAATTATTCAAAAAGTTGAGAAGGGGCTCCTCCCTAACTCATTGTATGAGGCCAGCGTCATTTTGATTCCAAAACCTGGCAGAGACACAAAGAAAAAAAAAGGAAACTTCAGGCCAATATCTCTGATTAACATAGATAAAAAAATCTCAGCAAAATCCTAGCAAGCTGAATCCAGCAGCTCATCAAAAAACCAATCCCCCACAGCCAAATAGGCTTTATTCTTGGGATGCTAGGTTGGTTTAACATAAGTAAATCAATAAATGCGATTCATTGTATAAACAGAACTAAAAACAAAAGCCATATGATCATCTCAATATACATAAAAGGCTCTCTATAAAATGCAACATTGCTTTATGTTAAAAGCCATCAACAAAACAGGCATGGAAGGAAAATATCTCAAAATAATGAGAGGCATCTACAACAAACCTATAGCCAATATCATACTGAAGGGTCAAAGACTGAAATCATTTTCCCTAACCAGAAACAAGGAAAGGATGCCACTCTTAATCACTCCTATTCAACAAAATACTAGAAGTCATACCCACAGCAATGAGGCAAGGTAAAGAAATAAGAGGCTCCCAAATAGGAAAAAAAGTCAAACTATTTATCTTAGCTGACAATATTATTCTTTACATAGAAAACCCCATAGTGTCAAGAAAGTTTCAGGATACAAAATGATAGTACGAAACTCCAGAACATTTCTATAAATCAGTAACATCCAAGATGAGAACCAAATCAAGAACACAGTTCCATTTGTAATAGCCACAGAAAGAATAAAATACCTAGGAATACAGCTCAGGGATGTGAAATACCTCTACAATGAGGAGTACAAAACACTGCTGGAAGAAATTATAGATGACACAAACAAATGGAAAAACACTCGATGCTCATGGACAGGAAGAAATAATGTTGTTAAAATATTCATACTGCCTAAAGCAATTTACAAAACTGAAAACTATTTCTGTCAAACTACCAACAGCACTTTTTTTTTTACAGAATTAGAAAAAAACTATTCTAAGCTCATATGGAACAAACAAATATTCTGAATAGCCAAAGCAATCCAATGAAAAAAAAACAAAGTCTGAGGTATCACATTACACTACTTCAAACTATACTACAAGGCTACAGTAACCAAAACAGCATGATACTGCTAGAAACGTAGACACATAGACGAATGGAACAGGTTAGAAACCTTATAAATAGTGTCACACACCTAGAATCATCTGATCTCCAACAAACTCTACAATAGCAAACAATGGGGAAAGAAATCCCTATTCAATGAATGATGCTGGGATAACTGGCTAGCCATATGCAGATTATAGAATTTGGACTCTCCTTTTACCATGTACAAAAATAAACTCAAGATAGATTGTCAATTGAAATGTAAAATGTCACACTATAAAGACCCTAGATGAAAATCTAGGTCATATCATTCTGGACATAGACCTGGACAAAGAATTTACAATGAAGACACCAAAAGCAATTTCAACAAAAACAAAAATAGATAAATGGGGTCTAATTAAACTAAAGCGTTTCTGCTCTGCAAAGGAAACTATTAACAGAGTAGATAGACAAACTAGAGAATGAGAGAAGATATTTGCAAACTATGCATCTGACAACAGTCTAATATCCAGAATTTATAAGGAACTTAAACAAATCAACAAGCAAAAAACAAACAACCCCATTAAAAGTGGTCAAACATGAACAGGCACTTCTCAAAGGAATACATACACATGGCGTACACATGGCCAACAACCGTAAGACAAAATGCTCAAAATCACAAATCAGAAATGCAATTCAAAACCTCAATGAGATACCATCTCATGCCAGTCAGGATGGCTATTAGAAAGTTAGAAATTAACTGATGCTAGCAAGGTTGCAGAGAAATGGAAATGCTTATACCCTGTTGGTGGGAATGTAAATTCATTCAGCCAGTGTGAAATGAAGTATGAAAATTTCTCAAAGAACTTAAAAGAGGACTACCATTTGACCCAGCAATCCAATTACCAGTTATGTACCCAAAGAAATATAAATCATTCTACCAAAAACACACATGTGCTCATGTATTCATTGCAGCACCATTCACAATACCAAAGACATGGAATCAACCTAGATGCCCATTAGTGGTGAACTGGATAAAGAAAATGTGGTATGCATACACCATGGAATACTGTACAAACATAATAAAGGATGAAATTATGTCTTTTGCAGCAACATGACTGCAGCTGGAGGCCATTTTCCTAAGTGATAAATGCAGGGAGAGAAAACCAAACACAGCATGTTCTCACTTATAAGTGGGAGCTAAACATTGAGTTCACATGGACACAAAGAGGGGAATAACAGACACCAGGACCTACTTGACAGTGGAGGTTGAGAGGATAGTGAAGTTTGAAAAACTACCTATTGGGTACTACGGTCACTATCTGGGTGATGAACTCATTGGTACACCAAACCCAGTGACACACAATTCACCCATGTAACAAACCTGCACAGGTACCCCCTGAACCTAAAACAAAAACAAAAAAGAAAAATAATGCTAGTAAGTCTCCAAATTCTGCCTCTTAAATGTCCATAAAAGTCACCAATCTAAAAAATATGACTAATTCATTCTCTATTTAGAGACATAAGGAAGGTATGAGGGATTATATAACTTTAAAGTGTGCGGAACCACCTTTTAAAACTATTTAATAGGGTGTTTTTATAATGATTTGATACCCATGTAGCCAACCTGCAGATGTACCCTCAAACCTAAAATAAAAGTTGAAAAAGAGAGCAAAAACTTATATGTGTAATTTTGACTGTGCATGGATCAGCAACCCTAACCTCCCACTCTTCAAGGGTCAACTGTGTTATGATAGATAGAAGGGCACTATGCAATAGGGAGAATAGTCCAACCCTAAGATTGGCGAAATACCAAATCAAAACGAAAAAAGCTTTTATTTTATTAGGAGCGGTAAACATAGCTAGCAGGAAGTACATAGGGCTAGCAAGAAGTTTGTGGGGTGTGGGGCATAAGAAAAGGGCTAAACAGATGACATGAGAGTCACATTTTAAAAGAACATTTTTATTCTCTTTGGTCAGCTGATTCTTGGAGTGTGCTATCAAAAGAGAATGTTCTGCATTTCAGTGCTTGCTTGAAAGCTTAGGTACAAGACACAGTTCAACCTGTGAGAAGAGAATGTTGACTAACATTTGGTCAAGCCAAATCAATGAGTAAGTAATGAGCAATTATGAGAGCTTGGACATAGTATAAAGTCATGATTTTGATGCATGCACAGATATATACAGACATAAATAAAGATATGGGTTTATATATACAAGTAGCTATATTTTCTAGCTCTGTTAACTAAGAGAACCTAGAAGCTGTGACACCCTAGAGCAATGAACATATTTGGCACCCAGATTTCAGTTTCTGAATTCTAATCTCCCACAGAGGGAACTAGGGGTCTTTGGAGAAATGGCTGACTCCATGGCTTGGGCAAAGAAACTGCAAGATAAACATGCAAAAACTTGTAAGTAAAACCAGCAAGTAAAATATTGCTGAAATAATGTTAGTTTGTACTGAAAAAACAACTTGCTTGGAGGAATTTCTAATAACTAAACCTGAGACAATTGGGGCAAAAAAATAATAGAAGTGAGTTATATGTACTAGAATAAAATATATATCGATGAATCCATACTGATAGAAATTAATGACTGAGTAAACAGATACACAGGAAAGAAATCAAAGCTCTTCAACATAGTTGAATTTCAACCAACAAATATAGAAGGAATAATGAAAATATAAATATCATTAGGCAAACACCATAGTGATAGTTAATGTAGATAAGATTTATAGAGAGAGAATAAAATTTGAGGAAAAAAATGTCTGATGAAGAACAGAATATTTGCATAGTCTCAAATTAGCTTATCTCCCTGCAAGCTAATTATTCACTATAAAGTGTAAAATAATAATTTTACTGGGATGGATCTGGGTAGACACCATCTTAACCAAATTTGGACAGAATACTCATTTTTCATTCTATTTTGGGTGCAAGCTTTCTACTCCATAAAATCCCAAGAATATATTTTTACTTTTATTCACCAAATCAATGTATTTATACTCTTTCTTTTTATTTTGGTTTCATTTTAAGTATTTTCTAGTTTTCCTTTAGTATGTTCTCATTTTATTGTTATCCCCCCTTACTGATATTTATAAATAAATATATATTTTTCTGATTTTACTTTTTAGACACTGTGATCTATGAGATTTTCACAGGATTTTTTCAAAGCAGGCATATGACCAAATGTCAACAAATTTTTATGTGACAGTGGCAATATATGTCAAAATACTACTCTACTGATTGCTCTTTCAGATAGTAGCTGCATGTGAACAGTTGCTAGCAGCTTGTATTGGAGTTAAAGTATTGGGTTTATTTGATTAAAGATACTTAATATAAACATGTAAATCTTATCTAAGCTATCATGAGATTGAAAATTCTGGCAAGCCTGTCTTTCATAGGAACATAGAAAAAATAAAAAAAGCATAATGCTTAAATAATTACAACTACGTGTTTTTATATTTTTATGGATATGACAATATAAATAGGACAACAAATGCTTTGAAATATTCAGCCACATTTTGAAATCCATGTTGACTGCTCAAGATAAATTGGTTAATATTGTGAATTCGATAGAATGGTGAACAATGTAACTTATTTTCCCCTTTTTTTCCTCCTTAGAAGAAATATAACTTTCTCTTTAGCCATCTTCTCTATTATTTCTTTTTTTTTTCTTTTAGATGGAGTTTCACTCTTGTTCCCCAGGCTGCAGTGAAGTGAACGCCTGACCTCAAGTGAGGCGTTCAAGACCAGCCTGACCAAGGGATCCACCTGCAGAGGCAGGTGGAGCCACTGCGCCCAGCCACGGGGAAAAAAAAAAGACTACAATTTATAGACCAGACTAAATCTCTGGCCGATTCCCTAGTATATTTTAAGAGAGTAAGATGTGGTTGCCTTGCCATTTTTAAAAATAAGTTAAGAATGCTAACTACAGCAGAATTATTTCAGAGTTACCTTGAGAATTCTGAGTGCAACAAAGCACTTTCTCAGAAAGATTTTAAAGATTTTATTTTTTTAAGCAATTTTTTTTAAAATTTTTATTTTTTATTTATTATTATACTTTAAGTTTTAGGGTACATGTGCACAATGTGCAGGTTAGTTACAATAGCAAAGACTTGGAACCAATGGAAATGTCCAACAATGATAGACTGGATTAAGAAAATGTGGCACATATACACCATGGAATACTATGCAGCCATAAAGATTTATTTAGTTCTGGTTTGCTGCTTCCCAGAGCATTAGCAATGTTCCTTCTTGAAGCAATCATGGAGAAAAAAAAAAGGATTTTTGTTTACATATATATATATATGTATCTTTTTCTAGTCATTTTCAGCACACATCCAACTTATTGGAAATTGAAATGTATACCTTAGTTTTATCATTCTCAGTCAAGAAGGCCCTATAATGATCATAGTAAACACAGTTCGGGAAGTGCTTCATAGACTTTGATTATTCACATCAATATTTTGAGACTGTGTCTGGAATTGGTGGGTTCTTGGTCTCACTGACTTCAAGAATGAAGCCGCAGACCCTTGTGGTGAGTGTTATAGCTCTTAAAGTGGCGCGTCTGGATTTTGTCCCTTCTGATGTTGAGATGTGTTCGGAGTTTCTTCCTTCTGGTGGGTTCATGGTCTCGCTGGCTCAGGAGTGAAGCTGCAGATCTTCGCGGTGAGTGTCACAGCTCATAAAAGCAGCATGGACCCAAAGAGTGAGCAGTAGCAACATTTACTAAAAAGAGCCAAAGAACAAAACTTCCACAGTGTGGAAAGGGACCCGAGCAGCTTGCCATTGCTGGCTGGGGCAGCCTGCTTTTATTCTCTTATCTGGCCCCACCCACATCCTGCTGATTGGTAGAGCCCAGTGGCCTGTTTTGACAGGGTGCTGGTTGGTGCGTATACAATCCCTGAGCTGGATACAAAGGTTCTCCATGTCCCCATCAGATTAGTTAGATACAGAGTATGGACACGCAGGTTCTCCAAGGCCCCACCAGAGCAGCTAGATACAGAGTGTGGATTGGTGCATTCACAAACCCTGAGCTAGACACAGGGTGCTGATTGGCGTGTTTACAAACCTTGAGCTAGATACAGAGTGCCAATTGGTGTATTTACAATCCCTGAGCTAGACATAAAGACTCTCCACGTCCCCACCAGACTCGGGAGCCCAGCTGGCTTCACCCAGTGGATCCCGCACGAGGGCTGCCGGTGGAGCTGCCTGCCAGTCCTGCGCCATGCGCTCACACTCCTCAGCCCTTGGGCGGTCGATGGGACTGGGCGCCGTGGAGCAGGGGGCAGCGCTCCTAGGGGAGGCTCGGCCGCACAAGAGCCCACGGAGTGGGTGGGAGGCTCAGGCATGGCGGGCTGCAGGTCCGGAGCCCTGCCCCGTGGGAAGGCAGCTAAGGCCCGGCGAGAAATCAAGCACAGCGCTGGTGGGCCAGCACTGCTGGGGGACCCAGTACACCCTCCGCAGCCTCTGGCCCGGGTGCTAAGCCCCTCACTGCCCGGGGCCGGCAGGACCGGCCGGCTGCTCTGAGTGCTGGGCCCGCCAAGCCACGTCCACCCGGAACTCCAGCTGGCCCGCAAGCGCTGCACGCAGCCCCGGTTCCCGCTCGCACCTCTCCCTCCACACCTCCCTGCAAGCTGAGGGAGCCAGCTCTGGCCTTGGCCAGCCCAGAAAGGGGCTGCCATAGTGCAGCGGTGGGCTGAAGGGCTCCTCAAGTGCCGCCAAAATGGGAGCCCAGGCAGAGGAGGCACCGAGAGCGAGCGAGGGCTGTGAGGACTGCCAGCACGCTGTCACCTCTCCAGACTAAGGTAAGATATAAGAAGAAACTAGCCTTGAATAAATGGCACAGCCTGATCAATAATTTAAAGGTATTTGAAAAGTAAAACATGCCTTGATTCAACTTCTTACTTCAAACTCAGAAGGTTTGCCCAATAATGTGCTGCCTCTGCAAATCGCCCACGCTCTAGGTTTTTTTGTTTTTAAACCTGCTATTTGTATTCAGTAAATTATTTGGTTGAACATGGGTTTCTATGGATTAAGTGTCTGTACATAGCGTGGTTCATGCTGTCATTGATATGGCAATATTGGGCAATAATGATTTCTTTATACCAGGGCAACTCCTCTTTATTCTTCTCAATGAAGGACTACTGCCAAGAGGAATAGCCTGTTAAGCCTTTACCGTCCTTGTGACCTCAAAAATGTTTGTTAAATCCCTCTTCTAATAAATAAGGAAGGTGTTCACACTAAGAGGAACAGAGAAATACAAATACTTTCTCATGAGATTTGCTGAAAAGTTTAAGGGTAAAGCAATGTTACTTTCTTAAAACTTTGAATTTAAAGTGACAAAAAAAGCAATGCTCATATCTTATCTATATCAGATAAGGCAGGTGAGATGTCTGCCTATAATAACACGCTAAGTCTAGACTAATCAGAGTGCCTTCCTTGACCCAAGTTCAAATTAAAAAGATGACAACGGGCAGCTTTCTTAAAAATGACCATAGCTGGTCAAACCAGGGTTCTATCATGAAAGGCCTTCGTCTACAGGCAGACCTGAAGCCTGTGAAGTGGACTGGTAAGATTATCCTGTATATTGAACACGGACAAAAGCACCCAGCTCCTCTCTATTGGGGAATTTAGTGAGAGAAAAGTCAGTAATGACACACAGAATAACAAGGCCTTAAGCAGACACTATTAGGCGGTAGAATCCATGAGTAATAGGAACCATATATTAAGGATGAACAAACAGTGGGAAAATGTTAGCATAAATAGAAGAAAAAGAGAGTAACTGAAAGATGAAGCTATGAATAACTCTGAGGGAATGCTAAGTGTATTTTTTGTCATTGGAGGTCATTGTGACCTGAATGATTTCCCAATTTTCCATAGGACAGTACTAATTTATGTCCCAGGCATGTGTCCTTATGTCAATACATTCTATAACAGTGCAAGAGGATTCACAACTAAAAAAAAAATTAAGTTAAGATAATTTTTTAAAATGGAACTTGATTAGAAGTATGTAATGTGTTCCTAAAGTACATGAAGCTTCTAATAGTGAACAAAAAAATGATACATGGCAACTATAAAAATGTCTACACTAAATGAGTTGTTATCAATGAGTGATTTCACCCTCAGGGAAAACTTTGCAATAGTTAGAGACATTTTCAATTGTCACAGAAGGGTGTAGGGTGTTGCTACTGGCATGTAGCAAGTGGAGGCCAAGGTGGCTACTAAACATCCTATGATCCACTGGATGGCTCCCCAATGAGATAATTATCCAGCTCAAACATCAATAATACAAAGGCTGAGAAACACTTATCTAAACCAAGACAGGTTGGCTCAAAACAAATTTAAAATGTATTAGTTCTGATCTAATTCTGGCCTATTTCAAATAATTCTTACCCTTTTAACTAGATCTTTCTGTTATAACTGATGATATAGTTAAAAATACCTGAAACTAAGCATATAAACTTCCAGGATTTAAATGTCTTCAATATTTTGTTTTGAAAGATTTTATTATTTATACAAGCAAAAATGTTGGGAAGGTTCTTTAAATTGTATTATTGCCATGTTGCTGATATAAATAAAAGGAACAATCAGAAATGGATATTTTCAGACAAGAAAGAAATCAATGAAAGTGATGAAATTGCAGTCAAGTTAGTTATGATCTTTATAAAGTAATATGTCCAAAGCCCACTTTCTTGAAGCTCTGGTAAATCTAAATGTAAATATTTTGGCCTTTTGCAGACTTAATGTATTTATTCAACAGCTGGCTCTGTGCATGGAAGTGCTAAATAATAATATAGACACATTAGAGTTATACATGGACAGATAAATGTTTACCTAGTATGACTTCAATTTCAGAGATTAAAATATATTCTTCTCTGACAATGGAGAAATCATTCTGCTGTCCTATCAAAGTCATAAGATTCTACCATTAGAAATGGAAGAATCCTAGGCAGAATAACATACAGGTTAAGTATCCTTAATTCAAAGTTCCAAAATCTGAAATCCTCAAAATCTGAAACTTTTTGTGTGCCAACATGATGACACAAGTCAAAAATTCCACATCAGATCTCATGTGATGGGTCACAGTTAAAATGCAGCTAAAACTTTGCTTCATGCACAAAATTATTTAAAATATTGAATACAATCAATTTCAGGCTATGTGTATAATGCATGTAAAAACATAAATGAATTTTGTGTTTAGATTTGGGTCCCATCTCAAAGATATCTCACTATGTATATGCAAATATTTCAAAATCTAAGTAAAAACAAAATCCAAAATACTTCTGGTTTCATGGTAAGGGATACTTAACCTGTATTAAACTTTAATAGTTGTTAACATTTTAAATGAAATTAATATCAGAACTTCTACAGATTCACAGAGGGCTGAAATTCTTGCTTTTTTTAGGGTGGAGAAAGAAGACGGCAATTTAGAATAGAGGATTTAGACTTTAGTAGGCTCCTTTTTTTTTTTTTTTGAGACGGAGTCTCGCTCTGTTGCCAAGCTGGAGTGCAGTGGTGCTATCTCGGCTCATTGCAAGCTCCACCTCCCAGGTTCACACCATTCTCCTGCCTCAACCTCCCAAGTAGCTGGGACTACAGGCGCCCTCCACCACGCCTGGCTAATTTTTTATATTTTTAGTAGAGACGGGGTTTCACTGTGTTAGCCAAGATGGTCTTGATCTCCTGACCTCGTGATCCACCCACCTCGGCCTCCCAAAGTGCTGGGATTACAGGCATGAGCCACCACACCTGGCCTAGTAGGCTACTTTTATATGGAAGGGGAAAACCATAAAAAACACGAAAGTGAAAATATGGTAGGAAAGCATAACACATTATATACTTAATAAATGGAACTGAAGACTAAACTCTGATTTTTTTTTTTATCTTGCCCAAATTCCTATCTGTGGGGTCTGGGGAGTCATGTCCTATAAACCATAAATTCTCACCAAATGGGTTTTATTTAACCCTGTATATAGTGACTTACTTTCCAATCTGACTCTGGCATAACAAGGAAGAAAATCAAAATATTTTACCCCAAAAGATGTTTCTCTGCCATATCTCGAAATTGCCCTGTAAAATCTCTTTTGGGAAAAATCCACATTCTATAGAGAATCCCTTTTCCCCTTTGTTTTTCTTCCTTCCTTTCCAGATCCAGGAGAAAATCAACTAAGAGCCAGGCACCATTTTAGGTCCGAGACTGAGGCAGGAGAATCGCTTGAACCTGGGAGGTGGAGGTTGCAGTCAGCCAAGATTGCACCACTATACTCCAGCCTGGGCAACAGAGTGAGACTCAGTCTCAAAAGCAAACAACAACAACATAAAAACATTTTACAACCTGTGGTCTCTCTGAAGTCTGCTATCTGAGAGTTTCCTCTGCACAAGAAAACTTGGTTTCCACAATTCTTTATCTTAACCTGAACATTCCTTTCTGTTGATCTCAGGTCTTCAGATAAACTCAACCAGTTGTCAACCAGAAAATATGTAAATTTACCTATAGCCTGGAAGCCCCTGCTTTGAGTTGTCCTGCCTTTCTGAACCAAACCAATATTTTTCTTAAATGTATTCGATCGATGTTTCATGTCTCCCTAAAATATATAAAACCAAGCAGTACCCCAACTGCCTTGGGCACATATTCTCAGGGTCTCCTGAGGGCTGTGTCATGGGCCCTGGTCACTCATATTTGGTTCAGAATAAATCTCTTAAAATATTTTACAGAGTTTGATTCTTTTTGTCAGCAGAACTAAGACATCCTAGTTTACATTTATTTAATAATGACATGTTTTCTATTTTCCTTACAAAAATCTAGTAAAGTAGCTGTGACAATATCATGCAGAAACTGGGGCTTAATGAGTAGTTCATCAATGGGTCCAGAGTCACATAGCCAGCAGATGACAGAATGAATGTTTGAATCAAGTTCTGAATGACAGGACAAAATATACTTTTAAAAATTGGCCTCTCAAAATCCTTTTATGAAGATTATATGAACTAACATTTAATGGGTGGTCACAAATTAAGGAAAACTAACATTCATTGACTGTATGCTAAATACTGTGCTAGTATCTTTACATAAAGTACTTATAATAATAACTACACCATTTGTTAGAGACATGCTTAGGAAGAAATAACAAAACTAAGCTTTAGCAGAGATTCATTTCACTTGTATCAAAAATTTCATGGTATGTAATCAAGCCCTAGTATTTGTTGACTAGGTCCCAGAAAAATCCACTAAAATACCTTCTTCATAACGCAAAGGCAAGTTTACTATTTAATGTAGTAAGAGAAACTACTACTTTGAGTGCTTCTTAATAGCTACTTAGAGTCAGGAGGCCACAGACAGACAGTTTTGAGATTTTTGATATCTGATTTAAGATGATTCTCTCAATTCGGGGCCTGCTTGAGACTGGGTAAAGTTCAAGATACAATAGTTAAGGGTTAGTGACTACAGGGAGGCAAGGCTTTAGAAGGGACTCTTGAAGAATAGATAGCCAGTTGATTAGTGGGCTTGACTAATCTATTGTCCTGAAAAGGGAGAAATGAGGACTAGATGATCAGTCTATTGTTCAGCTAAACAGATTGGAGGATGTTCCTGAAACTAACAATAATGTAATTTTTAATGTTATCTGAGCAAGAGCCTCTTGGTTTAGTAAAGTCATATTGGAGCACA
Source organism: Homo sapiens (assembly GCF_000001405.40). Taxonomy (NCBI): domain Eukaryota; kingdom Metazoa; phylum Chordata; class Mammalia; order Primates; family Hominidae; genus Homo; species Homo sapiens. The sequence continues at coordinate 189,723,730 of NC_000001.11, forward strand.
TGGGTTGCTTTTCACATTGTTGTTCAAAGAACATCTTCAACAATTTCCGTTTCTTCATTTTTCCGTTCTTGACATCTTTTTAAAGTGACATTTATCACCACAGTTTAAAGGTAACTTGAACAGTTTCAAACATCACATCCCCATTCCAAAAAGGGAAAAGAGAAGTAACAAAGACCCAAAGTCTCAATCATCCAAGTCTGTCCCTTTTAAAAATGTTTTGTTAGAAGCCTTATATTTTGGTTTCATCCCATTGGACACAATAAGGTCTTATAATCCGTTCTAGCTATAAAGAAACTGGGAAGGCAAATCTTTAGACTGCTTACAGGTTCTAGAGTAGAGGAAGAAAGTGAAAATAGACTGTAAATTGATTTTTGTTGCTATACACAAATACACAGCAATTTTTTAAAAATTGTACTTTAAGTTCTGGGATACACATGCAGAACGTGCAGGTTTGTTACGTAGGTATACATGTGCCATCGTGGTTTGCTGCACACATCAACCTGTCATCTCCATTAGGTATTTCTCCTAATGCTATCCCTCTCCTAGCCCCACACCCCCCAACAGGCCCTGGTGGGTGATAGTCCCCTCCCTGTGTCCATGTGTTCTCATTGTTCAACTCCTACTTATGAGTGAGAACATGTGGGGTTTGGTTTTCTGTTCCTGCATTAGTTTGCTAAGGATGATGGTTGCCAGTTTCATCCATGTCCCTGCAAAGGACATGAACTCATCCTTTATTATGGCTACATAGTATTCCATGGTGTATATGTGCCACATTTTCTTTATCCAATCTATCATTGATGGGCATTTGGGTTGGTTCCAAGTCTTTGCTATTTTGAACAGTGCTGCAATAAACACATGTGTGCATATGTCTTTATAGTAGAATGATTTATAATCCTTTGGGTATACACCCAGTAATGGGATTGCTGGGTCAAATGGTTTTTCTGCTTCTAGATCTTTGAGGAATCACCACATTGTCTTCCACAATGGTTGAACTAATTTACACTCCCACCAACAGTGTAAAAGCATTCCTATTTTTCCACATCCTCTCCAGCATCTGTTGTTTCCTGACTCTTTAATGATCACCATTCTAACTGGCGTGAGATGGTATCTCATTGTGGTTTGATTTGCATTTCTCTAGTGACCAGGGATGATGAGCTTTTTTTCATATGTTTCTTGGCCGCATAAATGTCTTCTTTTGAGAAGTGTCTGTTCATAACCATTGCCCACTTTTTGATGGCATTGTTTGCTTTTTTCTTGTAAATTTGTTTAAGTTCCTTGTAGATTCTGGATATTAGCCCTTTGTCAGATGGATAGATTGCAAAAATTTTCTCCCATTCTGTAGGCTGCCTGTTTCACTCTGATGATAGCTTCTTTTGCTATGCAGAAGCTCTTTAGCTTAATTAGATTCCATTTGTCAATTTTGGCTTTTGTTGCCATTGTTTTTGGTGTTTTAGTCATGAAGTCTTTGCCCATGACTATGTCTTGAATGGTATCGCCTAGATTTTCTTCTAGGGTTTTTGTGGTTTTAGGTCTTACATTTAAGTCTTTAATCCATCTTGAGTTAATTTTTGTATAAGGTGTAAGGAAGGGGTCCAGTTTCAGTTTTCTGTATATGGCTAGCCAGTTTTCCCAACATCATTTATTAAATAGGTAATCCTTTCCTCATTGCTTGTTTTTGTCAAGTTTCTCAAAGATCAGATGGTTGTAGATGTGTGGCATTATGTCCGAGACCTCTGGTCTGTTCCATTAGACTATATATATCTGTTTTGGTACCAGTACTATGCTGTTTTGATTACTGCAGACTTGTAGGGTAGTTGGAAGTGAGGTAGCACAATGCCTCCAGCTTTGTTCTTTTTACTTAGGATTGGCTTGGCTATATAGGCTTTTGTTTTGGTTCCATATGAAACTTAAAGTGGTTTTTTTCAAATTCTGTGAAGATAGCCAATGGTAGCTTGATGGGGATAGCATTTAATCTAGCTAAGGTGAGATGATACATTATTGTAGTTTTAATTCTCATTTCTCCAATAATTAGTGGTGTTGAATATGTTTTAATATACTGGCTAGTCATTTGTATGTCTTTTGGAAGTGTGTATACTCAGATATTTTGCCTTTTTTTGTGCAGTGGCAAGATCTTGGCTCACTGCTACCTCTGCCTCCTGGATTCAAGCAATTCTCTTGCCTCAGCTTCCCAAGCAGCTGGGACTACAGGTGCACGCCACCATGTCCAGCTAATTTTTGTATTTTTAGTAGAGATGGGGTTTCACCATATTGGCCAGGCTGCTCTCAAACTCCTGACTTTGTGATCCACCTGCCTCCGCCTCCCAAAGTGCTGGGATTACAGGCGTGAGCTGTCGTGCCCGGTCTATTTTTAAATTTGATTATTATTTTTTATTTTTTTCTAGTTGTTTAAGCATCTTATATATTATGGTTACTAATATGTTGTCACATGTCAGTTTGCAAATATTTTCTTCTGTTCTGTGAGTTGTCTTGTCACTTTGTTGATTGTTTCCTTTGCTGTGCAGAAGCATTTTAGTTTGATCTAATCCAACTTGTCTATTTTTTTTTCTTTGATTGCCTGTGCTTTTGAGATGTTATACAAAAAATCTTTACCCAGACCAATGTCCTGGAAAATGTTTCCTTTTTTCTCTTCTGATAGTTTTATAGTGGTTGTACATTTTAAGTCTTTTATCCATTGTGATTTGATTTTTCTATTTGATGAGAGACACTTATCTAGTTTCATTCTTTTACATATGGATATTCTGTTTTCCCAAAACCACTTATTTATTTACTTTTTAACTTTTATTTTAGGTATAAGGGTAAATGTGCAGGTTTGTTATATAGGTAAACTTGTGTGATGGGTGTTTGTTGTACAGACTATTATTAATCACCCAGTTACTCAGCCTAGTACCCAATAGTTATTTTTTTTTGTTCCTCTCCCTCTTCTCACCCATCACCCTCAAGACACCTCAAGTAGACATCAGTGTCTGTTGTTCCCCTTTTTGTGTCCATGAGTTCACATCATTTAGCTCCCACTTATAAGTGAGAACATGTGGTATTTGGTTTTCCATGCCAGTGTTAGTTTACTAAGGATAATACCCTCCAGCTCTATCCATGTTCCCATGAAAGACAGGATCTCATTATGTTTTATGGCTGCAAAGTATTCCATAGAGTATATGAACCACAATATCTTTATCTAATCTGCCATCAATAGGCATTTAGATTGATTCCATGCCTTTGCTGTTGTAAATAGTGCTGCAATGAACATTCATATGCACGTCTTTTTGGCGAAATGATTTCTATTCCCCTGGGTACGTACCAAGTAACGGGATTGCTGGGTCAAATGGTAGTTTTGTTTTTAGCTCTCAAAGAATTTGTCACAGTGCTTCCCATAATGGCTGAACTAATTTACACTCATACCAACAGCTTATAAACATTCCTTTTTCTCCACAACCTTGCCAACATCTGTTATTTTTTGACTTTTTCGTAATAGCCATTCTGACTTGTGTGAGATTATATTTAATTGTGGTTTTGATTTGCATTTCTCTAATGATCAGTACTATTGAGCGTTTCTCCTGCACTTATTGGCTGCATGTATGTCTTCTTTCGAAAAGTATCTGTTCATGTTCTTTACCAATTTTTTAATGGGGCTGTTTTTTTTTTTTTGTAAATTTGTAAGTTTCTTATAGATGCTGGATATTAGACCTTTGTCAAATGCATAGTTTGCAAATATTTTCTCCCGTTTTGTAGGTTGTCTGTTTACTCTGCTGATTATTTCTTTGGTTGTGCAGAAGCTCTTTGGTTTACTTAGACCCCATTTGTCAATTTTTACTTTTGTTGAGATTGCTTTTGGTATCTTTGTCATGAAATTCCTATGAATCCTTAAGTCGTGAGTTCCCATGTCCAGAATAGTATTGCCCAGATTGTCTTCCAGGGTTTTTATAGTATTGGGTCTTATGCTTCAGTGTTCATCTTGAGTTGATTTTTGTATGTGGTGTAAGGGATGGGTCCAGTTTCAATCTTTTGCGTATGGCTAGCCAGGTATCCTAGAAGAATTTGTAAAATAGGGAGTTCTTTCCACATTGCTTGCTTTTGTCAGCCTTGTTGAAGATCAGATGGTCATGGGTGTGCAGCCTTATTTCTGGGCTCTCTATTCTGTTCCATTTGTCTATGTGTCTGTTTTTGTACCAGTACCATGCTATTTTGCTACTTTAGCCTGCAGCATAGTTTGAAGTTGGGTAACATGATACCTTCAGTTTTGTTCTTTTGGCTTATGGTTGCCTTGGCTATTTGCACTCTTTTTTGGTTCTATATAAATTTTAAAACAGATCTTTTTCTAGTTTTGTGAAGAATGTCATTGGTAGTTTGACAGGAATAGTGTTGAATCTGTAAATTGCTTTTAGCAGTGTAGCCATTTTAATGATGTTGATTCTTCCCATCCGTAGGCATGGGATGTTTTTTCATTTATTTATGTTATCTCTGATTTCTTTGAGCAGTGTTTTGTAAGTATCATTGTAGAGATAGTTCACCTCCCTGCTTAGCTATATTCCTAGGTATTTGTATGTGTGCATTTGCATTTGAGTGTGTGCAGTTATGAAGGGGATTGAGTCCATGATTTTGCTCTGGGCTTGGCTGTTATTGGTTTATAGGGATGCTAGTGATTTTTGTGAATCAATATTGTATCCTGAAGCTTTTCTGAAGCCGTAAATCAGCTGAAGGAGCTTTTAGGCCAAAACTTGGATTTCTCTAGATATAGTATCATGTTGTCTGCAAAGAAAGATTATTTGACTTCCTCTTCTCCTTTTTTAATTCCCCTTATTTCTTTATGCTGCCTGATTGCTCTGGCCAAGACTTCCAATACCTTGTTTAATAGGAGTCATGACAGAGAGCATCTTTTTCATAGATGGTATATATTATTTTGATGTATGTTCCTTCAATATCTAGTTTATTGAGAGTTTTTAACATGATGGAATGTTGAATTTTATCAAAAGCTTCTTTTGTGTCTATGGAGATAATTATGTGGTGTTTGTATTTGGTTCTGTTTGTATGATGAATCACATCTATCAACTTATGTATGTTGAACCAACCTTGCATCCTGAGGATGAAACCTACTTGATCGTGATGAATTAGCTTTTCGATGTACCGCTGCATTCAGTTTACAAGCATTTTGTTGAAGACTTTTGCATCACACTTTATCGGGGATATTGGGCTGAAGTCTTCTTTTTTTGTTGTGTATCTGCCAGGTTTTGGTATGAGAATAATGCTGGCCTTATAGAATGAGTCAGGGAGGAGTCCCTCCTTCTCAGTCTTTTGAATTTTTTTCGGCAGGAATGGTACCAGTTCATCTTTGTGTAACAGTTAATTTGGCCACGAATTCATCTGTTTCTGGATGGGTTTTTTTTGTTGATGGTGGTGGTAGCCTATTTATTACTGATTAGGAGACTTTCTTTTCTCCAGTGTATGGTCTTGGCATCTTTGTAAAAAAAGAAAATGAATTCACTGTAAATGTGTGGATTTGTACTTTAACTTTCTATTCTGTTCCATTGGTTTATGTGTCTGTTTTTATGTAAATGCCATATTTTGGTTATTGTAAATGTGTTGTACAACTTAAAGTCAAGTATTATAGTGCCTGACTTAAAATCAGGTAGTTCTTTTTGCTCAGGATATTTTGTCTATTCTGGGTCTTGCAGACCAGCATAGTACTGAGGCTCACCTAAGGCCGATCGTCACTATGGCCTACTACCACTAATGTTTGTTCGAGACCCATTTCCATTTTAGTTAGCAGGCAGTGAATCCTGCTGGGACTGGGTTCATCCCATCAGGGCAGTGGATTCCCTTCTGGCCCAGGGTGAGCCTAAAAACACCATTCAGGAGCAAAGACCTGGAGTCGGAGGCATCAGGAATCTCAATACTTTATTTTACTCTGGTCTAGCTAATCCAAAGTTACTAAACAAAGGCCTCTGTGCTCTTTCCTCTCTTTCCCCCAAGCAAGGAAAGTCTCCCCCAAATAGCACCACCTGGAATTGGGGGAGGGGTAGTGAAGGCACTCCCATGGCTACCACAGCTGGTGTCACACTGGGTCACACCCCAAATCTACTGCCTTGAAGACCAGTGCCTCAACAGGGCTTCTTCAAGGACTGCAGTTCTTATGGCCTGACTTCCCTTCAAATTTATTCTGGGCCTCAGGCCACTTTAGTCAGCCAGTGGTGAAGTGTCTGTGGCTTAGGTTTCTCCCACTAGGGATAGAAGATTTTCCTCTGGCTCAGGGATGATCTAAAGGCCCACTCCATGGGCACCTGCATAATTCTGCCCTGTGTTTGTGCTTTGCTGTGACTGAGTTCCAATGCAGAAATCTCACACTCACTTCCCTCTTGCTCCCCAAAGCACACAGGTTCTTTCTCTGTGCTGTGCTGCCTGAGGCTGAAGGAGGAGTGGTGTAGGCATTGCCAGACTGTTATTCCCACCCTCTTCAGTGAATGTTTTCTTGATATTATGTAAAAACTAGGCACCGAGATTGCTCACCTGATTTTCTTGGTTATTATGAATGTGGTTTCTTGTGTAAAAAGTTGTTCAATATGGTGTTACTGTACAGGGACGATTGCTGGGGCTTCAATTTGGCTACCATGCTCTATCTCCTCCCTCAGGTTACCCACTTGAATATCAAAAGCAATGGAACAAATTAAAATTTGTGCCATCTGATACAAAGGAATGAGAACACACCATTATTTCTGTGATATTCCTGTGAAAAACAAATAACCTAAATTTAACAATGACAACATATAGGTTAAATGCAATTTGAGATACATTTTATAAAATATCCAATAATATTTAAAATATTAAGGCCATGAAAGTCAAAACAACCACTACAGAATTAAAAAAAATAAAGGTTCATGACAACTAAATGTAGGAGGTGATACTGTCTTTGTCTCTTTTACCATAAATAACGTCATTAAGAAAATTGGCAAAATGTAAATGGAATCTTTGGACTAGATGGTAGAACTATATAAATGTTACTGACCTGAGTTAATGGCTGCATTTTGTGACTATACAGGAGAAAGTCTTGCTTTTTATTGATATGTATTTAAGTATTCAGGAGTGACTGGGCATCATCGAGGAAACTTACTCTTAACGGGTTTAAGAACAAAAAGATTCTTTGCCATAGCCTTGCAGGATCAGTAGCTTGTGGTTGTATCAAAATAAAAACAAAAACATGTTTGATAATTATAATTTTATATAACTGGCTAGAATATGTTAACTCTGAAACACTCAATCCACTATTTTCCATAAAAACTTCTCTTGGAAGTCAAAGACAATAAAGTTGCTTGAAAATGATCATATGATAATTGTGTCTGTAAGAGACTAGGCATAGATAGAGGAAGCTTCTAAGGAGTTCTTGTTTAAAAAATGTTTAAAATGTGCATTTCTAAATTACCCTAATATTCTATCTACCAATTACTGGTACTTATTCCTTTATAACTCCTAAAATTAATTTAGTTTCTCATTACTCTTTTTCTTTTCTTGGCTGGAATCCATGTTTCCATATCTCTTTAGGCTGTTTAAAATGAGGTATAGTTTATGGGATTTTCTTTCAAATTATTTCTCTGCTGTCTCATGGGGCAAGTTTTAAGAGGGTAAATTTGCTTACATAAATTTCAGTGGAGTTAGTAGTTGAGATTGTAGAAAAAGATAAGACAAAAGAAAGTCACTTTCTAGATAAAACAATTGACATAAAATACTAAATATGTAAACTGCTGGAATATAAGTTAAAATTGCAACAAAATTTTAAATATTTAAAATAAATTATAACCCATATAAGTATTAGCACCTACATTACCTTAAATAATTCACAATTTGGCCCAAGAAAATGCATTAGAACTCCTGATAGGAATATAATAAATGTTGTTTCCATATAATAGTACATTCTTACAAGCGTTACTTTAGACTGTGTTTTTGAAGTTGAGTGCTGTATTTTAGCAAATTGAAAATTAAAATATTTTATCCTACAATCAATCCTGGCTGTCTCCTAGAAAAATATAACTAAAATCATATTGTAAAACTCTAATGGAGTGAACTAACTTACAGCTAACAGTTTGCTCTGTTGTATCAAGTGACTTATTTTGTGTGCAGTATGACAAAAACATGATTAATTCACTCTCTGTATAAAAACTCTGCTTGTATGGCTGTGAAGGGAAAGGTGCCTTTGAGGATGAATGAGTAGGGTTCCATAGAGACAAATAGTCTTCAGGGCAACAGGTTAACCCACTCAATCTGTAGTGAAGCGGAGCTTCCCTGGAGATGGTCCAAAAAGTAAAGAATCAAAAATAAGAAAGCTTTTAATTTTTGTATTCAAACACAGAAAAGGTCAACGTTTGCTTTTTGCCATATTTTGAGATATAAGCAACCAAGAAAAGTAATAGCCATCTTACCATAAGATGTTATATAAATATTTCCAAATTTGAGAGGAAATATTAGAAGCATTTGAGGACGTGGTTTTCTCACTTACACTCAAAATATTTTACTGCATAATATTTCCCCTAAATATTTTTAAAGCATAATTCTAAAGGAAAAAAATCTTTAAATCATAAGCTCTACTAACAGAAATATTTTCTGGTGAGCATATTTATCATATAATTTATTAGCATGACACAGAGGTGCTGTATAATTAGATATGTCACCATTATTTTGGATGTAATACATCTCACATTAATTATTTAAAATCAAAATTAGGGATTTAGGCCAGGATTCGGGGCCTCACACCTATAATTTCAAAACTTTGGGAGGCCCAGTCAGGCAGATCACTTGAGGTCAGGAGTTTGAGACCAGCCTAGCCAACATGATGAAACACCACCTTTATTAAAAATACAAAAATTAGCCGGGTGTGGTGGTGGGCAACTGTAGTCCCAGCTACTTGGGAGACTGAGGCAGGAGAATGCTTGAACCCAGGAGGCAGAGGCTGCAGTGAGCCGAGATTGCACCATTGCACTCCAGTCTGGGCAACAGAGCAAGACTCCATCTCAAAAAAAAAAAAAATTAGAGATTTAGAAATTATAGATGTCTTAATAGGTAAGTAGTTTAATGTTTTAGAAAAAGTAAATATTTCAGAACTTGAAACCTGGTAGTAGAACACAGACTAGTGTAACATGCATAGTAAGAATGTAGTAGATAGATTTTGTAGTAGGTAGATTCTTGGGAGCTAATGTGGCCTCTTTGCCAACCAAGTTATCTAAGGAAGTGAACCTGCAGTTACTTCGTCCTCTCAACTCAGAGCATCCCCAGACTTCACAGTGACTACAGAACTTCAGGCACCCTGTGTGAGAAACTGCATCCCCTCTGGGATCCCTCTGAATGATTGTGTGTGTGTCTCTTACACAGATTGTTTGCTGATCCAGTGTCAACTGAAGGAAGACAATCTTGGAAATGGTTCAGACTCTCCATCTTCTCAAGTCTCAGACTGAGACCAAGTTTCCTTTTCTGATTTAGCTCATTTGGAGTAAGAGAGACCAGGCTTTTTGAAATGTACCTACTTTCAGTTTTCTTATCTTTAAAGCAGGGTAATAAGATTTACTTTTCAGAGTTGTTTCAGATTTTAAGTAAGAAAAATCAAATAAAAGTCCTTTTTATTTTAAATTGCAACAATTTTTAAGGATTATATTTTTATTCTTTAGCTTTCTGTTTCCTTTGAAAGTTTTGCTATAAATTTTAAGTAACGTTTTTATTTTTTATGTTTGTTTAAACTGGGAATTTTTATACTTCAATAAAAGAAGACTCTAATATGTAGATGTTTTTTAAACACTTCAAATGAAGGTTTAAAACAATCAGTTTTTCATAGAACTTGACTCTACACTCCCTACTTTCTATATCTGATTTATTTACACCTAATGAAAACAAATAGCCTATGTATATGAATTGTTATGACACATATTGCCATCTTTTGGTTGTTTCTAAATTTTTTCCCCCAGCCTCCTTCACACCCATTTCTTCTAAAACCTTTTCAATTTTGGAGGGACATGTCAATCCCATATAATGATCCTTCCTGCTCTTGGTCTATCACAGTGACATTCCTGATACACTGGACTATTAGTGGCAGTGTCAATAGATTGTTGACAAAGATGACTGCAATAATTTGTTTCATTGTCACAGGGAAAGAGACTTTACTGCTTCTTAATCAAGATAGGAAGCCCATTTTCCCTCCCTTTAAATCTGACCAGTTTGTGACATGCTTTGGGTAACAGAATATGAAAAAATGGCACTGTGCAAGTTCCAGACCCAGGCTACGTTGCAGGTTCCACCTTGGACTTCTTAGAACTTGAGTCCACTATTCTGTGAAAAAGCCAGTGTGGCCTACTGATGAGTGAAAGCCCACAGAGAAAATCTAAGGTGTTCAAGCTGACAGCCAGCACCAACTGGCTGAAAGTTGGTGAATGAGACCCCTTGAACTCCCTAAATCCAGTTGTAGTGTCTGTGACTGCAGCTGCATGAGGGAGCTAGATGAGAGGAGCCAAGAATTGCCCAGCCAACTCATAGCATTACGAGAAAAAAAATGTCATTGTTATTTTAAGTCACTAAATGTTAGGGTAAAATTTTAAGCAGTAATAGGTAACTGAAACAAGGTGTTCATGAGGAAAACAAAGAAAAAGATGCAACTACTTTTCCCAATTCTTCAATGTACAGGTCTCAGCATCTCCAGACTACTTTCTTTCCAGGAATCTCATCCTGCTTTTTTACTACAACCCCTAGGTATAAATCATATTCCTTTTGCTTGGAATGCATTAGTCCTTTTCATTCTTTATCTAATTTCTACTTATTCCTTTATAACACCGTACAGTCATTTTCTCTAGGGAGCTTTACAAACCTCACCGCAATCTTTCTGAATATTCCTTGTCCTTTATTCAATTTACCATGTGCATGTCACTGTAACTTTTTATGGATTACTTTCTTATCTCTCCTGACTATACTGTAAGGTTTGGGAAAATGTCATGCTATATCTACATTTTGCTGCCACCATTCAATAAGTATGTATTTAACACATGGCTAAAATGTTCGTTTGTGGAGAAAAAGTGTACATTTTTTCACGAAACATAAGTGAATACTACTTCTAGCCTTTATGTGCATAAATCCTTTTAATTACCTTGTTTTATACTGTTGTAAAAGTAAAGTAGGTAACTTTACCTGCTTCAGGGTCTTGTTATATAAGGAAGTCATGGTTTATTATTTTCTCATTCACTAGTCAACTTGCTCTTTAAAAAAATGGTGCTGCTTTACATAAATATTTTAAGTAAATGGAGAAATTACAGAATTAATGTGAGAATTAGCTAGTATGATCTTTGCCCACAAATACTGTTGGGTGATGTGCTAGTCTCTTCTAAGATGTGAGCCAAAATATGGCTCCAAGATTTCTTGCACGCAATTTGAAGAGGGACACATTATCCTAAATGGACATGAAGTGATATAATGACAAACATTTTTAACTATAAATAAGGAAAAAGGAGTGACAAACTTCCAAGGACTGTTTTTTTATTGTTCTTCAATTTAATCTCATTCTGTCATGAACAAAGCAAAAGGGAATTCAGACAATTTTAATCTTATAGGAATTTTCTAATTGTGTGATTTAATCCAAAAATAGATTTTAGAGTTACTTAATGATTGCATGGACTGCATACTCTTCAGGCTATGCTCTATAAATATATTTCTTATGTTGAATTTTTATTAGAATTGAGAGACTAAGTTTTTTTGGAATACATTCTCTGACTGACATACACTGGATTATAGATTTTTTCCCTGCTATTAAATATATATCTTTATAAGAATAGCATTTTAGGAGAGATACTGAAAAAAGATTAGGTTGTATTCATGGAGTCTGATCATGGTGACAGAAAAATCATTAAAGTTTTAGGGAACTGAGGAGTGTAACTCAGAGAATAAAGTGCAGAAAATAATACAATATACATACAAATCCTCAAATATTTGATAAAATTTTACATACAAGACATTGGACTTGTGGGATCAAAAGTTTACAACTCTGAATTATAATTTGAAGTTATTAGAAGTTATATTTCATATATATGAAAGAATTTTTTTTTTTTTGAGACAGAGTCTCACTCTGTCACCCAGGCTGGAGTGCAGTGGTGTGATCTCGGCTCACTGTAAGCTCCACCTCCTGGGTTCATGCCATTCTTCTGCCTCAGCCTCCGAAGTAGCTGGGACTACAGGTGCTCGCCACCACGCCTGGCTGATTTTTTGTATTTTTAGTAGAGACAGGGTTTCACTGTGTTAGCCAGGATGGTCTCAACCTCCTGATCTCATGATCTGCCCACCCTGGCCTCCCAAAGTGCTGGGATTACAGGTGTGAGCCACCGTGCCCGGCCGAAAGAAATTTTTAACACTGTAAATCATGCAAATATGATCAACACTATTTCAGAGTACCTCAATCATTAACAGATGCCAGTCTTCAAAGAGATATAACATTGAAATAAATTCATCTTCAATGAGGACAAAATAGAACAAATGTGGAGGTGCACGTGTGTGTGTTTGTGTGTGTCTGTTTGTATATAATTGTTTACCACAGCTCATCCATATTTGACAACTATTTTTTTTAGAAATGATGACTGGTCATGGTAATCTTAAGTTTTTTATTTTAAAAGTATATCCATTTTATGAATTTATGGTGTTTTTTTTGACTTGGACTTATCTTTGATTGGTTTTAAAAAGTAGTCTTGAAGTTAAGGTCCATAAACTCTGCAATAGATGAAAATTGGGTGATAACATTCATGAAGAAGTTCAAGCAAATAATAAATGAAATAAGTAGGTTATTATGGGGTCACTATAATACAGGTATTTTTATCTCTGACCCCAAACCAGTGGATTTAACTGATAGTGATCTTTTTTTGTAACACGATCACATCTATATATTTTCACTCTTCCAGATACAAGCTTTTGCTTCACCCTGTCACACCATCTCTCTCTTCTAGACTTAATAGGCTCCAAACTCCATATCATAAATTTCACACCCAGTGGCATGGAAATAAAACAGAATAAGTGCAATTTGAAATTTTACAACTGAAGATAACTCTCACACAGATAACATATAACTTCCATCTTCTGAGAGGAATTTTTATTTCATATTTTCTAATATAAGTACATGCTTGGGACACAAGATGTAAGAATTCATTTTTTTTTGTTTTGCATCTGATAGTAATTTAGTGTCTTAATGGCATGTAGTACTTCGTATATTGAACAGATGGCCATTAAAACATTGACATCCATGATAAATAATGTAAAGGTAGTAAAAATGTCCAGACATGATCGGATGTTAATGTCATTTTCATTGTTATTTAATTATTTTTTCATATTTTCTCCTACGCTGTTAATATTTCATCAGCTAACATTTGCTTTTCCTGTAACTATTAGATAACTATTTAAAATTTAACACAGAATAGAATTGAAATACACAGTTCATTGTTTTTAATCTATTTATGGCTGTGGAGTCTAAGAATTTGATCAAGCAAGAGATGCTCATATTAATTACTAATGTAAGACTAAAATATTCTAGGCATCTTTACTCTAACAGAAAAGAGGAGGAATGGAAAGAACAAAGTATATATCCATTTGCATGTAAAAAGGAAAGCACCAGTGTTATTTAAACAATAGTAATATACTCGCTTTTTGAAAAGTGCTTTTAGAATAATATGTCTATGTTCCATTCTAAAATATGGTGTGCATGTTACTGCCTAATCTCCTCTTTCTCAAACAACATCACTAATCCTCCAACGCACTCTTCCCCGGCTGAACCCAGATGTAACTTCAGAATATTTCTCACCTTAATGCTCTAAAGAGCCACTACCAATCCATAAGAATTGGCACTCAAGTTAAAATCAATTTGCTTTTCTATTTACTCTTCCAAATGGATCAGTAGAAGCTGGAAATTCATGCTGGAACACTAACATGAATTTGGGAGACAGCCAAATCTTGGATAGTGAAGTTGTATGTAAACTACAATAGGGGAATTTCCGAGGCCTAAAATTATCCATCAACCTAAAGGACATCTAATCTATAAAGTTAAAGGATATGCTTTCATTCAGCCTTATGACACTCAAAATCCATTATTAGAAACATTTAAGGAAATCCAAGACATTTCTAACTAATCCAAAGTAAGCATTGTCTAGGTCTTCTTCAATAAATAACTTACCTATAATGGATTCTATGGGTGAAAGAAAAATAGATGATAGCTTCCTTTAGTAAGTTTAGAATTTCCTTTAAATACTAAGTACATGCCAGTCAAAAAACAGCGCTTTAATAAGACAAACAATAATCCTCCTCATGGAACTTACATTTTAGTTGGTGGCAGTAAGCAACACAGAATTAAACAAGATGGTTTTATATAAGCAAAAGTGCTGTGGTTGAAACTCAAAAAAATCATTGAGCACCTGAGGATGAACTGCCAAGATTCCCTGAAAATTCTTTCTGAAGTTCAGAGAGCTGATGTCAAAAAGGACAGAGCTGGGATATGATACCAATGTCAATGTTATTATCATTCAATTGAGTTGCCTATTTCCAATTTTGTTAATATGATCATGGTGTCATGCTTTCATAGAAACAACTGAAGGAATTGACATCCAGGAAGATAAAATAGTATGTGCAAAGCCATCAAGCACGAATGGCACAATGCATACTTTTGCACAGTTAATGATTGACATAAATCAATACATTCAAAAATTTTCAACTGCTTACAATTTATTCAGAATGTTTACTCCAGAGAGAATAAATTCATGACCAAATGGAATATAATCCACTGCATATCAAGTACCCATATGCTGTTATTGGTTCTCTCAATGTAATTATTCAAACTACTATTAGTAGTGGTATATATTTATTCAGTTAATGAGCTCACATGTTACTTTTTTGTCTATCATAACTATCGGCCTCTTCATTGGGACAAAAATTTTCCTCTGTCTGTGGGATATCAATAACTCAAACATGGTTATTAAACATCAATAATTTGTATAATAATTTCTGCAAATAAGTTTAAAACATTGGAAAAAATCATAATTACCATAGTTATTTCCTGAAGCAGTGGTCAGTGAGCCACCATCCATAGTCAAATCTGACCTCCTGTTTGCTTTGGTAGATAAAGTGTATTGGGAACATGGCTATTAATTTACATATTATCTATGGCTACATTTTTTGCTGCAGCAAGGAGAGTTGAACAGTTGCAGCAGAGATCCTATGGCCTTGAAGGCCGTGTTTGAGTTATTGACATCCCACAGAGAGAGGCAAATAAGTTTAAAACATTGGAAAAATTCATAATTACCATAATTATTTCCTGAAGCAGTGGTCAGCGAGCCACCATCCATAGTCAAATCTGACCTCCTGTTTGCTTTGGTAGATAAAGTGTATTTGGAACACGGCTATTAATTTACATATTATCTATGGCTACATTTTCTGCTGCAGCAAGGAGAGTAGAACAGTTGCAAGAGATCCTATGGCCTTCAAGCCTGAAATATTTACTACCTGGTCCTTTACAGAAAAAGTTTTCAAACATCTTGTGTGAAGGAACTCAGTAGTACTGGAGGAAAATTAAAACACCAACTTGTTTCATCAAAACCTTCACTGATAATTTTTTTCCTAAATTATCTTCATTCTTATTTTCATTTATTTCTATACTTTAGACTTCACCTAAGCCAATTCAATTAATTCTATTTTTAGTTACGAAGAAATAGGACTCTTTATAATTTATTCTACAAAAATATTCCTTTTGTTTTTCTAGGTCAAAATACTGCCTGATTCCTTTACCAAGTGGATCAATCTTTTTGGTTTGTTTTATTTTGATTGTTTTCCATTTATGAGGTACAATGTGATGTTTTTTACATATGTTTACATTGCGGAATGATTAACTTAGGCTAATTAACATATCTATCACCTCAAGTACTTATTATTTTTTGGTGAGAACATTTCAAATCTACTATTTTAGCAATTTTGAAATATACAATGCATTATTATTAACTGTAGTCACTTTTCTGTGCAATAGACACTAAAACTTGCTGCTCGTTCTAACTGAAACCTTGTACCTTTTGACCTTGAGGAATTCTCCTTCTGTATCTCTCCTCTGGAATATTTTTGAAAAATATTATTTCAGTTTATGCAATAGAGTGCCCATATAAGTGAATTTATGCTGACAAGATGGAAGAGAATCTTTGGCTAACCAAAGGCACCCCACTTCTCATTTTGCTAGCAATTTTAAAAAACTAATGCCAATATAAAGTCCCATGATAGACATGTGAATTCTTTCCAATAAAGAAATAACACACTGTTTTGCTATATATTTGACAAAAATATGTATAATATTATAAGTGTTTCAAAAAAAGAGTCACACAAAACTCTTAAATGTTCAGTGAAGGAGAAATCACTTCTACTCAGTTAAAAATTTATGGAATTGGTGATAATGTTGTAAAATTAAGATGGCAATAATAACTGATAATGGAGTACTAAGTATTTCAGGCCTACAATCACATTTTTAATTCATTTATTCAATAATCATTTATTGAGCAATTTTTTGTGCTTCATTGTACATCAACAGTGGTAAACCAGAGTATATGCTAATATCCTTAATAGAGTTTACTAGGTTGAGGAATTGATCAATAAGCCAATAAAAATAAGAACAAGGTATAATGAGAGGGAATGTAGCTGAGAAGAAAATCACTTAAAAAAAAAGAATCAACAAAGGTGAAAATTGGTGCTGGTCATAAATCTATTTTATTTTGAATGATTTAAGGATTTCAATTTTCAATATTAACGTTGTGCAGCAATTAAAAATATTGCCACAGAAGCAAAGATATAGTTCTCCATCTTATGAGAAACAGCTCCATTTTTTCTCTAAATTTTATTTATAATTCATTGACTTTTCACTGGAACTTTTATCTTGCCAATTATTACACAAGTATTTATTTTAAAATAAAAATCATGGCAGTTGTTTTAAATTTCATATCTCTGCCTTTTTGAAAATTCAGGCACTATGTCTGTTAAATCAACAAAGATTTTTGCGACTCTACTATGTTCACATGCTGGTGATACTGCCCTGGACAGACATGCATGGCTCTTGCTTTCCTGGAGCAGACATTACAGTGGGTAAGAGAGAGAAAATAAATAACAAGCATTCAAGAAAATGTCAATATGTTTTCAGGCAATAGAGATAAAAGAGAGTGATATAATAGTGATTGAGATCTTGGGTAGGCATTCTAATGTAGACATTTGGTGCTAAAGGAAGTTCACTTTGACACAAGAATATGAAACTTAAGATTTAATGATAAATGAATCAATCTGTGGACAAATCAGATGAAAGACTCCTAAGAAGAGGAAACAGTGTGAAAGCTCCAGTGTAAGAATGAGTTTAACATATTTCTCAGATGGAAAACAAAATCAAAAACATAGTGGAGAGAGGACAGTATACAAAGGAGAAAGTGATAGTGCGTGTTGTAAGAGATGCTGCTAAAAGCCCAATCATGCCAGCCCTTGCATTCCATGACAAAGGGGTTGGGTTTTATTTCCAATGGGTAATAAGCTACTAAAAATTTTCAAGCATGTAGCTGACATCCAATATATATTTTAAACAGATTACTTTATTTGCTTCATGCAGAAAGTATTTGGGAAGAATAAAATCAGAGAAACCACATAGGAGGTTATTTTACTGGTCCAGGAAAGAAAGGAGAATCACTGGGAGTCAAGAGTCACATAAGGTGAAAAAATGTGGAATTTGGTTAATTTGTAGATGTAGAGTTTGTGGGATCTGATAACAGAGTACATGAAAAAGGGAGGAGAATGGAAGAATTAAGCAGCTGCTAATTTTATTCTAAGTACAAAGGGGTCACAGTGCCAATTACTGAGAAATGGAAGACTGAGAAGAGCAGATTTGCACAGAGACATCTGCCTACTTAGATAGATAGCATTTGAATATTTGTCTTAGTTTGTTGGCTGCTATAACAAAATACCTTGGACTGTGGTAATTTATAAACAATAGAAATGTATTGCTCACAGTTCTGGGTGCTGTGAAGACTAAGATCAAGACACCATAAGATTCAATGTCTGGTGAAGGCCCATTTCACACACATAGTACTTTGTTGCTGTGCCTTCACATGGCAGAAGGAACAAGCCAGCTCACTTCAACTACTTTTATAAGGGCACTGATCCCATTCATAAGGGTAGTGCCCTTGTGATCTAATTAGATTCTAAAGTCTCCATCTCTTAAAACCACCACAATGAAAATTAAATTTCAACATGTATTTCTGCCAGTCACAAAGTATCAAATCATAGCAATATTTAAACCTAATATACACAGATGGGGTTAGAATTGGAGACATAAAAATATAAAATTAATCAGTATACAGATTAATATTTAGGATGTGAGTTCTAAAAAGATTGTGCAGGCTAAGAAGGGAAGCCATTCCAGGACAGAATCTTGGGGCATTCCCACATTTAAAAACTGAATGAAGAGGATGAGACACATTACAGTTGAACAAGGCTTAACACAATTTCTTGTTTGACCAGTGATCAGAAATAAAAATCAGAAGAAAGAAGTGTAACAGAAGCCAAGAAAATAAAGTATTTTAAGAAAGATCAGTTATATCAATCACTACTGAGTGAAATACTGAGGTGAGGTTATTGTAATGATCATTGAATTTGGCAACACAGAGATTGGGTATTAAGAAAGGTGTCAGGGAAGTGATAGGAACAAAAATCTATTTAGGGAAGGTAGATGAGACAATGAAAGGAGAGAAAGAGGTAATAGGAAATATAGGAAAATCTTTTAAAAAATTAGAAATATCTTAATAATTAGTTTCACAATTTTGTCCCTGATAATAGGTCTTTTGTAAGTTGTGTGCACAGTGTACATACAATGGAAGTTATAATACACAACATATTTATCATTGTGTAGATTGTAGATCAAAGTTACTAAGTATATACTTTAAAATATTTATGGCACAAATAACTGTATATGTAAATGAAACTATCATACCATTTTGATCTGTTTTCTGCTAACATATCTTTTCATTTGGTCATGAAAAGTGTTCTGGTTCTCAAGGATAATTTTGTAAAGCATACTTAAAATACATTAAATATGATTTCTTAATTTTAGGAAATGTAGTTTTGTGTTCATAAGAATATGGAAATATACTTAAAAGAGTTATAATGATTCACAATTTATTGAGTACTAAATGAAAATATGCAAGTGGATATATTAGAAATAGATTTACACAGCTAGCTTGTAATATTGCCTGGATTATTGATTCCTTTAGATGTGATTATGACTTGCATTTATCATGACGCTAGAATATGAAATATATAAGCTATAAATACAGTTTTAAATGTAAATATAGAACTGTGATTTTTGATTACTTAAATACATTTCAAGAGTTAACTGATATTTATAATTTTGAGATATTAATTTTTAGAGTATCTATTAGCTGCATGATCTGAATGAATCCTATCAACATTCAAGTTTTTAAATTAATCAGAATTATAGTACTGTACCTTATTTTATTAATATTCACAGCTAAAGAACCGAATATAACCTTTTTATACTGCAGAAGACAAAATTTATTGCAAGATTACAGCTGTTTTCAAATCAAGCATTTCATTTTAACATTTCTAATTTAAAAAAAATTCCTTCTTGGCTTTGATGGATTTCCTATCCTGCTTTACTTACAAAATAAATAATAGATGTTTTGATATTAGAGTCCTCTGATAAGTAATTCAGTACATTTGAAAAATGTTAGGATAATATTACTAATTTATTTTGCTTCCTGTTAATAACAAAAGGGGTGTAATAATTGTGAGATAGAATCTCTAGGCTACAACTTGCAAATGGAGCTTGAGCCATCATAAATCATGCTGCCTGTTTTTATGCTATCGTAATTAAGAAATCTCCACTGTATCCATGATCAATTTTTATCTTTTGGGGCTTTCTTATGTCATAAAACTATGTCTGAGCACAACTTGAAAGGTTACTATTTGGGGAAAAATAACTTTTAAGAATATGCAAAGAAAAAATTGCAAATACAATATTTTATATTAATGGCCTCCCTATTAACAAATGAGTCTATTTAAAGATAAATGGAAAACAATACTTAAATATATGCCAGAAACTGTGAAAAGTCTGAAATATTACCCCACTTGCACAGTATATATCAAGTACATTAATGTGGATCACAGTAAAGAGCTTTATTATACTCACAGCCCAATCAACAATCCTTTGAAGTAATATGGCTGTCTGTCCGTACATACCCAGTAACCCTGAACAACAATATTATTGAAAACCAAATGGAAAAAATATTCTACAGACATTGTGAGCTCGCTGTATAGCTAAGGATTGGGAAAATATTAATTTCCTCCTTTTATAAAGGGGAAAGATATTATTTTCTCCCCTTACCTTCTGAGAGAATTTCTTTGGAAGAAAAATAATGCTCTAGCCTAGTTGTCTATCTGGAAATGTAAACTTTGGGCTCTTAAAGAGACAAGGGGAAGTTTTTTTAATGAAAGCCATTAGCTTGCTCATTAAGATACTGATCTAATCCTCATTACATGTAAAAAATAAAATGTTTCTAAGGGAAGTGAAAGCAAGTATTCTCTATCTTTACACTATATGTATTTCCAGTACTCAAGAAACTGAAATTTGTATAGAAACACTGAGAAAGCCATGAAAATTTTATTTTTCCACAATATATACACCATAAAACTTTAATTATTACTTTATAATAGCAAAAGTCTTCTAAAATCTATAGTAAACCTCAATATTTTGTCAATAAAATTAAATTAATATTTATTCATATATAATGTTATTCTACGAGTGTGCTGTACCATGCCATATAATTGATCTTGGTTTAAAATTACATAGTTCATAAAGTGCTTTTAGAGGAGAGTTTTTACTTTGAACTATGATAGGTTTAAATTTTTTATCACTATTTATTTATATTAAATGTGATAAATTAAAGTTGGATAAAATGAAATTAAGTTGAAGGTTATTGAGCTTTTAATTTTGTATTTTTTTCAGAAAGTTTAATTTTAGTTTACCTGGAAGAATTACTCCTCTCTCTCTCTCTTTCTTTATATATATATAATATGTATATACACACACACCCATATATACTCACATATATATTATGTATTTTATACATATATATTTCTTTGTATGTAGTTCATGCATATTTTGCATGTAGCTCATACACATTTTGTATTAGCTCATACATAATTATTTCTTTGTATGTAGCTCATACATATTTGTATGTAGCTCATACATATTGTATTTCTTTGTTTGTATTATATATATATAATTATTTCTTTGTATGTAGCTCATATTCACTTGAAGAGTCTTTGGAGTGGAATAAAACAATGTTCACAATCGGTGGTAGTTTTTATTGCCTGTAAAGAGAATGCAATGATTTCATATTAATTTTTGAGATATGGAATATTTTAAGGAATGTAAGATAAACATTGAAATATCATGTGTAAAGATTATGAAAGTGTAATTGCTGTGTAATAATAACATGACTCCCTTGCACATGCTGTTCTGGATAAGGTGGTAAGGTTCTCTACAATCTTGTACACTCTTCATTAGAAGTTTCACACTAGGTGGGAATGCATATCCTGGACGCTGGACAAATATTGGTCTTCAGTTTTAGGCAGTATTCAGATAGATATTGGAAGTCAAGATTTATTTATATACTTTTAAAAGTTGGAATCTCAATGGATTATTTTTAAGCAAAATTGAACTAAGAACATTTTCCCTTTCTTATGCAGGGAAATCAGAGGACTCAGGCAGTTCATGGAGGCAGCAGGAATGTTGTTATTTCAAGGATTTGATGTACTATTTTACTTTTCTGTCCAGAAGTGCTTTAGCAAACACCAAGGAATCATATCAAAATATTTGAAGATTATGGGAAAAGAGAAGGTAAAGATTTGAACTTTGTCTTTCTAGTTGTCTTTTTCCCCTTACACTTGGTAAATACAATTCAAAGAAAGAAGATTAACTCACTCTATTAAAATAAGCTGTTTAATTTTTGAGATTATGAAATGATTATTTATAAGAAAATTAGAAAAATTTATAGCAAATTTAGAAAACAAATAAAAACATAAAAAGTAAACTTTATCAATCATACCTTAACTGCTAAAAGAAGCTACAAGATAGCAACATATATAAAATTTGTTTTATTATGTGTACATACATATTCCATAATTTAGATTATATAACATATTATTGGATCAGATTGGATTTTAGTGTCATGCCACAATCAATATTTTATTTCATGGAACACTATTTCACATCATAATACCAAAGGCATTAGGGTGTCAATTAATGAAAATATTTTCTTTTTGTAAATTTCATGTTTATGTTATTTTTCAATATTTTAAAATTTCTAACAATTTTTCTCATTCTTAGTAAATATTTGCACTTTCAAAAATTACTTTAATTTTAATTTGTATAGATACATCAAATTTGGGATTAAATACACATTGCTCCAATAACTAAATCTTTTTCAACGTATATTATTCTATAACACTACTGTGTTATTTTCCCCTTATTTCTTATATTTTGCTATCAAAATAGCACTGAATTGAGCATTCTCCTTTACAACTAATTACTTAGCTATTAATTATTTTCTTCATTTTAATACCTAGAGTTCATCTATTAAGGGATCTGTATTTAAGAAGATACCTTGATAAATATTGTAAAACTGCAATCCTGACAGGTTGTACTGCTTTGCTATTTTGAGGCTACAAAACTGGACATTTTATTATACCCTGATGAGTACTGGATGTTATTTTCTAAAACATTTTCTCTGTTTGGCAAGATAAAAGTGTCATTTAATCTGTGCTATCGTGTATATCACAACAATGAATGTCATTCCATGTATACTATAATGTGTTTTGATCAATGGTAATTTGGAAATTTTTGTCATATGCTATTGGCAATTGCAGTTCTTCTCTTGTGGATTTTTTGAACATGAACTTTCCAATAGGAAAATCAGAGTAAATTGGTTTTCAAAACTCCCTAGAGCATTAACATCGTTTGTGATATCTATGAAAATTTTGTATTGATTTGTTATGTACATTTTTATTTTACTTGTTTTAAATTGTGTACATCACTGAAAGAAAAGTAAACTATATTGTAGATTTTTGTGGCTTATTTTAATTGTTTGATGGATATAAGATCCATCTTGATCCTGAGATCAGACAATATTTTCCTTCATATTTCCTATGTGTCTTATGCTCATGCAATGGTGGGTGGGGGTTATCATTGTATATGTGTTCATATAGTTTGCCCTTTTTCTTAGCAATTTTTAAATAATTCTTATTTTTTGACAATTTGTGATGCTATGAATTTTCTACAAATATTTTGTTAGCTTAAGGTGTTCCCTCAGTGATACTTCTGTTTTGACTGGCTGAATTGTTCATTGTTTTGTATAAAATTCAACCATTTACATGGATTTATAACATGTTTTAAAATATGTCAAAGCAAGTTTCCCTTTGTTTTTCTTGACTTGTGGCACATATATACCATGGAATACTATGCAGCCATAAAAAATGATGAGTTCATGTCCTTTGTAGGGACATGGATGAAGCTGGAAACCATCATTCTCAGCAAACTATCTCAAGGACAAAAAACCAAACACCGCATGTTCTCACTCATAGGTGGGAATTGAACAATGAGAACACATGGACACAGGAAGGGGAACATCACATACCGGGGACTGTTGTTGGGGAGGGGAGGGGGGAGGGATAGCATTAGGAGATATACCTAATGCTAAATGACCAGTTAATGGGTGCAGCACACCAACATGGCACATGTATACATATGTAACAAACCTGCACGTTGTGCACATGTACCCTAAAACTTAAAGTATAATAATAAAAAAAAGAAAATCTTTCAGCTTTTCTTTTTCTTTCTACCTTGATTTATACATTTAAGAATGTTTTTGTCATAGTTTCAAAATAATTATTATAAGCTATTGAAAAAGAAGTGTCTATAAATTATGAAACAATAACTGATATTCTTTAGAGTCATCTATTAGAAAATATAATCAGTCCCTTAAATTTGTTTTTTTAACCTGTGTATATTATAACACTTTGTCTTTCATTCCTTTTATTTTTTTATATCACTTTTATTATATCTGTTATTGAATAGGTAAAATAAGTTATGTTAATTATTATCTATTGTATGTGGGAAGGTTGTTGATAGTAGAATATGAGTTTTAATTCCAGTCACCTTTCTGCAGAACTCCTTATTCTCAGTTTTTCACTTCCTCTGAGAGGCAGCTATTGTTGGAGGTGGAGATACTAGCAGGCAATTATGTCATCACATCAGCTATTAATACTAATATTTATGTCATTCCAACATTCCAAGTATATTTCTCTCTCTCTCTCTCACACACACACACACACACACACACACACACACACACACACACACATTTGCCTTTTATGTTTTACCTCATTGGCATAATTTACCGTTATGAGAGTAGGTAAGAGACATTTTCTTATGTTGTTAATGATAGATGATACTGTTGAAAAATATTTCAACTAACCAGCTTTTAATCAGAAATTAGTTTTTATTTTTTATTCTAAGTACAGAGTTATTGTGTATCTTAAGGTCTTCCAGTTAATCTCTGAAATGTTTTCTCTAGAATGTTTTACTTATATTTTTTTCCATTTCCATAAAACCATCTATCTATATAAAATTACATATAATAAGATATTTTTCTATCACTTCTTAACTACAAAATGATAAATCATACTGCATCTACGGGCCTTTTTTGTCCTATTTGTGTCCTAATATTTTTAACATCCTCTCCCAATTAAGACTTACTCATTATTCATATTTCACTTTGATTGTTTTTACCTGAGTGAGAATGTCTGTAGTATTCTTGATTAGGTTACATCTCTGTCTTAGAAACATTATGTATATCTTATATTTAGTATGTAAGGTACTTATATGCTATTGAGATATGTGCTGTTTTGCAATTTTACATTTATTTATATTAGTTTGTATATATATATATATCTATATATATATATCTATATCTATATATATATAGATATAGATATATATATATAGATATAGATATAGATATATATAGATATAGATATATATATAGATATAGATATATATATCTGTCTTCCGCAAGAGGCTGCAAGCTGCTTGACCCTGAGTTTGTGTCCCCAGAATTAGCACAATGTCTGACTCACAATAGGCCATCAATAAATATTAAACTGAATAAGTTAATAAATAGCAACCTGCTGTAATGAACATAAAATTAGCCAACTTGAAAAAGTCCCATGGTTCTCAGATTTAACTAATTTGATACTAATTTCATGTCAAATTTTTCCATTTTCTTGTGTGTGCATCATTACCTTTTCTTCTAAATATCTCCTATTGTCTGACAGTAACCAATGACAATGACTGGGCTTAACCTGTATAGGTTTACCAATTTATTAATCTTTTGAAAAAGCAACTTTTGATTTGTTAATTTTTCTCTACTGTATACCTTTTCATTATTATTTAATTTTTATTTTAGATTGAGGGGTTACGCATACAGGTTTGTTATATGGGTAAACTCATGACACGAGGTGTTGCTGTACAAACTATTTCATCACCCAGGTACTAAGCCTGGTACCTGATAGTACTTTTTTCTGATCTTCTCCCTCCTCTCACCCTCCAAGTTCACGTAGGCCCCAGTGTCCTTTGTTTCTCTCTTTCTATCCATGAATTCTCATTATTTAGCTCCCAGTTATAAGTGAGAACGTGTGGCATTTGGTTTTCTGTTCCTGGGTTAGTTTGCTAAGGATAATGGCCTCTATCTAGCTCCATCTGTGTTTCTGCAAAGGACATATTCCAATTCTTTTTACACTGCATAGTATCCTATGGTGTATATTTACTACATTTGATGTATCCACTCTACTGTTGATGGGCATTTAGGTTGATTGCATTTTGCTATTGTGAATAGTGCTGCAATGAACATGTAATATGTCTTTTTAGTAAAATGATTTATATTCCTTAGGGTATATAACCAGTAAAGGGATAACTGGGTTAAATGGTAGTTCTGTTTGTAGTTCTTTGAGGAACTGCCACACTGTTTTCCACAGTAGTTAAACTAATTTACATTACCACCAGTAGTGTATAAGTGTTTCTTTTTCTCTGCCACTTCGCCAGCATCTGTTATTTTTGGCTTGTTAATAATAGCCATTCTGACTTGTGTGAGATGATATCTCATTGTGGTTTTGGTTTGTATACCTGGTTACAATTTTATTGTTTTTTTGCTTTAGTTTGTATTGTTTCTTTTCTTCTGATTGCTTTAGGTTTAAATTGCTTTACTCTGTTTAGTTCTCAAAGACAGAAGCTTACATTATTGATTTTAGGTCTTGCTTGTTTTTTTAACGTACACATTTAATATTATCAATTTCCCTTAAGTCATGTTTTTGCAGTATTACAAATACTATATTTTGCTGTATTACAGTATTGAATTTTAAATTGCATTTTTATTTCACTTAGTATAATTTTTTAAAAATATATATTTTGAGTCTGCTTTGACACATGTTATTTACAACTGTGTTTTAGAATTCCCAAATATTTGGAGATTTTCCAGCTAATTTTCTCTTATTTCTAGCTTAATATAATTGTGGTCTGATAATATACTTTTTATGATTTCTATTTTTTTTTTAATACTGAAGGTGAGCTTTATGGCCCAGTATGTCAAACCTTGGTGAATATCCCATGCTAGCTTGAGAAGAATGTATATTCTGATTTTGTTGGGGGTAGTATTTCCCGAATGTTAACTAGATCAAGTTATTGATAGTGATCTTCAGGTTAACTATATCCTTACTTATTTTCTGCCTGGGTTATCAATAAGTTATTGAAAGATTGGTATTGAAGGCTTCAACTATAATAGTGATTTGTTTGTTTCTCCTTTTAGTTATATCAGCTTATTATTTCTCCTGCAAATATTTTGAAAGTCTGTGTTAAGTTCATACACATTTAGGATTCTTATGTATTCCTAGAGAAATAATTTATTTATTATAATGTATTGACCCTCTATATGTATGATAATTTTCTTTTCTAAAGTCTGATTTATATGAAAGTAACATAAATCATCCAGCTTTCTTTTAATTTTATTGTATTATTTAATTTTTATTTATTTTTCTTTTTATTTATTTTTGTGTGAAAGTAACATAAATTATCCAGCTTTCTCTTTATAAATATGCTATGTTTTCTATTCTTTTTATTTTTGACATATATAACTTTTAACCTTTAAAATGAGTTTCTTGCACAGAACATATATATGCATCTTGGTGTTATATTCACTCTGAAGTTTTCTGTCTTTAAATTTAAGTATTTAAAATAATCACATTTAAAGTGATTATTGATACAGTTGGACCTAACCAATTTGTAGCTGTTTTCTATTCATTGCACTGGTTCTTTTTTGGTGTTGCTTCTGCTTCTTCTTGTTTTTCTCTTCTATTTTTTTTAAAAATCTTCTATCTTCTCTTTATCTCTTGTCTAGTTTTAACTGGGGAGTGTATGTGATTTAATTTTCTCTTCTCTCTTAGTATATAAACTATCTTTCCTTTTAAAATAAATTAGTGGTTATTTTAGAGTTTACAATATACATTTTTAACTACCTAGTTATACCTACATACTCTGTATGTAGGGCAAGGATCTTAAAACAGAATATTCTCAATTCCTTTCTTCATTCCTTTTGATGTTGCTGTCATTCATTTCACTTAATCATGAACTATCATGACTCAGTACAGTGTGACTACTATTGCTTTAAACTAACACTTATTTAAGTCAACTAGGAATATAAAAATTAAAAGTTTTACTTGAACTTTTAATTATTCTTTATTGTTTTTGTCAGTTGAAGAAAGGAGTCTCTTGAGGCACATCCAATAGATGCAAGTTTTTTGTCTATATAATTTTATTCTCCCTGAATGTTTTTCTTCTAAATTTTTTCTGGGAATGTCTGCTGGCAATAAATAGTCTTTCTTTCTTTCCTCTTTTGGTCTGAGATAGCATTTATTCAGTTTAAAAGGATAATTTTACTGGATATAAAATTCTGTTTTTTAAAAATATTTAATGATTTACAGATTTTATTCCAATTTATCCTTACTTACATCATTTTTCACCAGAAATCAATTGTAATTCTTATCCTTTTTTTTTTTTTTTTTTTTGCAGGTAAATGTTCCCTGTCTTCTTAGAAGATTCCCGTTTTGGTTTCGTGCAGTTTGAATATAGCTTTAGGTGTAGAATTTTGGAATTTATCCTACTTGTTCTGTAACATTCTTAGATCTATAGTCTTGTATCTATAATTAATTTTGGAAAATTCTTAGCCATTGTTGCTTCAAATATTTCTTAGGCTCCATTGTCTCTTTATTTTCTGAATGTTCCAATTATAAATTTGTTACAACTTTTGAAAGTTTCCCACAGTTTTGGGGTGTTCTGTTCTGCTTTTTAAACATTCTTTTTTCCTTTCAGTTTTGGAAGTTTCTATTCACCTAGCTTCATGTTCACTGATTCATTCATCAACTATGTATAGTCTCCTGATGATCTCCTGAAAGGTTTTCTTCATTTATAGTACAAAGTTTTAAAAAAAATTCTAACATTTTTCTTTGACTAATTCATAGCATTTCCATCTATCTGCTTACATTGTTCTGTTCTTTCTTGTCTATTTTTGCCTTAGAGCCTATAGCTAATTAATCACACTTATTTTAAAATCCCCAATCTAATAATTCCCAAATCTCCATCATATCTGAATCTGGTTCTTGTGCTTGCTTGGTCTCTTCAGGCTGTGTTTTTTCTTGTCTTTTAGCATGTTTAGAATGTTTTATTGAAAGCCAAACATACTGGTGATAAGAACTGAAATGAATAGGTCTTTAGTGTGAGGTCATATGTTAGCTAGCCAGAAGTTAGGCAGTGTCTAATGTTTGCTGTAGCTGTGTCCAAGGCTTCAAATTCCTTTTTTGCTTTCCCTCTCTCTCCCTTTTTTTTTGTTTTTGTAATGTGCTTTATTACAGACTTCTACTTAGACTCATGCACTTTAAAAATGTAAACTTAATCCACTGTTATACTGTTGCCCTTCTTTTTGTGATGATAAGATATAGGGGAGGATAAATTCTGTAATCTTATCCTTAAGTCTCAGTTTTCTAATGACCTTGAGTCCCTGGGTTGTTGCCTTCAAAATAATTTCTTAGCTTTCCTTCAAACCCGCAAGCAAAACAAGTAAACTACAGGGAACTGCGGCCAGAGAAATATCCTTCCTTCAGGTGGTATTAGGTTCTGGAAAGTCTTTGCCCCTGGGGATTAGGTCTTTAGTAGGATGAATGCTCTGGACATTCATAGTTCACAATTGTTACCTTTCCCCTCCTCCCACTAAAGGAGAGATTTCTTGGCTTTTACTGTGAGACACTGGCAGGGTTCCTGGAGGTCATATCTAGGATATTTGAGGGATCCTGTTAAAGACTGTGGCCCAGAGAAGTTTCTTACTTTCAAGCTAGCCCACACTCAGTCTTCAGGTATGACAGATTCTTCAAAATCACCATTTAAGAGTGCTTGTCAGTTTACTGCTCCAGCAGCTTCTGCTCCAGTTTAGCAAATCTCAACTGAGACTTTATGGATTCACCTGTCTCCCGAGATTTCAGAGTGGCAGTTTGCTGTAGAACTCCAGTTCTTTCATATGTCCAAGAAGAGTAATTGATTTTCAGCCTGTACGGTGTGTTTCTTGCTATCAGAGCAGAAGTGATGACATCTATGCTCTTTACATGTCAGAGATGAAACAAGACACCATCTCCCTCATTTTTCATGAGCATATTTGCAATCTCTAACCTTTAACCCTCCATTCTGTCAGTATTATACTAAACAATAAACAAAATTCAAAGAGTACTTTTAAGTTCCTGTTTTTCATGAAAATACTTCTTTCCTTGTCATTTTATCTCCACATGTGTAGCATATCTATGTACTACGTGGTAGGCAGCTACGTATACCTACAAGTGAATGGATGGAGTGTGACACTTGGACATAAGTTCCGTTACCAAAATTCCTGTTTGTACTTTGTGCTTATTTCAGTCTGCACAATGAGCTCATCATCTCACGCATTAAAGGTCTTCTCCTGTGATATGAGCCATCCTGTAAGTTGACTAATTTGATACAAAGTACTTTGAAAGTAGTAATTGTGCAGTTATTAATCTAATAACTTTTTGTTGATAGTGGCTGACAATATTTTGATATAGGGTCAAGGACATTTCTGTAACTACGGATACACATTTCAGGCTAGCATTGTTTCATTAACAGAAAACACAGCCATACTCATCTTAATAATTGTTTATTTTAACCTATTTTAAATAAAATAAAAACATAATGATTTATGAATCAAAATGAATGCATCCTCTTTTTAGATTTTCACATAAAATTTTATACTATTGTCATTGGTACAACTAATTTGCAAAATATTTGTATAAACAAACTGAATTTATAAAACGTTTTCAAAGAAAATTTTTTCAAAGCATTTGGACTTAAAGAGATTACTTTCATTTTTGTTCTCATATTTCCTTGGTGATATTTAAGTGCTATGAGTATAACCAGCATACATAACTTTGTGAACAAATGGCATTAATTTGAGGAAAGCAAAGTTAATTTTCAGAATAGTGAAGATACTGTAGAGTATACCCTGAAAGCCACAACTACTTTAGCATTATGAGTACGTTGTGTAGTATGTTTATAGAGGAAATGAAGAGTAACATTTTATGGAGTGTGTTTGTTAAATAAACAATGGTAAAAAGACTTCCTCCATTTTTCTCCAGTAGTTCATGTAACAACATCCTTTTATTCCTAGAGATTTACGGATTTGAATATGATAGCAAGAGATTAATTGTGATAATTACTTTCCAATCAATTAACCTGTGTTTCAGTTCTAGAAAATAAAAGCATTTTCAAATTTAGAAAGATAGCCAGTGGTATTAGCAATAAGTTATAACTCTATTTCTTAAAATGAAGGTTAAGTAATAGCTATTCTTTCTTGGATTAAAAAAAAAACATACTGGGGGAGGAGCCAAGATGGCCGAATAGGAACAGCTCTGGTCTACAGCTCCCAGCATGAGCGACACAGAAGACGGTGATTTCTGCATTTCCATCTGAGGTACCGGGTTCATCTCACTAGGGAGTACCAGACAGTGGGCGCAGGACAGTGGGTGCAGCCCACTGTGCGCGAGCCGAAGCAGGGCGAGGCATTGCCTCACTCGGGAAGTGCAAGGGGTCAGGGAGTTCCGTTTCCTGGTCAAGGAAAGGGGTGACAGACGGGACCTGGAAAATTGGGTCACTCCCACCCGAGTACTGCGCTTTTCCGACGGGCTTAGGAAACGGCACACCAGGAGATTATATCCTGCACATGGCTCAGAGGGTCCTACGCCCATGGAGTCTCGCTGATTGCTAGCACAGCAGTCTGAGAACAAACTGCAAGGCGGCAGGGAGGCTGGGGGAGGGGTGCCCGCCATTGCCCAGGCTTGCTTAAGTAAACAAAGCAGCCAGGAAGCTGGAACTGGGTGGAGCCCACCACAGCTCAAGGAGGCCTGCCTGCCTCTATAGGCTCCACCTCTCGGAGCAAGGCACAGACAAACAAAAAGACAGCAGTAACCTCTGCAGACTTAAATGCCCCTGTCTGACAGCTTTGAAGAGAGTAGTGGTTCTCCCAGCATGCAGCTGGAGATCTGAGAACGGGCAGACTACCTCCTCAAGTGGGTCCCTGACCCCCGAGGGGCCTAACTGGGAGGCACCCCCCAGTAGGGGCAGACTGACACCTCACACGGCCGAGTACTCCTCTGAAACAAAACTTCCAGAGGAATGATCAGACAGCAGCATTTGCAGTTCACAAAAATCCTCTGTTCTGCAGCCACTGCTGCTGATACCCAGACAAACAGGGTCTGGAGTGGACCTCTAGCAAACTCCAACAGACCTGCAGCTGAGGGTCCTGTCTGTTAGAAGGAAAACTAACAAACAGAAAGGACATCCACACCAAAAACCCATCTGTACATCACCATCATCAAAGACCAAAAGTAGATAAAACCACAAAGATGGGGAAAAAACAGAACAGAAAAACTGGAAACTCTAAAAAGCAGAGCGCCTCTCCTCCTCCAAAGGAATGCAGTTCTTCACCAGCAATGGAACAAAGCTGGACAGAGAATGCCTTTGACGAGTTGAGAGAAGAAGGCTTCAGATGATCAAACTACTCTGAGCTACAGGAGGAAATTCAAACCAAAGGCAAAGAAGTTGAAAACTTTGAAAAAAATTTAGATGAATGTATAACTAGAATAACCAATAGAGAGAAGTGCTTAAAGGAGCTGATGGAGCTGAAAGCCAAGGCTCAAGAACTACGTGAAGAATGCAGAAGCCTCAGGAGCCAATGAGATCAACTGGAAGAAAGGGTATCAGTGATGAAAGATGAAATGAATGAAATGAAGCGAGAAGGGAAGTTTAGAGGAAAAAGAATAAAAAGAAACGAACAAAGCCTCCAAGAAATATGGGACTATGTGAAAAGACCAAATCTACGTCTGATTGGTGTACCTGAAAGTGATGGGGAGAATGGAACCAAGTTGGAAAACACTCTGCAGGATATTATCCAGGAGAACTTCCCCAATCTAGCAAGGCAGGCCAACATTCAGATTCAGGAAATACAGAGAACACCACAGAAATACTCCTCGAGAAGGGCAACTCCAAGACACATAATTGTCAGATTCACCAAAGTTGAAATGAAGGAAAAAATGTTAAGGGCAGCCAGAGAGAAACGTCTGGTTACCCACAAACGAAAGCCCATCAGACGAACAGCGGATCTCTCGGCAGAAATTCTACAAGCCAGAAGAGAGTGGGGGCCAATATTCAACATTCTTAAAGAAAATAATTTTCAACCCAGAATTTCATATCCAGCCAAACTAAGCTTCATAAGTGAAGGAGAAATAAAATACTTTACAGACAAGCAAATTCTGAGAGATTTTGTCACCACCAGGCCTGCCCTAAAAGAGCTCCTGAAGGAAGCACTAAACATGGAAAGGAACAACCGGTACCAGCCACTGCAAAATCATGCCAAAATGTAAAGATCATCGAGACTAGTAAGAAACTGCATCACCTAACGAGCAAAATCACCAGCTAACATCATAATGACAGGATCAAATTCACACATAACAATATTAACTTTAAATGTAAATGGACTAAATGCTCCAATTAAAAGACACTGACTGGCAAATTGGATAAACAGTCAACACCCATCAGTGTGCTGTATTCAGGAAACCCATCTCACGTGCAGAGGCACACATAGGCTCAAAATAAAAGGATGGAGGAAGATCTACCAAGCAAATGGAAAACAAAAAAAGGCAGGGGTTGCAATCCTAGTCTCTGATAAAGCAGACTTTAAACCAACAAAGATCAAAAGAGACAAAGAAGGCCATTACATAATGGTAAAGGGATCAATTCAACAAGAAGAGCTAACTATCCTAAATATATATGCACCCAACACAGGAGCACCCAGATTCATAAAGCAAGTCCTGAGTAACCTACAAAGAGACTTAGACTCCCACACAATAATAATGGGAGACTTTAACACCCCACTGTCAACATTAGACAGATCAATGAGACAGAAAGTTAACAAGGATACCCAGGAATTGAACTCAGCTCTGCACCAAGCAGACCTAATAGACATCTATAGAACTCTCCACCCCAAAGCAACAGAATATACATTTTTTTAAGCACCACACCACACCTATTCCAAAATTGACCACATAGTTGGAAGTAAAGCTCTCCTCAGCAAATGTAAAAGAACAGAAATTATAACAAACTGTCTCTCAGACCACAGTGCACTCAAACTAGAACTTAGGATTAAGAAACTCACTCAAAACTGCTCAACTACATGGAAACTGAACAACCTGCTCCTGAATGACTACTGGGTACATAACGAAATGAAGGCAGAAATAAAGATGTTCTTTGAAACCAACGAGAACAAAGCCACAACATACCAGAATCTCTGGGACACATTCAATGCAGTGTGTAGAGGGAAATCTATAGCACTAAATGCCCGCAAGAGAAAGCAGGAAAGATCCAAAATTGACACCCTAACATCACAATTAAAAGAACTAGAAAAGCAAGAGCAAACACATTCAAAAGCTAGCAGAAGGCAAGCAATAACTAAAATCAGAGCAGAACTGAAGGAAATGGAGACACAAAAAACCCTTCAAAAAATTAATGAATCCAGGAGCTGGTTTTTTGAAAGGATCAACAAAATTGATAGACCGCTAGCAAGACTAATAAAGAAAAAAAAAGAGAAGAATCAAATAGACGCAATAAAAAATGATAAAGGGGATATCACCACCGATCCCACAGAAATACAAACTACCATCAGAAAATACTACAAACACCTCTACGCAAATAAACTAGAAAATCTAGAAGAAATGGATAAATTCCTCGACACATACACTCTCCCAAGACTAAACCAGGAAGAAGTTGAATCTCTGAATAGACCAATAATAGGCTCTGAAATTGTGGCAATAATCAATAGCTTACCAACGAAAAAGAGTCCAGTACCAGATGAATTCACAGCCGAATTCTACCAGAGGCACAAGGAGGAACTGGTACCATTCCTTCTGAACCTATTCCAATCAATAGAAAAAGAGGGAATCCTCCCTAACTCATTTTATGAGGCCAGCATCATCCTGATACCAAAGCCAGGCAGAGACACAACCAAAAAAGAGAATTTTAGACCAACATCCTTGATGAACATTGATGCAAAAATCCTCAATAAAATACTGGCAAACCGAATCCAGCAGCACATCAAAAATCTTCTCCACCATGATCAAGTGGGCTTCATCCCTGGGATGCAAGGCTGGTTCAATATACACAAATCAATAAATGTAATCCAGCATATAAACAGAACCAAAGACAAAAACCACATGATTATCTCAATAGATGCAGAAAAGGCCTTTGACAAAATTCGACAACTCTTCATGCTAAAAACTCTCAATAAATTAGGTATTAATGGGATGTATCTCAAAATAATAAGAGCTATCTATGACAAACCCACAGCCAATATCATACTGAATGGGCAAAAACTGGAAGCATTCCCTTTGAAAACTGGCACAAGACAGGGATGCCCTCTCTCACCACTCCTATTCAACACAGTGTTGGAAGTTCTGGCCAGGGCAATTACGCAGGAGAAGGAAATAAATGGTATTCAATTAGGAAAAGAGGAAGTCAAATTGTCCCTGTTTGCAGATGACATGTTTGTATATCTAGAAAACCCCATTATCTCAGCCCAAAATCTCCTTAAGCTGATAAGCAACTTCAGCAAAGTCTCACGATACAAAATCAATGTACAAAAATCACAAGCATTCTTATACACCAATAACAGACAAACAGAGAGCCAAATCATGAGTGAACTCCCATTCACAATTGCTTCAAAGAGAGTAAAATACTTAGAAGCCAACTTACAAGGGACATGAAGGACCTCTTCAAGGAGAACTACAAACCACTGCTCAATGAAATAAAAGAGGATACTAACAAATGGAAGAACATTCCATGCTCATGGGTAGGAAGAATCAATATCGTGAAAATGGCCATACGGCCCAAGGTAATTTACAGATTCAATGCCATCCCCATCAAGCTACCAATGACTTTCTTCACAGAATTGGAAAAAACTACTTTAAAGTTCATATGGAACCAAAAAAGAGCCTGCATCGCCAAGTCAATCCTAAGCCAAAAGAACAAAGCTGGAGGAATCATGCTACCTGACTTCAAACTATACTACAAGGCTACAGTAACCAAAACTGCATGGTACTGGTACCAAAACAGAGATATAGATCAATGGAACAGAACAGAGCCCTCAGAAATAATGCCGCATATCTACAACTACCTGATCTTTGACAAACCTGAGAAAAACAAGGAATGGGGAAAGGATTCCCTATTTAATAAATGGTGCTGGGAAAGCTGGCTAGCCATATGTAGAAAGGTGAAACTGGATCCCTTCCTTACACCTTATACAAAAATTAATTCAAGATGGATTAAAGACTTACATGTTAGACCTAAAACCATAAAAACCCTAGAAGAAAACCTAGGCATTACCATTCAGGACATAGGCATGGGCAAGGACTTCATGTCTAAAACACCAAAAGCAATGGCAACAAAAGACAAAATTGACAAATGGGATCTAATTAAACGAAAGAGCTTCAGCCCAGCAAAAGAAACTACCATCAGAGTGAACAGGCAACCTACAAAATGGGAGAAAATTTTCACAACCTACTCATCTGACAAAGGGCTAATATCCAGAATCTACAATGAACTCAAACAAATTTACAAGAAAAAAACAAACAACCCCATCAAAAAGTGGGCAAAGGATATGAACAGACACTTCTCAAAAGAAGACATTTATGCAGCCAAAAAACACATGAAAAAATGCTCACCATCACTGGCCATCAGAGAAATGCAAATCAAAACCACAATGAGATACCATCTCACACCAGTTAGAATGGCAATCATTAAAAAGTCAGGAAACAACAGGTGCTGGAGAGGATGTGGAGAAATAGGAACACTTTTACACTGTTGGTGGGACTGTAAACTGGTTCAACCCTTGTGGAAGTCAGTGTGGCGAGTCCTCAGGGATCTAGAACTAGAAATACCATTTGACCCAGCCATCCCATGACTGGGTATATACTCAAAGGACTATAAATCATGCTGCTATAAAGACACATGCACACGTATGTTTATTGTGGCACTATTCACAATAGCAAAGACTTGGAACCAACCCAAATGTCCAACAATGATAGACTGGATTAAGAAAATGTGGCACATATACACCATGGAATACTATGCAGCCATAAAAAATGATGAGTTCATGTCCTTTGCAGGGACATGGATGAAATTGGAAATCATCATTCTCAGTAAACTATCGCAAGGACAAAAAACCAAACACCACATGTTCTCACTCATAGATGGGAATTGAACAATAAGAACACATGGACACAGGAAGGGGAACATCACACTCTGGGGACTGTTGTGGGGTGGGGGGTGGGGGAGGGATAGCATTGGGAGATATACCTAATGGTAAATGACGAGTTAATGGGTGCAGCACGCCAGCATGGCACATGTATACATATGTAACTAACCTGCACATTGTGCACATGCACCCTAAAACTTAAATTATAATAATTAAAAAAACATATTGTTTAAGGATGGATACATCAATGTAACATTAGTTATCAGAAAGAAGTAAGATTCTTACCAAGCAAGCAGATAATACCTTATGTTGATAATTCAATATAAAATACATTTTAAACACAAAACTTGAATAACTTAACATATTGTTATTATCTAATTGTTAAGCTTTACATAGTTTATTGAATAAACTATTTATTCATATTTGCTTACCCTGCCACATATATATTAGGATAACATCAAAAAAAAAAGACTAACTTTTCTAAAAGAAACATATTTTTTCTCATATTTTGAAAATACAGTATAAGTATTAATTAAAACAATTTTTACCGCAGAAAGGAGCAGTTCCAGAATATTGAGAAACAAGTTGTTAAAATAGTTTTAATTGGGAGCTCATTTAATATGAAGAAATTAAGGAAATACGTGCGCTGTTGTGTTTGAAGACATTAAAATGTATAAGAAGAAAGGTTATAGCAACTCTCATCTTGATACGTTTGGCGAAACATCTAACAGATGTTAGAAAACTTGCAGTTTCTAATTAAAATTTTTAAGCACCCTTAAAGAGGATAGCAAGTTTTGTTTTTAATTAGTTAGAAAGTCATTATTTTGGTTGAGTTGTTTTGTTTTACATGACTTTAAAGGCAAGCCATTTTGTGTTGCAGAATAAAGTTTCTCCTGTACCATTAGCAGTTTTGTTCCAATTTTAATGATCTAAAAGGTGTCTTTTGACCAGACTCACGTTTCTTCCTTGGTTTCTCATATTTCCTCATGCTGCCTCACTCACCCAACATGAGCTTTTATCTCAACCCCCAAGAACAACAGTTTGCTCTGGGCCATTGCCTATTTATTTCTTCTATCATCTGATGTGTTCAAATACTGTGTTCATTTCCATAAGTAATTTTGTTCTGCCTAGTCCTACCTGATTCTTACCTCTTTTTGGCTTCAGGGAAGCAGTTTTCCTCTAAGTGAAAAACATTAGTTTTCAAATGGTTGCTTGTGAATGCATACTTTATAGGAGTTAAAGAGATTTTTAAAGTACAAAGTTACTTTAAAAGGACTAAATTTTGGCATCCGATTTAATGATTTATTCTCACTAAATTAGGGGATTCCATTTCTCAAACCTTAAGAAAAAATAACAATCTCTCTTTTTTGGTGTATTTGTGTCGGCTTTCTCTATTCCTCTGCTCAAATAGATTAGTTTCTATTAGTTTGAAAAACAAGTACATTTACATAGTACTGAAATGGGAAAAGTTGCCCTGATGCTCAAACCTGTAGCGGAGCATACAGAAGGGCAGGCTGTGGAGCTCTGACCCCACGGCAGTGTCTAGCGGTGAATGTTTACAACTCCTGAAGTCCCAGTGGGCGTGTGGTACAGGGTGTTCTTTTAGCTTTGCCATTTATAGGTGGCTTGTGTCAACCAGCTCAATTAGACCCTCTACCTTGTTTCAAGGACAGAGGGCTTTCTCTATCCCTGGTTCTTGCCTTGTGTACCAGAATAATTGCATCACATCTGGGCTTGGAGAATGACTGTAAGGTTTTAAGTGAAAGTAGCTCTCAGCAGATGGAGGAGCCAGAAGGCAAAGAGTTTTCCCCTGGATTCGGGGCGCTCAGTGTTCAGGCTCTCTTCCGACTGCCCTGAGAGACTCTGCCTTGTTCTGCTGGTCGATGGCCTGCTAGCAGGCCTGTGCCTGTCAGTGTGCTCCTGGCATCCTTTTAATGTCCAGCTGCTTTTATCTTCTTCCGCAGATCCGCTCCTCTCGATGTCCAGCCACTTGTGTCTGCCCGTTAGGGTCTCGGGTTTTTATAGGCACAGGGTGAAGGCATGGCTGGCCAGGGTGATCTTGGGAAATGCAGCATTTGGGCATGAAGGCAGGAGTGCCTGTCCTCATCTAGGTCCGTGGGCATAGGCCCTAGCCAGGAACCCGGCCCTCCTCTACCCAACACTTCTCTTCCCATCTTCCCTATCATTTAAAGGGACAACGGTCTTCCCTTCCCATCACTCCCGTATCAGTATCTTCAGAATTATAATCCAGGAAAGTATTTTCTCAACTTAAATCACCAGTCACTGTGCTTCTGTATTCTTTTTTGATTAGAGAAAAATGTGTGGCTTGCTACAGACCTGTTTAATTTGCTATTTTATCAAGTTTAGTCTTAACTGTATAAATAATAGACAAATAATAGCTTAACTTTTTCTGAATAAATATATGTACGATTAAATTACCATGCTCATTAATGAAATTTTATTCAGAAATTTTTACATAATAGGCATAGTTTTATGTTTTCATGTACAAGTTCAATTAATCGTCACAAAAACACAGTATGATTGATATCATTATCTCCACTGAAGAAAGGAAGAAACTGGGGTTAGAACACTCCTAGGGAGGGGTAAGGGAGCATTGTAAGGGTAGAGACAAATCAAAAAAGAAATGAAAACTAGCCTATTCACAAGAAGGAAAGAGACTCATCCCCATTCCCTTTCTTATAGCATTTATTTTAGAAAACAAGTAAGTCCTTTCTCTGTCTCTTTAAAATGTATGTAAATCTTTTTAAAAGCTAAATAAACATCTTTCCAGCTTTTAGATCCAGAGAACATTTCTTTTGAGATGTATACATCAAGGAAGATAGCTCCCTATCTTCTAATTTTCTGCATAATAGGATCCTAACTTTGACAAGCTTATTTTTCCTTTGGATTAAACCTAGTTAACACAGATGGTCAATCCCATTATCAACCGAATTTAGGATGAAATACCTGTAACAAATTCTACCATCAATCCTCTAACATGAGGACTAGTTATTGTTTGTCTTGAGAATATGTATGTAATGAGTTATATCTGCTTGGCTGGATAACAGGGAGATTCCTTTCTGTCTTTATAATCTCTTAGCAGATTGTCTGCAAAGTTGATCGCATTCTAGCTTAATGCTTATTGAATAGTACAATGTTTTTTCTTTATCTTCTCCTTTCGTGTAGAGGTTAGTAGGTAAGCAAGGGATTTTGTTTTTACTTATATCTTCCCAACTGGAAAGAGTTGGTCAAGAAGAACCACCATAGCCTCATATATTTGAAATAAGGCTTGTCTCCATCTTTCCTCTTGACTCCCTAACATTCTCAGATACCTTCCTTGCTCAGTTGCCTTTATAAAACCCAAGACTTTTTTGCTTTTTTTTTTGACACATTCCTGATTAATAAAAGTTCTCCCAATTGCAGCAGCCTGAATAAAATCATTTCCTTACTGGTCCAGTGCATTTTGTGTTTAACAATGCTAATCTTTTACCAACCCAGTGGAAAGTTGTTTTTGTTTGCTTGTTTCACTTTGTTAATCATTTTTCCTTAGTGTACTGAATAATGTGAATTGGAGTGCTACAGAAATTTGCAGTTTTTCTTCTTCAGAATGCTGTATTAAATATTGCATTGTCTATTAGGCAGACCTACATGGAGGTCTTAATACAACACCTAGTCAAATCTAAAAGTTACTTCATCACCTTGATTTTTTTTTTCTAAACTCAACTCCTTCTCTCTGTTGTGGAAATAAACAAGGACTACCCAAATGAGAACAAGCAATAGCTATTTATTCAGAGCTTGTGGAGAGTCAGGCCCTCACCACTTGTTATGGTAGAGGGTTAAAGGCAGGAAGAGGAGTGGGAAAGCTTTATTGTGGAAAAAGGGGAAGGCTTCAGGTATGCCCTGACTGGAGGTGGTTTGCATGAGAAAACTGAAGGAGAGCTAACTAGAAGTTATGTGATTTTTTTTAGAGCAGCATATTTAGCTTTTAGAGTTAGTGATTTATGTGATTTTTTAGAACAGCATATTTAGCTTTTACAGTTAGTCCCAAGCTGGGGCAAAAATAGGGAAGCTGTCTATTATTAATCCAGTCTCGGCCACTGGGGCTAATTGCTACAAAGATTGTGGTTTGCCTTCCGTGACTGCTGCAGATTTGGGGTTCAGGTTCTGTCATTCTATATAATTTGGCCACTGCTTGTTTGTATATTAGCTCTCATTGTTAA
Organism: Homo sapiens; assembly: GCF_000001405.40. Taxonomy (NCBI): domain Eukaryota; kingdom Metazoa; phylum Chordata; class Mammalia; order Primates; family Hominidae; genus Homo; species Homo sapiens. The sequence continues at coordinate 189,764,951 of NC_000001.11, forward strand.
TGTTATTTCCATTTTTTTTCTGTCACTCAGTTCAAAACAATGGAGTCATATATTTTTAAACTTTTCTTCATGAATTTTACTTTATTAATGATCTATTCATCTTTCTAAGCTATGAACTCCTAATACTCTTAGCATTGCCACACCTCCAACTCAGGCCTTTGGTTTCCTCATCTAGAAAATGTGCCAGTGTCCTCATGGGTATCCTGTTTGCATCAACTTGTCTCAGCACTCTATTCTCTACACTGTTACCAAACAAAGTTTAAGTTTAATCAACCTCTCTCCCCCTGCCCCAGTGAGTCTTTCCTCTTATGGCATAGCTATCAGTTCTGTGAAGATCCACTTCAGCTACCTTCCTTACATATATCATGAAATCAGTAAATGACATTTATTGAATGAGTGCTGTGGAAGGAAATTATTAACCATGAATGATCTCCTTTTGCTCTCTGTCTCCAAATCACCACTTTTGTCATACTCAAAGCTTTTTTAAACTAAAGTTTAATTTAGTTTATTAGCAATTAATAAAATAGCAATTAATAAAATTGCTATTTTTCAAAAGGTATAAACTTTTTTCTAAGATTTTTTTTTTTTTTTTTTTTTTGATGGAGTCTCGCTCTGTCGCCAAGCTGGAGTGCAGTGGCATGATCTCGGCTCACTGCAACCTCTGCTTCCTGGGTTCAAGGGATTCTCCTGTCTCAGCCTGGGTCTACAGGCATGCACCACCACGCCCAGCTAATTTTTTGCATTTTTAGTAGAGATGGGGTTTCACCATGATGGCTAGGAGGGTCTCTATCTCTTGACCTTATGATCCACCTGCCTCGGACTCCCAAAGTGCTGGGATTACAGGCGTGAGCCACCATTCCTGGCCAGATTTTTATTTTACATAATTTACTGACAGTTACATTTTTAGAAATAACTAATTATAAGTAAATAAAATATTTTGCCCAAGTAGTCAAGTGATAATTATTGGATAATAATTACAATAATGCCAGCAGCAACTGGGTCCCATTGCCTCGACTCCTGAAGCTAGAGGTAGTCACTCTGAGGCATTAGTCCAGAACTGCTGTCAGTCATCCCAATGTTACCATTAAGAATAGAGTCCTGTTATTACTGTGGCAAGGAAGGGCAGCTGCCATGCTGTCTCTATTTAGTAGCACCCCAGGAGCAGTGCCCTCACCTCAGCAAGGTTTCATTTAACAAATTATACTTGCAGTGTACACTATCCTATCAAAAGATCCTCACTTTTAAAAAATAAATTCAATAGCGCACCTGCAAAATAGCTGTTACAACTGGACAGTAAGTTAAAAAGCATGCTTAGCCATTTTACAAATCTTGTGACATTTTGGTTTTTATTTTGGCCTAGAAACAAACTTGTTTATTTAAAATATCTGCTATTAAGACTATTCCTATTAATTAAAGAAAGTAAGCAAGTCAATAAGGAAAAACTATATATTAAACTAATTATCCTATACTTTCTTATACATAAGCAAGTTGAGGTAAGCCAGAAGAAATGCTCCATTGGATTTTATGCCTAGTAAGAGGCAAAATCATTGCTACCTTATCTTGTGTCCTGTCAACACCCACCATGATGCTTTGAAAATAGCAGCTGCACATAATTTTTCATTAAATCAAGTCAAATATAACTATTAATGATGCTGAATCTTTATGTAATACATATAATAGCTCAAAGTAGTCACTGACAGGGCTCAATCACTTAAGTGCTAGAAAACTTGAATTTAGAAATCTCTAAAACTTCATCAGGGTTATTTCAAGATTTAATCTTGGCACAACATTTTGCATGGGCAACGGAAGGAGACTTACATGACTATATGGATTCAAAGCTCATCATATGTGATCACTTCTAGAAGCACTTCTTGCCTCCACACTCTACCACATCAGTCAGGTTAGGAATCCCTCCCGTCCCCGGACCCTTTGCTCATAACTCTATCATAGCATTTATCACATTAATTCATCCTTGTCTCTCTGCTGTCTTTAGTTCTGTGTCTCTCTGCTGTCTTTAGTTTAGTGAAGAAAAGGACTATATATTTTTTCTGGTTTTGATTGATATTATTTGCATGTAGATTACAGAGGAAACTAAATAACTAACATTAACAGTAGTGAGTATCTAATATATAAATGGAAAAAATTCTGGCAGGTTCAACAAGTCATTTCTCATATGAAAATTTGCAAAAACACGGGTTAATTTTTATAGAATATATATGAGGCATGACTTTTTTCCTATTTTTGTCTCTAAGACTCATCTATTTTAATTTTATAATGGCAGAAATAAAGAAAAATAAAACAACATTCAAGAAGACTCCGGGTTTGAACTTTGCGGAAAAAAAGTGAGCTTTGAAGAAGAATATGGTTTACATGTCTTTGTTTTCCAAACTAGAAATGTTAACCCTAATACAGTACATAGACTACAATCTAACCCATAAAACTATGAAAGAAAAACAAGTGTAAATTCAATAACAATAAATAAATGAATGTCAAGTGTAGCCATGGCACACATTAATCCTATGATGGTTTGGTAATTTTGTTCAAATACACTTTCTCAATGACAAAAAATCCATCACATTGATGAGGTTTACTATCCTTTGTGCTCTATTCTTTCTAGCTGTGACAAAACAAGTATTATGCTCTGAGATGCAATAATTATTCATGTATTCAAAACATATCTTAACTAAATGCAATTTCTTCAACCACCATCGCTAGATATAGTGTCTTTAATGTTATGTGCTATATTTGACAGTTTTAATCATACTGTTATCATAAGTTGGAACACAAAAATATTTAATTTAAAGGAAAGAAAAGGAAGCAGAAGAATATGAAAAAACTTTAACATTTTCATCTTTGGTCTTGGCAAAATTAGGGTTGAGGAGTTAAAAATTACAGATGTATTTGTGGATTAAGTAAAAATAATATTTATTTAAATAATGTATTAAAAATTCAAAGCAATACTATTAGAACTGGCAAAGCTCAGAAAGGAAAAGAAAAGTAAAGGATATTTTGTCATCTTTAGAGAGTTTCAAAATTATTTCAGTGGGAAGACTTATGCATGCATGCAAAGATTTGATGTGACTTAATGTGTCAAAAACAGGCAGTGAAAGTCTAGTGCATACTAAAAAATAATGGGTGAGAGGCTGACAATGTGCAGAACAAGCATAACACCTGCCTGTAACAAGCTTATAGTCTGATAAGGATGATAGACATATAATTATGACTGTAGCTATTGTCAGACAGAAGAAATTTGGGGTGTTATGAAGGTATATAAATGGAATATTTATGTTAATCTTTTGTATTGAGAAAACTCCTCTCTAAGGTAATATCAAGCAAAGATCTGAAAGAGGGGAAAGGGAGTAGAAAGGTGAAGCAGAGAGTAGGGCACTTTGTTTCAGGTTCAGAGCAGAGGATGTGTAAATGCTTTCATGTTAGAAAGGGCACTAGTCTTTTAGGCAAGTGAAAATAGTTTGCTAAAGAAATAAATGTAAAAATAAAGGGTAATGGAACTAATATGTAATTATAGCAAATTATAGCAGGGTTATAGGATACAAGATGGACACAAAAGTTAATTTATTTCTCATATATCAGCAAGGGACAATTGAAATTTGAAATTAAAAACAATATCATTTAAATTAGCAGTAACAAAACTGAAATACTTAGATATCATTCTAAAAAGATATGTATATGAAATATTGGAGGGAAACTACAAAACTGTGATGATACAAAGGAAATATCTAAATAAATAGAGAGATATTCCATGTATATGTTTAGGAAGATTTAATCTTGCCAAGATGTCAGTTCTTCCAAAATTGATCATGTCAAAACCCCATATTATTTTGTGAATATAGACAAACTGACTTAAAAGCTTTTATGAAAAGGCAAAAGACCCAGAATGGTCAAGAAAATATTGAAGGAAAAGAACAAGTTTGAAGGACTGACATTATCCAACTTCAAGATTTGATATAAAGCTAGAGTAATTAAGACCGTGTGGTAATGGTAAAATAATAAGCAAATCAATCAATGCTACAGAAGAGAGAGCCAAGAAATACACCTACACAAATATATTCAACTGATTTTTGACACAGGAGCAAAGGCAGTTCAATGGGGAAAAAATAGCCTTCTCAAGAAATGGTTATACAACATCTGGACATCCACATGTCAAAAATGAATCTAGATACAGATCCTATGCCTTTCACAAAAATTAACTCTAAATGAATCATCAATCTAGAAGCAAAACACAAAACTATACAGCTTCAAGATTATAACATAAAGGACAATCTAGGTGAACCTGGGTTTAACTAAGGTAGTATCAACCAACAATGACTTTTTAGAAACAGTAACAAAATCACAGTACCAATGCGTGGAAGAAAAACTTGTTAAATTGGATGTCATTAAAATTAGAAACTTCTGCTTTACAAAGGGCACTGTCATAAGAATGAAAAGACAAACCATATATTGAGAGAGAATATTTGCATTTGCAAAGTGCAAATCTGTTAAAGGACTAGTATCTAAAATACACAAGGAACACTTTAAACTCAACCACAAGAGGACAGAAGACCCAATTTAAAAAAGGGCGGGGGAGGAACTCTTAACAGACTCCTCACCAAAGAAGATAAACAAATGGAAACCTTTGAAAAGACACGACGCATTATAGCCATCAGGAAATTGCAAATCAAAACAATGAGATACCACTAGATAGCTATTAGAATGACTAAAATCTAAAACTCTTGCAACATCAAATGCTGGTGAGGATGGAGAGTAACAAGAACTTTCATCCACTCCTGGTGGTTTTGTAAAATGGTACAATCAATTTGGAAGACAGTTTGGAGGTGTCTTACAAGAATTAAACATGTTGTTACCATATGGTTCAGCAATCATGCCCCTTGGTATTTATCTAAATGAGTTAAAACTTTTTGTCTACATAAAATCTGTAAGCAAATGTTTATAGCAGCTTTATTCATAATTGCCAAAACCTGGAAACAATAAAAAGGTCTTTCAAGATGTGAATGGAAAAGCAAACTGTGGTAGTTTCACATAATTGAATACTATTCATCAGTAAAAAGAAGTGAGCTATCAAATGAAGAAAAGACATGGAAGAGTTCTAAATGCATATTGCAAAGAAAACCAAGCTAATCTGAAAAGACTATAGTGTACTGTGTAACATTAACTATGCGGCCTTCTAACGTTCTAGAAAAGATAATGGACAAAATAAATACATCAGTGGTTATCAGAGGCTCTGGGAAACAGAGGGATGAATTGGTGGAGCAAGGACATTTTTAAAGAAGTGAAACTATGTTGTATGATACTGTAATGGTGAATATATGCCATCAAACATTTGTCAAAACCCATAGGACTGTATAACCCAATGAATGAACCCATTGGAAACTATGACCTTTATTTAATCAAAATGGTTCATCAATTGTAACAAATACATCACACTAATCCAAGGTGTTATTAAGAGGGAAAACTGGGGTGGGGAGATTGATAAGTATATGAGAACTTTCCACACTTTCCACTCAATATTTTTTCTGTAAACCTAAAAGTGCAAAAAAAGTATATTAATTAAAATAAATTTTTTTAATGATATGGGAGTGGAATGAGATAAACTAAAAGATAGATGTAGAGGCTAGGACATGCAGGCCAAGGGGGTCATGCTAAGGTATGAATTTGTTCCCCCAAAATAATGTAAATCCATTGAAATGTCTAAAAAGAGGGAATACACATTAGATGCCAAATAAACATGTATTTATTAAGGTATGGCCAAATTTGACTTACATAAACTAGAGATCTTGCCAAGTTTAAGTTTTACCTAGTAATTCAAAACTCAAGTAAATATGAGCCACTGGCAAAGTAGGGCATAGGCAAAGCAGTTAGTCCAGGACGAACTTTGCAATTCAACAAATTTTGTCTTGCCACATCTCATTCAGGTTGACATATGATTTCCCCATCATTTATGCAGTTGCATTGCTTAATCACAAAATATCTGTCTTTCTCATTAAGCACCTCCAATTTAAACTCATAAAGATAAAAAAAAACATTATCTAGAGTAATTCCCCAATAAGACCCCAAAATTTGTTTTCCCCAATATAAACATATCAAATAAATCTTAAAATCTGAATGCTCAGAGAATTGTGGGGAACTTATGTCAGTTTGAGCTCCAAAGCAATAAAGAAAGGTTTATGTGAGAAACCCAAATAAAAGTGGAAATGAAGTTTGTTGGTCCTCATTCAAAAGAGATCTAGATTAGTCTGCAAAGAAAACTAAACCAAAAAGAAATTAGAGATGTCACATTGGCTTGACATTACATCAAAACTGTTAAATTAATATATTTTTATTTGTATCATCCTGAATTTTTACAATATTTCTTGATTTTATAAAGATAATTTAGATGCTGAAAAAAACAACAATATCAAGGTACCCTGGCATCATTTAAATTACAGCATTCTTTAAGTTTTACTTGAGTTGGGAACTTGGTCATATTTAACTATCAGTGTAGTAAATTTAAGTTTCAGATTTCCATATATGTTAATCGAAGTTGTTTATTTGTTCATTATATTTTAGGAAAAATAATTCAATATGAATAATTTTTATATTTACCATTTTAATAACATTCAAATACTTTTTCTCAATAAATGGGTTCAAATATCCAAAATCTTGCCTATATGTTTCATAATACAAAAAACAAGATACATATGTTTTATCAGAAAAAGGCTATTATAATTTCAAGTTCAAAATCTACATTTGACTCTGTTTTTATACATATATTTAGTAATACTATATATTTTTATATTTGGTAAAAGTAAAATTTTTCAGCTGAAAATGTGACTATTCTCTGATTGTGCACAAATAAAAAACTTTATGTCCACATGTTTAACTCGGCAAACACAATTTACTACAGATTTTGGTGTTTTCATTCTGGTGCAGCCTGGAGAACTGTGAGCCAATTAAACCTCTTTTCTTTACAAATTGCCCAATCTTAAGTATTTCTTTATAGCAACGCAAAAATAGCCTAACACAGTAAGTGACCTATAAAGTTGTTTATGGACTCCTGGGCTCATCTCCAAGCTTCATGCATGGATTCCATACTTAAAAAAATCACAAAAATGCTTTAGAATTGAACTAAAACTAAATCACTGCCCAGGTCCCAGACTGGCCACTGTGTATGTTACATGCAGACCACATTCAAACAGCAAAGTAAAGATTTTGAAAACTATTATTGCAAACACAACACAAAAAAAGCTTGTCAGAACTTATAGCCTGATTCCAACTGGGTTGATTGACTTCTAAACTAGAAATATCAGTCTCCACAGAATTTAAGGAAGAAGCAGAACCTCATAACATTATATACAAAATATCAAGATATAATCCAAAATTACTTGTAATGTGAAGAATCAGAAAAACACCTGATGTGAAAAAACCATCAATATTTGCCAAGACTGAAGTAACATAGATGTTGTAACTATTATTACAAGGGTTTTGTAAGCAACTATTTAAAAATGCCCCAAAAACCAAGGATGAATAAGAAATAACAACAATAACATAACCTTCAAGGTATGAGCTCATTAGAAAAGTGGAGATGAAAAAGGAAAGTCAGTGAACTTGAAAGTAGATCAATAGAAGTTATCCAGTATGGTCAATAAATACAGATGATCAAAAAATAAACAGTGCTCTCAGAGACATACGGGACAATTGTAGAATATCTAAATTTTGTGTCATCAGAGTCCTAGAAAGAGAGGAAAACTGTGCAGAAAATAATAAAGAAATAATTGCCAAAAACTTTCTCAAATTAGTGAAACTTATAAACATACAGGTTCAAGAAGTTCAGAGAAACCCTAAATAAGATAACCTCAAAGAAATCCACATCCAAACACACTTAATTAAACTATTGAAAACTAGAGAGAAAAAAGTCCCAAAGGCAGCCAGAGAAAAGTGAGGCTCCTAGAGGCAAAAACAATTGGAACAACTATGGATTTCTCATCACAATTCACGGAAGACAGAAACAAGTGGAACATTTTTCCTAAAATGCTGATGGAAATAATTTCAATCTAACATTATATCCGTGAAAATATTCTTCATGCATGAACAGGAATCAAGGCAGGAATCAAGGCATTCTCAGATTACGGAAAATTCACTGTGTATAGGCTTGCTCTAGAAAATTACTAAACAATGTCTTTAGGCAGAAAGAAAATGTTACCACCAGGAAACTTGGAACATCAAGGATGAAAAATAGTAGTAAAAATGGTAAACGTATGGCTATATGGAATAAACTATTGTTCTCCTCTTTCGTTATTAAAATATGTTTTATGTTTAAAAGCAAATATTATAATTTTGTTGAATGTGTTTTAAATGTATGTGGATGTCATATATAAGACAGCAGTAATCTAAACTAGGGACAATAAAGGTACCTGTATGGTGATAAGGTTTCTATATTGTCCTCGAAGGGGTAAAATATTGAATCAAGTTTGATTTTGGAAAGTTAAATATGCATATAGTAATCATGATATCAAAGACTAAAAATAAATTGTACAAACAGCTATAATAAAAAATATAGTTGACAAATTGAAATGAGATACAAAAAAGGTTGAAATAATCCCAAGGAAAGCAGGAAAGAGAAAACAGAGGAATCAAAAGAAAAAAAAAAGAAAGAAGAAATAGAGAGAACAAGAATAAAACAAATAAAAAAATGATAGAACTAAATTCAAATTAATTATATTAGAAGTTTAATTGGACAAGCTGAAGCACAAACATTAAAAGACAGATTGTCGGAATAGATTAAGAAATGCCCAACTGTATGTTATCTGTGAGAAACTTACTTTGAATATAATGATATTTGTAGGTTAAAAGTAAAAGGATAAAAATAAATACATATATCATGCAAATACTAATCAAAAGAATGATGGAGTGGCTATAGCAATATCAAACAAAGTAGATTTCAGAACAAAGAATAAACATAAATCACATCAAATTACTTTCTAGTTAAAAACCTTTGTATTGTTTCCAATTCCTCAGAATCATATTCGAATCCCTTATCTTGACCTAACAAAAACCATCTAAAAACCATATTTATACTCCTACCCAGACACCTCTTATCCATTTATAAACTGTTTCACTTAATAGCTCTTAAAACTACCTGAAATTTTCTTATAAATTGTATTTGTTTATTCCCAGGATAATATAAACTCCATAACAGAAATGTCTTTGTCTGTCTTGTTCACTCTAATGTCCTTGGTGTCTATAAACAGTGCTTGATATAGAATAGATATCCAATAAATAAAATTTAGGTGCTTACATTAATTTTCTATGAATTCTTTTAAAAATGAGAATTTTTACCGTTATATAATACTTATAAAGTCCCCGAACAACCACAAATATAATTTTACCACCACTTCTTGATTTTAAACTAATTGGCAGAAGTTTATCTTTCATTAGTGTTCTTCCACAAGTAAAAATTTATTGACTTCATATGAATGTCTATGGATGATGTAAGGAGAATTCTCAAATGTTGATGCTTTTTACTCTGGGCAGTTCTTCACATTATGAGGCTATGGATTTTCCAAATATGAGTGAAACAAGCAAAAATTACGTAAGCTTTCTTGAAAATCAGAAAACATTCTGAATTTTGTTCACTAATAAATTCCAAGAAAATTCAAGACAAACTGGTCTAATGTAATTAAAATAAACAAGAAGGACAAAGAAGAGTAGGAGGAGAAAAAGAGGGAGAAAAGTTATTAATAGCCTTGTAATTTTAAGTTTGGAGAATTACAGAATCTGAAATGGAGAGAAATTGAAAGGCTAATATTAACCTGATTCAGCTATATTTAATTTGGTAAACATATGAAAATGTGCTTTCAGATAGTAGGCAGTGAATGATTACAGATATATACAGGTCTGTTTGGCCAAGAATGAGTATACAGACGATCTCGGCATGCAGTGTCAGGTTGAAGTGCAAATAAATGTGAGATGCCAGAGCACTCATCACATTCTAGGCCTTCAGTAAATATTTGTTGAATGGATGAAAGGTAAACTAAATACATATTTTTAGAGATTTTTGGAGGCTGCTTTCCTGTGGACTCAGAACTGTTACTTCACATTTTTTTCCTATAAAGATATTCTGCTTCTCTTCTCTCAGAGGTAAACATGAAACCCAGCCTCACCAATGATAATTATCACTCAGATGTACACAGTGACTCTTCAAGGGATAAGCACATAATCCAAGTTAAGCAAATCAACATTTTCTGTAGAAATATTTAATTTGGAACTGAGAAAAGCACATTTTCTGATGTGGTTTTTTTCTTCTGTTTTGCTTTGGAGTTTTGAGATTGTGAATAGTGTGTTGCGAGTTGTCACACCTCCTTCAATACATGCTGATCATCAGAGAATAAGCATGACATATAGAAATAAACCAAAATATCACATGTTGGGGAACCACCTCCCCCCAATTCATGTTCTTTTCATTTGAAAAAGAAAATTCAATTAATGTAACTCAAAGTCTCTTCTATCCTCCTACACAGAAAAATAGAATGACTCATCCACTGACGTGTTTGGAAAGATTAAATTGGACATACTCATTTCAGCTCTACAACTTTTTCTGGAATGGAGCAGCTTGTAAGAGGTATGAAAAGAATTCCACCATCATTGCCTGTGACTGGAAGATAAGTCTGTCTAAATCAGTGGTTCACTTAACAAGTCCACTTGGCTGTGCTATCTAAGCTATATCTTTCAACTTAGCATTATCAGTAATAATGTTGACTGCCATGACTTATTCTCAATTGATTCAGTAACTTGACTGATAAGAGGAGTAGCAAGTGCTTGGTCTTTTCAGAATATCACAGAAAGTAAAGCCTAGAGAAACAATTTTCTTGCTGTTTAAATTTTTGATCCTCTCTATCCTTCAGGCCAGCTATCACCCTACTTATAGGTAGAATAAATATGCTAATACATCTCTTCTCTTCTCAATTGAATTCCATTTGTATTTCTGTCACATGCTAAATTGATAAACCTGAAGAAAATGATCATGTTTATTCATTATGTTCTCTTGCACAGACTAGTTAAAATATCACCATATTTATATAATGAGAGTGATAGGTTGGCTTACTTTTCTCATATGAACTCTAAATATATAATGTTATCAGTGCCAAAATGTAAATCTGTTTTCTTTCTTCGTGGGACTCACAAATGTGGTATGCTTGAGCGCAATATTTACTTTATAGACTTTAATACCGTTTTTAGTATAAATTGAAAAACAAATATTTTATAAGCTACCATTTTCTGAAATACAGGTCCTTTTGCCTAGTGCCTCAAATGATCGGAATAAATATGAATTGTTCTCATATTCACCAATTCTATTAATCATTGATAATACGTGTAATTGTCATCAAAGAATGTTTTCTCAGGCTCATTTATTTCTAATTTTTTCCAGATGCTTATTTCTTTATTTGAGTATAACTTGCCTGACACAATTTGCTTGTGTATTATCAATGTGCATAAATAATAACATTGATCGATGTAGCATTTCCACAAATTTTATTGTTTGATTAAAATTTTACTTTGGAAACATTATGAACAAACTTACAGAATTTATTAATCTAATTGTGATGTTTTAGATGTCATATTTATAATTTTTACCAATAAAATTTCCTAAAATCTTCCTTAAATTCATGAAAAATTGTGTACTGATATTTGACCAACATTAACTATATATTCACGGTTACAAATAATACTTGTATAGCTGTTCTTGGCCATTTTAGGAGTCACAGACTAATTTGAATGTCTAGAGAAAGCTCTCTCTCCCTTCTCTACATTATTACACATTTATAGATTTTAAAAAATGTATTGACTTTCCTGATGCCCACCCATACACCATTTTTAATTTACACATCCCGAGGTAAGGAAAGAACGTCAGGCAAGTATATGATATGGGCACTTGCCTTATTCAAACTTCAGCTTATATTTGTATAATCTTTTTCCTAATGTAGTTGTGAAAACTTTACCAAGGTAGCAAATATAGTGTTGAACTTTTCCTTTCATTCTCTTGGTTCAATTTTATGTATATGCTTTAGGTTTTCTCATCTTGGTAACAAGCAACTTATATCAATTGCAAAAAAAAATCTGTCTTTTGATTGGTAATGTCTCAAAATTTACTGTTGGAACCTTCATCTGCAGCATTTCTGAAATGTAAAAATTCTGGTTACAAGTAGCTATTGTATTGATCCATATAAAGCTGAAACATTCAACTTAGAGTCTGCTAAGTTGTTACTTCTTATTTTGGTATAAGAATGACTTTTCTCTCTGTAAACTTCTCTTCAGGACATCATTAATTATTCTGCATGTTCTAAGATATGTGCTATGGAATGGAAGTGGATTTATTTTGCAGCCTGAATTAAGGTAAAGTGAGAGGAGCCTTCAAATTGGTAGAATCTGAAAATGTTTCTCTCTTGCATGATGGTTTTGCCTGTCTTACAGTCATCACCTATTTACTGCATCAGCCTGAGATTTTACTACCATAAAACTTCATGTCCAGTACCTTAAGGATTACATTAGCACAAAGCTAATTTTATTGTTTTGAAATTATCATTGGGACAAGCAGAATGTTCTCCCTACTCTGAATAGTTTTCAACAGTGAATTAATTGCCAAAGAATTCTTAGTGCAACCATCTAGTTGTTGACAGTAATTAAGCTTAAGTATTTCTTGGATTTACTAAGTGCCGATTGTATGCATCAAAAAGTCCTAATTCCTCAGCCAAGATTTCAGAATCTTCATATTCTGTTGCCAGTAAACTTATCCAAACTTATTTTTTATCTACTTAAAAAAGTTACCTTAAATGATCAGCAAATTTAACATCCCCTATTTATTAAATGTGTTACTTTTGCCAAGCAATGGGTTAAGTGTTTTATTTTTATATGCTATATACTCTTTGAAATAAGAACTATTATCATTCCCATTGTACATATAAAGACTAATAGGTCAGACAAGATGAGACACATTCATGGTGGTATGGCCATAGACAGAAGGGTAAATTAGTTTAACTGTTGTGGAAGACAGTGTGGCGATTCCTCAAAGACCTAGATGCAGAAATAGCATTTGACGCAGCAATCCCATTACTGGTTATATACCCAAAGGAATATAAATGATTCTGATATAACGATACATGCATGTGTATGTCCATTGCAGCACTATTCACAATAGCAAAAACATGGAATCAACCTAAATACCTATTGATGATAGACTGGATAAAGAAAATGTGGTGCATATACACTACAGAATACCATGCAGACATAAAAAGGAACAAGATTATGCCTTTTGCAGAAACATGGATGGAGCTGGAAGCCATTATCTTCAGCATACTCATGCAAGAACAGAAAACCAAATACTGCATGTTCTCACTTATAAGTGGTAGCTGAATTGTGAGAACACACGGACACATCAGGGGTGGGGCCTGTCGGAGGTTGGGGTGTTGGAGGAGGGAGAGCATCAGGAAGAATAGCTATTGGATGCTGGGCTTAATACATCATTGATGGGAAGATCTGTGCAGCAAACCACCAAGGCAGACATTTACCTATGTAACAAACCTGCACATCCTGCTCATGTGCCCCTGAACTTAAAATAAAAGTTGGAAATTTTTTTAAAAAAGATACGTAGGGCTAAATGGGTAAAGTGAATTTTCTAAGATCACAAAAACACTCTTGCCCACTTCAATACAAAAAATATGAATGATGTTTGTTGGACTGATTCAATGATGGATCCTAAAAATATGCCAGTTTTAGTGTGTTTGATATTCTTTATTTGTTCTTCCAATCTAGTATCCACCATTCTTACCTTCCTTGTTTCATGGGTATGAATGCGGTGACGTTATGAATGACATTAACTGATTTCTCTTGATTTCTAGCTTCCTGTTGTGGTCAGCTAATAGTGTCACTGAAAGAGATCTAGGCTACCATGAAGCTATTCTGCCAGTTTGTCATTGTGGCACAGTAGATCTAATGGTATTGAAAGTACCTATTGTAGATAAGAATGCTGTAAGGAGCCATGAGCAGGACTCTATAAGGGAAATAAATGTAAATTTTTAGGGTTTCAAAGCAAAGTTGTACCATTCTGCTTCTACAAAATAGCCGCTGGCTTGACTATGAGCCAGCCAGGTTACCATGGGACCTGATATGCTCAGCATAAACTGAGTGTTGTCTAATCCAATATACTGTAAGATTGGCAAGCAGACTCAGTAGCATCCCATCATTAAATGGAAGTGCTATATATGCTATTGGGCTTGAAGAGATTCTGAGGGAATAAGTAAGTCATGTGACCAAATGGCACATGACCAAATTCCCATGCCTCCTACTCTAAGTTGCCTCCTCCCTATAAATCTGCAACTATGGACTCCTAGGTGATACCTATAATAGGTTGACTGGGAAAAAAATAATAGGTCTGGTTGACAGATTATTTTTTACAAATATGCTATTACCTCTTGTAAATAGGTGGCTGAAGTATTATTTGCCTCTTCATGATGTCTCCAAGAAAAAGGATCAGAGATTTAAGCCTTGCTGAAAGCTAAGCATTTTGCTCACAGAGAGAGAGAACTAGCAAATGAATTTACACTGAGTATTGAGAGTGGCTAATATTTTGGCTGGATAATCAGAGAACTGAAAAAACAAAGTTGGAAAGTTTGGAGGTCTAGGAAAGAAGGTCTAGGGAAGAGGTACATATTAGACATCTCCGAATGGGCATAGAGTGTGAAGCTACTTGGGTTTCATGAGCAGCTCACTAAGAAGCAACCATAGAAGAGTAAAATGTTAATAATCAGGTGGACAAGTTGAAATGTTCTGTAATAGGTGCTGATCTTTTCCTTGTCATATAGACTCACAAACAAAGCAGCATGGTGTTGGGAATGGAGGTTTTGCATGGGTTCAGCAACAGGAATATTCACTTGCTAAACCCTTCCCACACTGCCAGGGGCAGAGGCAAATACTGCATTCCCAACATGGCATCACTGCCCTGGAAATATGGGAAAAAAATCATCCAGCCACTTCTATCATGAAAAGAGAAATGCTTACTTTTCTTTGAAATAATCCTTTGCTCTGGATACAAATTTGCCTTTTTTGTTAGCAATGCTTATGCACAAGTCACCTTCTGTGGTCTTTGAAATATCTTTTTCAACATTATAGAATTACACATAGCATTACTTTTGACTGGGAAACTTCTGTTAGAGCAAATCATGTACGGCAATAGACTCAAAATCATGGAATTTAGTGGTCTTACCATGTTTCCCATCTGTAGCCTGAGATGGAAATAGAACGGCCTTAAGAAGGCATAGTTTTAATGCTAGCTGTATTGGCAACACCTTTTGGGGCCGAAGTAATGTCAAATGTTCTCCCAGAAGAGCTATATGCTCCAAATCAGCATCAAATATGGTATAATTTCTTCCATAGACAGAAATCATAGGTAAAGGAATCAAGATGTCACTATTCTCACTATTACTATTGGTGATTATTTTATTTTTGTGAAATGTTTGCTTCCCATTTTCACAATTTGGGGGTCTACTGATTTTGAAGTTTTAGTTCCCAAAGAGGAATGCTTTAATGAGGGTACCAAGCTTCAGGTATGTATTTGTTATATCGCTGGAATAGGAAAAACTGTCAGCAGAGGAGGCTGAGAGAACTACAGATTTAACTGAAAAAGAGAGAGAGAGAAAGAGAGGTGATAAAAGGAAGGAAGGAAGGGAGGGAGGGATGGAGGGAAGAAGGAGGGAGGAGCTTAAAGAAATAAGTGGTGGTCAAGTATGGAAGATTTTGTTTTTCCTATTGAGCAATGATTCACCATTTTTAGGTACCTAAAGATTTTTCATTGAGGATGACCCTGCAGTTGGTACTGTACAACCAGTAGTCAGGCAGTTATTCAAGGTGCTCATCATGCCCTTACCCTAGGAAATGTATGGCTTTATAACCCAAACTGGATTACAAAGGCTGGAAAGGTCAATTCAACCTTGCCCCTGTAACTTTAAACCTTTCCAGAAAAACATGTAGATGGGAAATTGTCATTAATTTTTCTTTATTATTTTATTGACAATGTACTGAACAGATAGTTACTAGTTTTTGCTACTTATATCTAACAAGCATCCATGGTTTCACTTCTTTTCTGGAACATAGGTAGTTAACATTTCTTTTAATTTTATGAAATATATTTATTTTTGCACTTTGCTGAAATCACCTGGGTAATTTTTTATGGCTTACAAACACTGAATTAAAAGATTACCTAAAATGAGGATAATATATAGAATTTGGCAACTTGTAAACTAGCATTGATCTTGAAAAAAGATGTTTGACTTGTTTCATGAGTACTGACATGAGGTTAGAAATTGAGGAAATGCAGGCCAGGCCCGGTGGCTCGTGCCTGTAATCTCAGCACTTTGGGAGGCCGAGGCGGGCGGATCACCAGGTCAGGAGATCAGGACCATCCTGACTAACACGGTGAAACTCCATCTCTACTAAAAATACAAAAAATCAGCCAGGCGTGGTGGCGGGCGCCTGTAGTCCCAGATACTCAGGAGGTTGAGGCAGAGCTTGCAGCGAGCTGAGATCGTGCCACTGCACTCCAGCCTGGGTGACAGAGAGAGACTCTGTCTCAAAAAAAAAAAAAAAAAAAAAAAAGAAAGAAAGGAAAAAGAAATTGAGGAAATAAAGACATTGAGTACAAACTTTTTTGAGAAATCTTTCTGTGAAGGAGAGTGACTTAGTCCAAATTGTGCTGCTATAAGAGAATACTTTAGACTGGGTAATTAATAAAGAACAGAAGTGTATTTAGCTCATGGTTCTGAAGTCTGGGAAGTTCAAGATTGGGTGGCAGCATTTGGCAGTTGGTGGTGAGGCCTTCTCCTGTGCCAAAATATGACAGAGAAATGGAAGGGGAACCAGCCACATGGGAAAAGTTCAAAACAGGAGCAGCACACTTGCTTATAACAACCTGCTCTCACAGGAACCAATGCATTCCGGTAAGAAGAAAAATTCTCTTCCACCTGTGAGATGGCATTAATCTATTCAGAAGGGCAGTGCCCTCATAATCCAAACAAACCCCACTATGCCCTACTCCACCACTGCCAGACTGGGGGTAAAATTTCAACATGAGTTTTAGAGGAGACACACTCAAACCATAACAGGGAGCAAAGAGATTGCGCGGGAGTTGAAGAAAGAAGTTATATCAAAGAGAGATTTATTTCCCTTTTTTTCTTTCAAATAAAAGAGCAGAATGTGTTTTTGTATTGATATAAACAAAATTTTAGTCTTTTTTTCAAAATTAATAAACCTTACAAATTTAAAACATAAAGGTCTTTAATTAAACATAGAAATCGTATGCTTTTATTTATGAATCTTGCAAGTTTTAACATTCACTGTTAATATTCACTGTTACTTTGAGTAAGCCTACAGCCTAACTCCCATGTTTTTAATAATGAGACTGATTGAATTAGTGTAATAGGCCTGTGTGCTCGGTTTTTCCATCAGCTCAGATTTGCATGCTTGCTTTGCTTTCTAGCCTGAGCAGCTTCAGCAACAGTTTGTGCTGTTCCCATGACACTGAAACCTAATCACTGCATTGCCAGATTGAGGAGCCCACTACTGGAGCTGCTCAGACACCCCCCAGTTGCTCCTCTGAGAATACAGTCCCCCAACTCTTGCCGTCTGCCTTCAGGCTCTCCTTGGACTGTGGCAGCAGATGCCAAGAATACCCTCTGGAACCTACAAGCAAAGCCTCAGTGGAGTTCATGGCTGGCGGAGTAGACTTTGGGCAATGAGAGACAGGAGTCTGTGGATAAATTCTTTTCCCTTCCAATTGCCAGATAGACTGGTTGGAGCTATGGTAGTTCTATATAACTCCACATAACATTTTCTCTTTCTCTATCTCACTTTCATTTTCCTTTATTTCTGTTTCCTAAATAATGCAGTCCATGCCGCAGGGTTATCCCCTAAGATTATGCCTCAAGTCTGTTTTCTGGGAAATGAATCCTATGACAGCAAGAATGTCATAAATATGACATGCACGTAAAATTCCATATTTGCACAGATTTCTTAAAAAATGTTTTAACTTTCATTCTCTTAAGTATTTGTATATGTAAATCTAAATTTTCTTCTGGATAAAATATGTTTAACCACTACACAGATCATTCTTATGATCACCCACATTTTGAGGAACATTTACCATATATTTTGGGGAATTACTTTCTAAATTTGCATGACTTCCTTGAAGACCATTTTTGATAACCGTGATGAAGATTAAATTCTGGATTAAATTCTGGTTTTCTAGCACTGATAGGATTTACTAGCCAAATTTATAGTCTATAACGGATAAACAATAATTCAAAGAAAGTAGTGGCCATACAGCCATGCCTCTGCGTGTCATATATGTATACTATGTTTTTTCTTCTCTTAACCCTGGCTGCTGTATTATTTGATTGGATTTATATTTCTTTAGATTTTTAGATATTTTAAGTCTTCTCTCATAGCTCAAAAACATGCTTGCTCTTGGTGAAAACGCTTTTCTTTTTATTTTCTTACCTGTTAAAGCCATAAAATCTATAAATCTTTGAGATTCTCACTTGGCTTTGCCTGATTACATAATTGTAGAGCTCTAATAAAATCCTTCCCAAACTTAAGCGTATATGAGAATCATCAGGGATTACTGTTAACACATGGATTGTTGAACCTAGTCCCCAGGGTTTTTGATTCAGTAGGTTTGGGGATGGGGCCAAGAATTTTAATTTCTTACAAATTCCAAGAGGATACTGGTGTTTCTGGACTGCCAATTTAACCTTGGAAACTACTGTTCTAAAATAATGTCAATGACATGTACCTTAAGAAATCTTACTACAGAATTTTAAGTTAAAAGTGGCCACATACTCCTGTCTCTCATTGACTAAAGTTTATGCTATCAGCCATGAACTCCAAGGCTTTGCTTATATAAGGATATTGATATGGGATAGTCAAGTAGACAAGCAAAACAGAAAAATCTATGGGGAAAAAATGTAACAGGATATTTGATGATATAAAATTACATTTCTTTCTCAAATAAGACACAATAAATATAAAGACTGACCAATTTAACCTTTTTATTATAACTACTCTGCTTGATAAAGTTTTCCATAATTAAATTGAATTGACATTTTCAAGTATTGAGTGAATATTTGCAACACATATAACTAACAGTAGAATAATATTCAAAATAGAGACCCAACTTATATGTCACAAACAAAATTATCAATTACTCAATAGAAAAATAGAAAATGAATATAAAAATTAAATATATAGGAGTAAATATCCCAAGTTTCTACGAAGCTAAAGAGATAATCACATTAATAAGAAGAATGCAAACTAAAGTGGCAAGACACTGCTCCACATTCATAGATCAGTGAAAATTTCACAAATTTTTTTTACATCAAGTATTGATAAAAATGAGGAGAAACACTTTAATATTGCAAGTAGGATTATTACTTGAATTATAACTTTAATGGAACATAGGGAGAGTTTTTTGTTTATTTTTTAGCCATTCTGGTGGGTGGGTAGTGATATCTCAATGTGGTTTAATTGTTGGGTTTTGATGACTGTCTAATGATTGTTAAATAATTTAAAATTTTCATTGATGTACTACATTTATAAAATAAGCATAGCTACATAAATTCAATGAACAAGTTTAGTCTTAAGATCAAGCTTTGTGGTAAAAGTTGAACTCTAAAATACTAAATAAGACATGGTTGGTGCTATATTCATTATTACTCATACACATTTTGGAATAATTTTGTGGGTGTCTTGGAAATGCATGTGTCTGTACAGAGGTTGAGATCATAATTCTTGTTAGAGGTGTTGAATTTTCTTATATGAACTGACAATGCTAGAATATCTTTGCAAGCTATAATGATTTAAGTAATGTAGATGTTTGTACTGGTAACAATATTTATTGAGGATTTACAAACTGCTACTAAGTTATGTGATTTTAATGATTAATTTGTTTATCTCTTATAACAACAGTATTAGGTTTCTTTTTCTTCAACAACCCATATAGAACTTACCATGTGCTAGGCACAGTTTTCAGAACTTTACGCCACTAAACCCCTTCAATATTCATAACCACACTGTTGGGTAGTACTGTTATATGTATTTTGCACCTTTTTAAAGGGAGCCACAGAGGTTTGAGCAGGTAACATGCTTCACACACTACTAATAACGTGAGAGCCAGAGTTCAAAACCAGCAGTCTGGCTGCAAACTCTGTTCACATAACTCCTATGCCAAACGTCCTATGAAAAAATAATTCTAACACAAACAAGAAGAACAAGGCCAATATAAATCAGTAGCGTTAAAAAGCAAACTCTAAAGTAGGCAGTTTCATTCCCAAATTTGTTCTTTTAACCATGCACAGTGGCTAATAATAGTTTTCATAATAATAGCTAATGTATAATCAGAAGTCATGATGCTCCAATCACTGCACTCAACACTTCACATGAATTATCTCATTTAATACTTAAAAAGTGAAGTATACCTAATACTTAAAACAGTATTATTCATATTTTACAGATAAGAAAACTGGGCATTAAAGCAAATTAAGCAATTTACACAGGTTATAAAACTGGTGATTTTCCTAACCAAATACAGACACAATTATGCTATATAGTTCAAAATTTATTTTAAATTCTACAACCCTAGGTTCAGATAAAACAACAACATTGGTAAAACAAACATTCAAAAATTCCTCTTTTAAAACTTCTGTTGACAACTCCTTTTTGTTGGATACATCATAAAAAATTTGTTATGATCTAAGCTTCATGAGCTCAAGAGACCTTATTCATCCCAGTGGTTTCTTCATTTATTCAACAATCACTGGTTGACACTTGCTATTCATTCTTTCATTTATTCTTCAACGTAATTTGCTGAGTGCCTAGAATATCCCAAGAACTCTTCAACACACTGTGGATGTGAAGTGAATAAAAGAAAAAAGGACCCTGGTTCCATGGCACTTATATTGTAGTGAGTGGTTTAAGGGGAGAAGGCTGGTAAATAACACCTGAAGAAGCAAGATCATTTCAGAAAATGGTAGTTACTACAAATTCAATCCAATAGGGTAGTTTGTATAAAATGAAAGTTGTGATGGCAGTTGTAAGGAAAAGGCTTTTCAAGACAACATTTGAGATAAAACATGGGTGCTGGGAAGGAACCAGTCACGTAAAGATTTCATTCCAGGGCGAGGAAACATGAGGAAACATGAAGAAACAGGCCCCTGCAAGCACTGTGGGGATAAATTCTTTTTATTCCTATTTCCATCTTTCTCATCTTGGACTTCATTGTGGGAAATAAATCTTCTTGTAGTTTCCTAACTGATCTCTCTACCTTCATTCTCTCTCATTTCCATTTTAGCATTTACTCATCTGACAGACTTAACTTTTTGAAGCATGACTATTACCATTTAATTCACTTGTTTGAATATTCTCATTATTTTCTGTCAGCCTGTAGTGTCACAACCAAATTCTGTAGACTATCATTATAATCTTTACTTGTTCTTATGGCAATCTGCATTTCCAGCCATATTTTTTTAGCATTCCCCTTCATCTCCACTTACCTCAGTCAAAATAATGTATTCAGTGTTCTTTTACATCACTTCATATCTTAGATTTTGCTCTTTTTGTTCTCTTATCCTAAATTCCCTTCTACCCTGAATCTACACATGTCCAAAATGTACCCATATTTAAATGGCTAATAGAAGTTCTAACCCTATTCTACGGTTTTCCCAAATGAGTAAATTATTTGAAATATTTTGCCATGATTTCCATTCCAGAAATGTAAAAAGGACTAGAGAAATGATTTTTTAAAATAGACATTTAAGAAGATACATGATATAATGCATATTTGTTAAGTTTTCTTTCTGCCCAGCTTCTCTTTTTAATGACTGGAGGATTTATATCTTTATAAATAATGCATCTTCTACGCAGGAGCCTTCATCGTCACTGCTGTGGGTCCTTTGAAGTCAGAATAAAGGCTTCTGACCTTTGGCTTCAACCGAGGAAGCATTTGATTTTAAATGAATGGGGTATAGTTTCTGGGTGGAAACACACACACACACACACACACACACACAAACACACAAACTTAAATTCTTATTGCCAATTTGACATCCTTCGAAAATTGTAACAGTCACTTCAAGCTTAAGGAAATGCGTATTATTTTATGTATTCTCCAACTGATGTCACCACTAAAACTCAAAGTAAAAAAAAAAAAAGAAAAATTGACATCTATTTTCTCACCTTTGTAAAAACTGTCTTAATGCACCTGCACTATCTTCAGGAAATATGGGGAATTATACAAAGTTTTAACGTCTTACTATTTTTTTTAAAATTAGAAATGACTCTGAATGAAGCATGATTTCGTTCTCTGTGAAACTGCTTTGAACTTACTCCACTAACGCGGATTCCGCCGCTTCGTTGCTAGGCAACCAAGTTCAGATTGCTACTTTGCCTTTGCGCTAAGAGTAAACAGGGCCACATGATCACTTTGCATTTTTTAAAGCATAATGCACATTTTTTTCTTTTTTTCCCCTCAAGATCTGTTTGTGGAAGCATACAGAATTTTTTTAAACTTTTCTTTTTAAAGCAGTTTTATCTATTATATCTGCGTCCTTGGTGAATCTACAAACTATTTACATTCTACATCTTATACCTTACAATTTTTCTACTTTGTAAATTTTGGAACTTGGCGTTTATATCTACTTTTTATTCTCAGTTTAGCAGGATTTTAGTTGTTTCTTTCTTTCTTTTCCTTTTCTTTTTTTTTTTTCTTTTCTGAGATTGAGCCTCGCTCTGTCACCTAGGCTGGAGTGCAGTGGTGCAATCTCGGCTCACTGTAACCTCTGCCTTCCGGTTTCAAGCGATTCTTCTGCCTCAGCCTCCCGAGTAGCTGGGAATACAGGTGCGTGACACCACACCCAGCTAATTTTTGTATTTTTAGTAGAGACAGGGTTTCACCATATTGGCCAAGCTGGTCTCAAACTCCTGACCTCGTGATCTGCCTCCCTCTGCCTCCCAAATTGCTGGAATTACAGGCATGAGCTACCACGCCTGGCCAGTTGTTTCTTCATTTAATAATAAAATATTACAACATTAATAATGGAGATAAGTTTGAGAAACAAGAAATAATTCATCAAATGTTCGCCATATTCAAGTTATTCCTTGTGAGACAGAGAACACAGTGTGACTAAAGCAAACAAGAATCCCTTCCCTTATGATTTGGTTTGGCTGTTTCCCCACCCAAACTTCATCTTGAATTGTAGTTCCTATAATCCCCACTTGTTAGGGTAGGGACTTCCTGGGAGGTGATTAGATTGTAGGAATGGCTTCCCCATGCTCTTCTCATGTTAATGAGTGAGTTCTCACAAGATCTGATGGTTTTATGAGGGGCTCCCTGCCACGCCACCTTTCTTCTGCACTTCTCTCTCTTGCTGCCTTGTGAAGAAACACGTTTCCTTCCTCTTCCGCCATGATTGTAAGTTTTCTGAGGCCTACTCCACCATGCATAACTCTGAGCCAATGAAACCTCTCTCCTTTAGAAATTACCCAGTCTCAGACAATTCTTTATAGCCGCATAAGAATGGACTAATGCACCTTATGAAGTTTGCATTCTACTGAGGGAAGTTAGACAATACATATGTGAAAAAACAAAAAGATAACTATATAGTTGGTATTGATAAGTTTTAAGCAGGAGAAGATCCACATTTTGTGGATTATATAACTCTTCTATAGTTTGATGGCAATTTTTTAAAAAATTATAAATATTGTGGATACAAAATTAGAAGTTCTTTGAAAGAGCCAGTGCAAATGAGGAACTAGGAATTGTAAGCATCATCAGTTTCACCATATATCCACCATTTCTGCTATTGTGGAATACAAACTCAGAAGAGTGCTATGGAGCTCAACGTGGGTGGGCAGTTGCAATTTTGTACTCTGTGGCCAAAGAAAGCTTCAATAAGAACATGACACTTAAATAATAACAATAATTGAGGAAAATGATGTGGTTGATAAGTGGTTATAATTGCTTGGTACTAAAAGATAGGAAGCTGAGCTGGAAAGACAAGATAGAAGGTGGTTGTTGCAGAGTGGAATGCTTGAAATTGAGATCACAAATGATGACGATGTTATTAACAACAAAGGATAGACTTTTCTGTGGGAATGGACAACTGAAGTAGAATGAAGAACATGATTACTGGATAAATGGAGGTCAAGAAACTGAGTAGCGAAGTTATTAGATAATTTCCATGAATATTATGGTAACCTGGAATAAAGCAATATTAACTTTAGATGGCATAACAGCCAGGTGCTAAAGCTTTTTATTCGTGGTGAAAAATGGGCTGGTAGATTGTGATGGTGAGGTTGAAATATAGTGGGAAGGGGAGCAGGGACTGAAGTCTCTACAAGAACACTCAGAGTTACACGTGTATGTATTCCTATGTGCATGACAGCAAAAAAGGATAGAAAGTGAGTGGTGTAATCTGGTGTCAAAATTTATGACTGGAGTAATTTAGTGACAAGAGAGGAATAATATTCTGCAAACCATAACAGAGAGCATGAGTGTTACCAAGTCCACCTTCAAGATCTTTAATATGTAGTTTGTGTGGAAGAAAACGACTGTCACTTGGGAGTACTATGAGGGAAGCAGTAGCCTCAGTAAGATCTGGGTTTCAGTTCCACTAAGAAGGTGAAGGCAATTTTTCAAAAAAGATACTTAGAATGTAATGTATTTATCTGATGACCGAGCATGATTCCCTGAAGATATAATGGAAAAATTTCAAAGTTGAAGAGCAGCTGACAGTAAATGACAGGCACATCTTTAGGACAAATAGATTCTCCATGATGATGAATAATATGAGATTCCTGGTCTATTGGTTAGGAATGATGTACAATGGAATCATGGAAATTTGTCTTGATGGTCACAGTGAAGATTCATGGTTACATACACATATGTGTTTATTGTATCTGCATGTAGGTCATACATAATCATTATAGATGTATGAGCATATTTGCAAACAATCACAAAAAAATAGGCATTGACACTTGCAGACTAAAGGCTAAAGATGAAACAGTTATATCGTATATGTTACTTACCACTAGCTTATTTCCTCTGGAGTCCCATAAACACTCCTCCCATGAGTCAACCCTAGCAATAGGAGTCTATTATTACACCCACATTTCAGAAGTCTGAAGGAAGTGAAAAATTCTGTTATATCCCATTAGATCCAATGAATACCATAATTTACTGCACTGCTATATTTGTTGATCAAAACATTAAAATGTGTATATACTTCATATAATTTTTCATTAAGATTTATTCAAATGAAGTGATTTATTCATTAACGGAAATAATATTAAGTAGAAGAAAAACAGGAAACAACACAACACATTCTCACATTTACAGAGCTAGCTCATGAATTCTACCCATCTACTAATGGTAGATTTTACTGAGCAAACGTTGAATCTATGTTTTGTGAATTCTTGCGTTTAAAAGGAAAAGGACTGTTTCATAAAAGCATCTTGTACTCCCTAATTAAATTATGAATTTCAGAGGTAGTTCATTGTATGACTCATTGGCCTTTATCTCTCTGGTTCTCTAATTTAAATTGAATTCACATAAGCATTCCTAAAAACTGATACTGGTAATTTGTTAGTAAAAATTCACTTTGGAAAAGGATTTTGTAAATGTCTTTATCTCATTTGAAACATAAAGTAATTTAAGTGTTTCCAAAAACTCAGAATAAATGACAGTTTCAATAAGTATTTTTTATTTATGTATGTGAGTGAAAACTTATTTTCATTTTCAGAAATAAGCATTTTATAGAGTTGGCACTTTTTAAAAACTTTTAAAACCAATCAAATTTTCTGCTCTAAGATTTTGAATAGAGGGATATAGGCCAGAAGGATCACTGTGCACGTGAGGCATGGGCAAGAAAACTATGGGGCATGATAGCATTGAAGCTCAACTGTGGTTTTAATTTTTAGGTTATTTTGCCAGAAATTATTTCATAAGTCTACGGGAGATGTTTGTCTAGAAGGACATTTATAATTTTATAGAGAAATAAATATCCACATCCTCAGATAATCTAAACAAATTGTTTATGTGACTAAGTGTTGGGGCTGCAATTGGAAGGGTCATGCTAAGTTCTTTCTGAAGAATAATTTAAGCCTTAACTAAAGAAGAGAAAATGAAATATAGGAATGTTTTGGGAGGAGCTGGATCAAAAGGAGGAGTCTCAGGAGAAAAGGAGGGAAGAGAAGTGCGCTATCGGGTTAGAGTTTAGAATCAAGAATCCTTTCTGTGACAGGAACCCTATTTATTTAATCAGTTTGAAGCTTAAGAAGCACCAAGTCCAGCAGATGGAAAAAAAAGTTTTCCTCTGAGGAACACAATCTGAGTTTTCAGGGTCTATGGTGAATAAAAATTTTCATCTCAGCATTTCAGCCAAGAATGTTTTGCACCCATTTCCTGAGAGTAGTATTCTCTTATGTCTGTCCTGGGTAAACTCTACTGGAAATCTTCGAATTATTTCAAAATTCAGATATTCAAAGACACTTTGGAACTTTGAACTGTCATGTGTGAAATCCTTTTGTTCACAGGTGGGATGCCCTACTACCTGTATCCAGAAGCTTGTACCTCTCACCTTAGGGGAATGGAGAACAGCTTCCTTACCCATGTCCTGTCACTAAAATAGAGCAACTGAGTACAGTAGTGCCCCCTTGTCCATGGTGGTTTCATTTTCCATGGTTACAGTTATGCACAGCCAACTGCATTCAGAAAATAAGTGAGTACATTCTATTAACATATTTTGAAATCAGAGACCACATTCATGTAGCTTTTATTGCTGTAATTGTATTTATTATTGTTTGTTATGGTTCATCTCTTACTTAGCCTAATGTATAAATGAAACTTTTCATAGGTGTCTATGTATAGGAAAATACATAGCATATGTAGGGTTAGGTACTATCCAAGGCTTCAGACATTCACTGGGGGTCTTGGAACATATCCCTAGTGGATAAAGAGGGACTACAAAATAACTGAGATAGAAATCTAGTGGAACAAATAATGCTTTTGCACCACTGTTAATTTACATTCTTTTTCTTTCTGTATCAACTAATAATAGCAAAAGACAGATGTTGCACATGAATAATGTTGATGGAAATCTCAAATCACCAATATATGAAAAACAAAATGCTGAATTTATTTTTAATTTGTTAGTTTTTTTCTTGACTAAGGGAGAACTGTTTGTAAATATAAAAATTCAGCTCCTCACTGAACAAAGAAAATGAAAAGATTTTGGTATTTAGGATTAGGAAGAAAACTGGAGCTTGAATTATATTTAAACAAAGCAGTATTTTGATTAGAGCTTATTATTGAAATAATACATTCTAAAATCCAGAGTGGTGCAGTCCTAGGGCACCAACTCATTGAGAAAAGTTTAATGCAAAAAAAAATCTTTGAACACACTTGCAGCTTCCGGCGAATATGAGACATATCCTTCAGGAAAGCAGAATTTATAGATTTCTATGTAGGTACAAAAATGTCTTAAAGCAAGTGTGGAATTTCTTTGTTTTCATTCCCTCCCTTTGTCCTTTCTTGGCTAAGTCACAGGGGAGACCACTACATATTGTCCAGATCTCTATACTGTCATGATTCTCCTTAGGAAATAACACTCAGAATATAATACAGGTAGGACAAGTGATTCTGGAACTTTCATTTGTATTAGTGAATGAAGGTGACAATGTGGAATGACAGTACTTCACCAAGGAAGAAAAATGTTATCACAACTTTATTTCAATTTACAATTCTGGGAGGCTCAAGAGTCAAATCAAGCTCTGTCATGTTCCCTGGTCTGACAGTTCTCCTCTCTCCACAGCATCAAACAATTTGCTAAGAACTTTGCACTTATTAACTGATTTAAACTTTATAATAATTCTATTAGTTAAGCAAGTTATTACCCTCTTTATAAATTAAGAAAATAAGCCAGGGAGATATTCAAGAATTTGTTCAAGCTAACACAGTTCTAAATATTCAAGTAATATGTGAAAGTCAAGAAGAAATTAAAGATCAGAAAAAATAAATAAATATTTGCTATTATGGGGTTCCACCACTTGAATGTCTAAATATTGTACAATGGTGAAAGCTGTATATCTTGCATTAATGTCCAACACATTTAAATGGCTTGCCATTTTTGTATTCCACCTAATTGCCTTAATAATGAAATTTGAGTTTCTATGGCATTTTATTTTTTGCAAGTTATTTTACACTTTAAATGTGTGAACACAAACACAATGTAGCAACATATTATTATCAATATTATTCACTTCAGAAAATAAACTTTGAAGTGAGAATTAATAATATGGCATTTATTCTCTTCCTATTAGGAATTTATATGTATAATTCATTTATTCAAATTATACAATAACTTACTAAATAGTTTTAAAAGGTGGTTTCCATGAACTTTAAAATTATATAACCACTCATACCTTTTTTGTGTCTGTAACTAGAGAATGAATTGATTATATTTTTAGATTAATGACTTGTATGGACATTTAACAGGCAGAATTGAGGGAGTTGCTGGCATTTTTTTTTTTTTTCAACTTTTATTTTAGGTTCAGGGAGTGCATGTGAAGGTTTGTTATATGGGTAGATTGCATGTCACTGGGGTTTGGTGTACAAATGATTTTGTTACCCAGATAGCGAGTATAGTACCTGATAGGCAGTTCTTTGGTCCTCAGCCTATTCCCACCCTCCACCCTCAAGTAGGCCCTGGTGTCTGTTGTTCCCCTCTTTGTGTTCATGTGTCCTTAATGTTTACTTCTCACTTATAAGGGAGAAGCTGTATTTGGTTTTCTATTCCTGTGTTAATCCACTTAGGACAATGGCCTCCAGCTCCATCCATGTATTTGGAAAGAACATGATTTCCTTATTTTTATGGCTGTGTTGTATTCCATAGTTTGTATATACCATATTTCTTTATCCAGTCCACTGTTGATGGGCATCTAGGTTGATACCATGTCTGTTACTGTAATTGGTGCTGGGATGAACACAGGAGTGCATGTGTCTTTTTGGTAGAATGATTTATATTCCTTTGAATATATACCCGGTAGTAGGATTGGTGGGTTGAGTCTGTTCTACATTCTTGGGGAAATGTCCAAACTGCTTTCCACAGTGGTTGAACTAATTTACATTCACAACAGCAGTGTGTAAACGTTCCTCTTCTCTACAAACTCGCCAATATCAGTTATGTTCTATTTAATAGCCATTCTTACTGGTGTCAGGTGATATCCATTGTGGTCTTGATATGCATTTTTGTAGTGATGAGTGATGTTGAGCATTTTGTCATATGCTTAGTGGCTGCATGTATGCCTTCTTTTGAAAAGTGTCTGTTCATGTCCTTTGTACTTTTTTTAAGTGGGTTGTTTGATTTTTGCTTTTTGATTTGTTTAAGGTAATTTTAGTACCTGGACATTAGGCCTTTGTCAGATGCATAGTTTGCAAACATATTTTTAAATTCTGTAGGTTTTCTGTTTACTCTCTTGACAATTTATTTTGCTGTCCAGAAGCTCTTTAGTTTAATTAGGTCTCACTTGTTTTTTTTTCTTGTATTTGTTTCAATTGTTTTTGGAGTCTTCGTTATGGAATATTTGCCAATGCTTATGTTCAGAATGTTATTTCCTAGGTTTTCTTTTAGGTTTTTTTTTTGTTTTGTTTTGTTTTTTGTTTTTTTTTTGAGACAGAGTCTAACTCTTGTTACCCAGGCTGGAGTGCAATGGTGCGTGATCTCGGCTCACTGCAACTTCTGCCTCCCGGTTTCAAGCAATTCTCCTGCCTCAGCCTCCCAAGTAGCTGGGATTACAGGCATGTGCCAACATGCCCGGCTAATTTTGTATTTTTTTAGTAGAGATGGGATTTCACCATGTTGGTCAGGCTGGTCTTGAACTGGCCTCAAGTGATCCGCCTGCCTCTGCCTCACAAAATGCTGGGATTACAGGCGTGAGCCACTGCACCCAGATATTCTTCTAGGGTTCTAGGCACTAGGCCCAGCCATTCTTCTAGGGTTCTCATAGTTTTATGTCTTATATTTAAATATTTAATCTATCGAGTTGATTTCTGCATATGGTAAAAGGAATGGGTCCAGTTTCAATCTTCTGCATATGGCTAGCCTGTTATCCCAGCACTATTTATTGAATTGGGAGTGCTTTGTTCATTGCCTGTTTTATTGACTTTGTCAAAGATCAGATGGTGGTAGGTTTGTGGCTTTATTTATTTATTTATTTATTACTTGTTCCATTGGTCTATGTGCCTGTTTTTGTACCACTACTATGCTGTGTTGGTTACTGTAGCCTTACAGTATAGTTTGAAGTAGGGTAATATGATGTCTCTGGCTTTGTTCTTTTTGCATAGGATCGCTTGGGTTATTCAGGTTCTGTTTTGCTTCCATTTGACTTTAGAATAGTTTTTTCTAATTCTTTGAAAAATGATGTTGGTAGTTTGATAGGAATAGCATGAAATCTGTAAGTTGCTTTGGGCAGTATGGCCATTTTTAAAATATTGATGATTTCTATCCATAAGCATGGAATGTTATTCCACTTGTTTTTGTTATCTCTGATTTCTTTTGTTTTTAGTTCCGTTTATGTGATAAATTATATTTATTGATTTCCATATGTTAAACTAACCTTGCATCCCAGGAATAAAGTTTACCTAAATGTGGTGTATCGACTTTTTGATGTGTTACTAGATGTGATTTGCTAGTATTTTGTTGAGAATTTTTGCATCTATGTTCATCAAGGATAGTAGCCTGACTTTTTTTCTTTTTATCTCTCTCAGTTTTTGGTATCTGAATGATACTGGTCTCTTAGAATGAGTTAGGGAGGAGTCCCTCCTTCTCACGTTTCTGAAATAATTTTAGTAAGACTGGTACCAGCTCTTCTTTATACATCTGGTAGAATTCGGACTGTGAATTCATCTGTTCCAGAGCTTTTCCTTCTTGGTAGGTGTTTTATAACTGATTGAATTTTGGAACTTATTCTTGGTCTGCTCAGTATTTTTATGTCTTCCTGGTCCAATCTTGAGCAGTTGTATGTTTCCAGGAATTTATCATTTTTTTCCGGGTTTTCTAGTTGTTGTCCAGAGTGTTCATAAAAGCCTCTCAGGGATTTTTGTATTTCTGTGGCATCAGTGGTAATGTCACTTGTGTCATTTCTCATTATGTTTATTTGGATCTTCTTTTTTTCTTTATTAATCTGGTGGTGGTCTATAAATCTGATCTATTCTTTCATAAAAACAACTTTTATTTTTGTTGATTTTTCCCTATGGATTTTTGCACTACAATTTCTTTCAGGTCAGCTGATTTTGGTGGTTTATTTTCTTCTACTAGCTTTGGGCTTGGTTTGCTCTTGGTTTTTCTAGTTCCTCTAGGTGTGATATTAAGTTATTAACTTGAGATTTTTCTAACTTCTTGATGTAATTATGTAGTGCTATAAACATTTCTCTTAATGCTGCTTTAGCTGTGTCCCAGAGATTCTAGAATGTTTTGCCTTTGCTTTTTTGTTTAAAATAATTATTTTGATTTCTGCCTCAATTTTTTTTATGCAGAAGTAATTCAAGAGCAGGTTGTTTAATTTCCATGGATCTGCTTAATTCTCCATGGATGTGTTTGGAGAATGCCAGTGTACTAGATGGTCTGTTCTCCCTTGGTGGGCAAAGCTCTTCCTGGCTACATCTAGTAGGCCATCTTGGCTCTTCCCCTCCCCATTTTTTGGGGGAGGATATTGTTTATTTGGTGCTACATAAATTACTAGAAATAGCAACATATTAGAATCTCTGGAACACAGCTAAAGCAGCATTAAGAGGAAAATTTATAGCACTACATGATTACACCAAGAAGTTAAAAAAATCTCAAGTTAATATTTTTATGGGGTTTTAAAGTGTATTGGTGGAAAAAATGCTCTAAAAATACATCCATAAAAAGAAAATATACTTTTGGCTTTATTTCTCAAATGTATGTAGTATACAGCATAGTATTCTTTTAATGGAAAAAAACTATATATATATATGTATATATATACATATATACATATATATATAGCTATGTGTAAACTCACATACTTCTTATCTTGAATTAAATTATTCATTTTATAATGGTTTAAGAAATTTAAAACATAGGCCTATGTATAAACTCCCATTGCTCATAAAGATATACAACCAAAGCTAATTTAAAAATAAATTATAAACACTATAAAATTAATATTATTCAAATTACCAACATTAATTTAATGTCAGAAATAATATTTTAAGGACATAATTGAATTAACCAACAGTGATAGG
This sequence comes from Homo sapiens, assembly GCF_000001405.40. Classification (NCBI taxonomy): domain Eukaryota; kingdom Metazoa; phylum Chordata; class Mammalia; order Primates; family Hominidae; genus Homo; species Homo sapiens. Next base: position 189,797,310 of record NC_000001.11, read on the forward strand.
TAAAGTTTATTTTTTAATTCAAGATGCCTACAGGTTATGCCCTATGATAGCTAAATTTTCATACCCATATTTCTACTCAAACACTGGTGGATACTTCACTAATCTAAATCATTTGGCAAGAATGCAGAATTTATATTTAATATGATCCTGTTGTTGTATCACTAATAGTAGGGTGTGGTATCATTTCTCTCTCATTAAATGGATATTGAGTGGATTAATAGTATTTTTAAAGCCAAAACTCAAGCTACCAATTTTCAGCTTCTATTTTTAAAGGTATTTAAAATTTATTTGTTTTAAGAAAAAATGTTTGTGAAATATTTAAATTTTAAATAAAGGTATTTAAAAATTATTTAATAATGGCCTACTATATACCAAGCACTGGTTACAGAGGATAATTTATACAATGTCCTACTGGTTACAGAGGATAATTTATGCAATGCCCATACTTTCATAGAGCTTACCTTCTAATGTAGGAAGATATGTGTATGTTTTTATATCTGTATGTTTGTGTTGCGTTTGTGTCTATGTATATCTATATCCACATCTGTATCTATGGATGTTGAATGAAAAAGTCAGGGTAAAGGGTGAAGAAGGGTGGAAACGCCAGGGTGCATTGTGAGATATGCTAGTGTCAACAGTTATAATTGCTCATGTATTGTGCCCATGTATAAATAAATATAATGATATTTAGTGTAGTATTAACATTAATAGCAAAATATGAAAAATATCCTAAATGCCCATCAGTATGAAACTAGTTAGCTAAATGTCAATGAAATAAAATATAACACAACATAATAAAATGGTGAATTTTCTATTTATGTAACAAAATGGAAAGTATATAAGCTACATTAATAAATGAAAAGGCAAAGAGCAGATTATTCAATATTTTATGCCATAATCTGCCAAAAAAACTAATATCCACTGAACTATTTATCTAGACTTTTAGAGGGAAACATAAGAAGTAAAATAATAGCAGTGGTTATCAGCTTGCAAGATAAAGTATCTTATATAGGTATCAATATTTCACTGCATATGCCTTTTTCTACTTTTTGATTTGAGAATCATGAGAATATTCTGTAATACCTATTCAGAAAATTGTATTAAAATGTCATTACATGATGCGTTAGGCCATTCCCATATTGTTATAAAGAAACACCTGAGACTGCTCGGGTGTGGTGGCTCACGCCTATAATCCCAGCATTTTGGGAGGCCCAGGCAGGCGGATCACCTGAGGTTGGGAATTCAAGACCAGTCTGACCAACATGGTCTCTACTAAAAATACAAAAAGTTAGCCAAGTGTGGTGGCGCATGCCTGTAATCCCAGCTACTCGGGAGGCTGAGGCAGGAGAATCGCTCCAACCTGAGAGGCAGAGGTTGTGGTGAGCCAAGATCGCACCATTGCACTCCAGCCTGGGCAACAAGATCGAGCTCTGTTTCAAAAAAAAAAGAAAGGAGAGAAAAGGAAGGAAGGAAGGAAGGAAGGAAGGAAGGAAGGAAGGAAGGAAGGAAGGAAGGAAAAAGAAAAGAAAGAAAGGGAAGGAAGGAAGGGAGGAAGGAAAGAAAGGTCCTGAGACAGAGTTATTTAGAAAGAAAAGAAAGAGGTTCAGTTGGCTCATGGTTCCACATGCTGTACAGAATGCATGGCTGGGAGGCCTCAGGAAATTTACAGTCATGGCAGAAGGCAAAGGGGCAGTGAGCCATCTCACATGGAAGAGCAGCAGCAAGATGGGGTGACATGCTACATACTTCTACACAACCAGATGTCATGAGAATTCACTCACTATCACAAGAACAGCACCAAGAGAATGGTGCTAAAGCAGTCATAAGAAATTGTCCCCATGATCTAATCAACTCTCTCCAGGCCCCAACTCTAACATTGGGAATTACAATTTGACATGAGATTTGGGTGAGAACACAGATCCAAGCCAATCTCATTTAAAAATGTTCTGATGGGCTTACACCGGTGTATTGGGTTCAGAGAGACCAGATGGGATAGTAGCATAGTGTTTGTTTTGAAATATGAGGGAGTTAACCATGTGTATGTTAAGAAGAGGTTTTCACATTCAGGATACATTTAAGAAGCCATTAAAAGAGTTAGCAAACTATAGCTCTTGGTTGAAACCATAACTTTGTCTAAATTTTTGTAAATAAGATTTCATTGGAACACAGCTATACCCATTCTTTTACATATTGTCTAGTGCTGCTTTCACATTGTAATAGTAGAGTTGAGTGGTTATAGCAATGGTTATATTGCATACAAAGACTATAACACTTAGAATATTCCCCTTTAGAGAAAACATTTGCTGGTTCCTCATATAGACCAGAGGATTTTCCAATGAACAGCTTGCGTGGTATTAAATAATGATGAGAGTAAAGGATAACACTGCCATTTTTAGCCTGAGCAACTAGCAAATTTGAAATTTGAATTACCATTTACTGCCATTTATTGAAACATGGATCACTTAGAATGCAACAAAGTCAGGGTGATGAAGACTAAAAGATTCAGTAGAATATAGGATAATTCCCTGAGTATGTCTGCAAGACTACGTGTCCACAGATCCCAGTTTGAGAAACAGTTGTGTAGTAGGATATGAGGAGTAGGATAGGAGGAGGGTAATTCTAAAGTTCTAAAACTAACAAACCTTTGACCAAATTGTTTAAACTTTCTGATTCTTGACTTTCTCACAAATAAAATCATATGTTCATCTTGGTAATCACTGGCCTTTTTCTAAACAAAATTCTGTGAAAGAGTTATGAAAATTTTACTACATGCATACAAATTCATTAGGTGTTCCTTTTAAGGGGTTTAAAGTTAAAGAATGATGCAGGGTAATCTACTTAAAATAACAGGTAATCTGCCCACTGAAGGTCTTAAGGTAGATGTTAATAAATGATTGTGAAATGAATGAATCAGTTTGCTACAATTTGCACATTACATGCTATTATATTCATAAAAGAATGGGAAATTAATATTCATATATATTTGTCATTTACATCTTTTTGAAATCCATATAATGCAATTCTATTTCAGTATAAAATAGCTTAGTTAATATATCACTATGTATATTTTGTATAAATATAAAAGCATAATACACATAGAAATGTCACACATACATTTGCTTTTGATTCAAATAAAGATATCATAAAAAATTTAACATTTTTGTTTATTAAATTGTATGGCATTGAACTTTAGGAACACTTACATGTCAAAGCTTATTAAGAGGGAAAATAACCAGTCTAGGTGTCATATAGATGTCCATCAAACTATCATCACACCTCCACTTTGCATTTTAGGTTGATAATTTAGCATCAACATAGAGGACTTTGATGACAAACAATTTCAGGGAGTGAAACTGGCAAAGAACATAAGGTATTCTTTTTCAAGTTTAACACCTTACCGTGATGTTTGACTTCAAATATAAATGTAGCTACAGTGTAATAAAAAAACAATTTTTTCAGTTGTTTACTATCTCTTCTCTTTATACATTAGAAACTTCCAATTTCTTTAATTTCACATTTAAAGGAAGTTTTGATATGAAGAATTGAAGATACAGATATGAAAGTACAATAGTCAGTTTCAGCATTTTTAATTGCCAGTCTGTTTCTCTTATGTTACAATTTTCAGGCCATTTTTAGGCCTTTCCAAATTACTAAATGCATTAAATGTTACCTGATCTGCTTTTTTTCATTGCTACCTATTTTTTTAAGTAATGCTGTCTTTATGATTTCTTTTTTGCCCATGTGCATATTCTCTTATTTCACTGTAGGAATGGTGAAACTCTGGATCTAGAATTTAACTATATCCAATTTTCATGAGAGTAAAAATGTATATTATTCTATTAAAGCTCTATAAAGACTAAATTTGCATCCCTCCAAAAAATGTAAAGTAGCAATGTCATCACTCTTGCACATCCTCTTTGAAACTTCGTTTTCATCATCTGTGAAATTTTTTTGTGTTTTTTTTCTCTGCTTTATCAAATTACGTTCTCAGGTCAGTCAACAATTGAAATTGCGTACAACTTGGCATGATCTAATCGTATGAGTTTTGAAATTGCACCTGTGTTTTAGCTAAAAATTTGTTGTGCATGTAAATAAATTATATAAAACAAGTTTATAAACATATATGCATGTATAATTATTTGTTCTTCTAATCCATATTCCTTACTTTATTATCTTATGTATAAATTATGTAAAGATAGCATCAGAATATGTAATATAAATTTTTTAAAGCAATCCTGCCCACACTCTAGAAAAGTGAGCTTACAGGTATGCTATTAAAAAACTACTTATCCTCTTCATCCTCTAGGTCCCACAAGCAACAGAAATATGTATGTTATTATTTCATAAGTAAAGCATAACTGTCTTATATTTAAAAACAATGAAATACTTTTCTCTATCAATAAGCAAAAATATCATCAATAATTTTTCTTACATTTTATTTTTATCAAAACATTAAATAGGAAAACAGCCTTTCTTAAAAAAAAAAATGGCCGGACACGGTGGCTCACGCCTGTAATCCCAGCACTTCGGGATGCTGAGGCGGGTGGATCACGAGGTCAGGAAATCGAGACCATCCTGGCTAACACAGTGAAACCCCTTCTCTATTAAAAATACAAAAAATTATCCGGGCGTGGTGGCGGGCGCCTGTAGTCCCAGCTACTCAGGAGGCTGTTAGAGGAGAATGGCGTGAACCCGGGAGGCGGAGCTTGCAGTGAGCCGAGATTGCGCCACTGCACTCCAGCCTGGGCGACAGAGCAAGACTCGGTCTCAAAATAAATGAATGAATAAATAAATAAATAAATAAATAAATAAATAAATAAATAAGCCAAACCAAGTATTAGAGTAACATAACTCAGTTTTCCATTCCTCTATTCTCTTGACCCCCGTACCCTAAACTCAGCATCCTACTACCCTCCTTCAGGTAACCAATGTATCCTTCCAGAAATTTTTGTTATTGTTGTTGTTGTTGTTTCGAGACAGAGTTTTGCTCATGTTGCCCAGGCTGGAGTGCAATGGCACGATCTCAGCTCACCACAGCCTCCACCTCCTGGGTTCAAGCAATTCTCCTGCCTCAGCCTCCCAAGTAGCTGGGATTACAGGCATACGCCACCATGCCTGGCTAATTTTGTATTTTTAGTAGAGACAGGGTTTCTCCATGTTGGTCAGGCTGGTCTCGAACTCCCGACCTCAGGTAATGCACCCGTCTTGGCCTCCAAAGTGCTGAGATTGCAGGCATGAGCCACCGTGCCCGGCCTCCTTCCAGAAATTTTGCTATGAATTTACATATTTACTTCTCATACATATATCTAGTTATTTCCATTACATATTGCTCTGCAACTTGCTTTTAGTTTTACACTTAGCAGTATGTCAAAAGTGTTTGCATGTGGATACATTTAAGTCTACCACATTCAAATAGCTGCACGGTTTCTCATATTAAGGATTGCCTTCGTCAATTTCTACTGCTATTACAGGATATCATAGACTAGATGGCTTGAACAACAAACATCTATTTCTCACAGTTCTGGAGGCTGAGAAGTATAAGATCAAGGTGCTGGCAAATCAGGTGTCTGGTACTAATTTGCAGATTGCCATCTTCTTCTGGAGCCTCACACAGCAGAGAGCAGAGAGAGGAAGTAAACTGTCCAGTTTCTTCTTATAGTGTCACTAGTATCATTAATGAAGCCTCTATCCTCTGACTTAATTACCTGCCAAAGTACCACCTCCAAAATTTAACATATGAATTCTGTGAGGACATAAATATGGAGTCCATAGTAACGATAAATCATAAGTAATTTAAGTTTTACTATTTTAGGACATTTCAAAAATTGCAAATAATATCTAATAAATGTTCTTATATAATGCAGTGTACCGAGTAAGAGTATGGGCTCCAGATTCAGACTTCACTGATACGCAGTAAAGTCTGTAAAAATCAGTATGAGAGTGTATACCTCATACTTTTTTCGACAATTAGAAAATACAATGCAAATAAAGTACTTTAGCAGGACCTGGAATATACTACGTTTTCAATAATGTGAGCTACAGCTATGGTTATATTCACAATATAAAAACTATTTCATGAACACGGAAACACATAGTTAAACTATTTGAGAATTTCTACAGTATTTGGTAGTCATCATTGCTTTGAATCCTACAAAGCCTACCCAGGTTTTTCAGTGGCTTCCCTATCAGAAGGCCCTAGATGAGTATCACCTGCAAAGATCCTTGCTTTCTGCTATACCCCCAAACTACCACCAGTCTCCAAGGCTCCCATGTAAGCCCCACTTCACAGAGAGCCTTTCCATCGGAAACTGACAGGATAGATGGTATATTTGTGAGGGCAAATATCTGGGCTGTAATGCACCGTCAGTCACTTGTGGGAACTGTAGCCTAAATAGTGTACTATTTTAATATTAAATAACTGTCTAGTACCCCTTAAGATTATTCTTGCTATTATTAAATATAGTAATTAATTAATGCAAAAACAATTATTAATATATTGCTATTATTACACACATTTTGCATGGAAAATTTATGTGAGAAATTATACTTTTTAAGGATATTTTATAGATATATAAGTAGTCAGGTGTCTTATAGTAGTTTTAAGATACCATTTCATTTGGGGTGAGGACAGGCTTTTTTGTTTTTCTCTATTGCAAGGAACCTTAACATTGTCATATTGAAGTAAACTGTCTCATTTATTTAGTTGCTTTTAATTGTTTTTTAACCTTTTTACTATTTTTAAATCAGTTTTACTATGATGTTCCTATTTGTTGCTTTTTTAAAATTTATTTTTCTCATGATTCCTAGCTCTTTAAAAATTAGTGAATGGAAGTCTTTCAGCAGTTTTGGATAATAAGTTGACATCATGTCATCAGTTGTTTCTGCTTCCATTTCTGTATCTTCCTATTCTGGGCTCTGTTTTAGGTAGAATTCTAAGATGGCCCCATGATATTTATTCTCTGTTGTTAGTACCATAATTATATAATGTGTATGGCAAAAGGGATTTTGTGCTTTTATTTAAGCTCGCTTATCAGTTAACCTTAAGATACGGAGATTATTCACATAGGCCAGACATTTACATGAACACACTAAAAGTAGAGTTTTCTGGGGTCACAGAGAGAAAGTCAGAGGTAGGAAGCATGATGGAAATTTGACATGAGACATCCTGCTACAGACTATGGCATGAGAAAGCATGTGAGAGAGCCTGTGAGAAGGCGCATGGCCCAGAACTGCAAGTAGCCAGGAGCTGAGAGTGTTTTCCAGTTCACAGCCAGCAAGAAAAAGGAGTCTGCATTCCTACCACAGCAAGGAACTAAATTCTCACAACTAGCTGAATGAGCTTGTTAGCAAATATTTATCCAGAATCTCTAAGTAAGAATCCAGTTTGGCCATATCTTATTAATGTCAGCCTGTGGGACACTAAGAAGAGAATCTTGTGGAGAACACCTCGATTGCTAATCTGCAAAACTGTAAGATAATACATGGTTTTAAGCTTCTAAGTATATGGTAATTTGTTTTGCAAATTTGCAGCAATAGAAGACTAATACAGAGTTTGTTACCAAGAGTTGGGTACTATGCTTAAGAATATCTAAAAATGTGGAAATGGCTTTGTAGTCAGGAAGTAGGTGGATGCTGGAAGAAAATTTGAAAAAAAAGTTTGGGGAGACTACTAGAAAAATCACAGATTTCCTCAAACAGACTATTAGTAGAAAAGTAGACATCAAAGACCATGCTGGTGAGGGCTCAGAAGAAAGTAAAGGAGCATTATGAAGAAATCATAAATTGCCTAACAGAAAGCTTAAATCACAATGAACAGAATATTACCACAAATCTGGACATTAAGAACATTGCCAATGATGGCTCAGAAGGAAGTAAGAAACATATTATTAGAAACTGAAGGAAGGAATCATTTTGTTTTATAGTGGCAGAATCTTAGTAACATTGTGTTCTCCAGTTATTTGGAAAGCTAAACTTGTGAGTGATGAACCTGGGTATATAGCTAAAAAGATTTCTGAACAAAGCTGGTTTCTTCTTACTGCTCATGGTATAAAGCAACAGAGGAGAGAAAATCGAGAGGACTTTTGAGCAGAAATAAGCCAGGATATAATATTTTATAAATCTCAGACTCTTCTGATGGCAAAGGGCCAAAAGTCAAAAGTTGCTGCCGAAAGTTTGTTATAGAGAAAAGGCTGAGTGTGTGACTATGATAATCTTTTGCTGAGATCTCAGAAAGACCAAAAGGTTAGAGTGCACACTCTGTTTTAAGAGATTAAGGATATTTTTCAGAGTTCTTCTCAATGAAATCAGGGAACCTCTAGGAGAAGGTAAAAGGTGTTGTCCCTCTGCCAACTGAACAGAAGCCAAAAATATAATATAAATTATATCAGACAAACATGTAGATATGGCTTATGTCTAATAAAATAAAATTCAATGTAATTAATACAATACCCCAAAATTCTTGAGAAATTTATTGAAGTAGACATACTGTCAGTGTAGACTGAAAGGGACAGAGAGAGTACCAAACGAAGGAAGGCTACTAGATACCCTAAATTCTACAGGCAGGAAGCAAACTGATAAAACCACTCAGCTGTAATGCTACAAAAAGGAAAAGGAAAAGGAAAGATGACTCAGCAGATGGAGTCAAAATCCCAGTGGCCAAAGACTAGAGCTAATGAAGATTATTTGCAGACTTTGAACTCTAATTGAAGAAATATTGCTGGAATTAGTCCAGCAATATTTTTTACGGTTGAAAAATAGTGATATACTTCGAATGTTTGTCACTAACAAAATAAAAGATTTGACACAGAAAATCACAATGCAAAATAATTGTGTTATTCACAAGCTATAATATTTACAATGTTTAAGAGAAAGGGCTCCTGTCATCTTAGGCACCTTCATGAAAATAAAGTTCTTTTCATTCGCTTAAAAGAACTTAAGCAAAAGTTGTGTGACGTACACATTCTTTACTCATTTTAAATTAAATTATATGCAACATTATTTAAAGATAATAGCATAATTTAAATGTGAGGACCTGCTTGCATGCCCTTTGATAGGCTCAAGTAAGAGACTATTATAGGAAGGTGCCCTTGAAGGGCTCCGTAGGGCTCCAGTATAACCTCAACCTACCACACATGGCCATCACTCGGAAATTAGGTCTTGAATTGGAAGGAGCACTAGAAAAGTATGTGTTTAAAATACACTGGAATGAATAATTTTTTTCCTAGAGTATTTTTAACTTTGTTTAATTGTGGTAAAATAGTCATAATGTAAAATTTACTATTGTAACCATTTTTAAATTTACAATTCAGGGCATTATGTATATTCACAACATTTTTGAATATGCTGTTAGCACCATCCATCTCTAGAACATTTTTATCATTTCGAACTGAAAATTTACACCCAAAAAACAGTAAATCTTCATCCCTCTCTCTTCCCAGTATCTGGTAAACACTATTCTACTTTCTATCTCTATGTATTTGCCTTTTCTATGTACCTCAGATAAGTAAAATTATGCAATATTTGCTCTTTCTTTGTGGCTAATTTCACTTAGCATAATGTTTTCAAGGTTCATCCATGTTAAAACATGTATTAGAAGTTTATTCCTTTTAAAGTCTGGATTATATTCCTGTGTGTGTGTATGTGTGTATGTATACAATATTTTATATTTGTGTGCAAAACTGAATTCTAAAGAATTTAATTTTGCAATTACTGATTTTCCTGAGATCCTAAAGGGTTAATGTGCTTTTGGAATTTTCTCTGGGTTTTTGGCTTTGTTTTGTTGGTTGGTTGATTGGTTTTAATTTCAACTTTTATTTTAAATTCAGGGGGTACATATACACACACAACACAACATGCATTTATCCATTCATCTTGTCATGACCACTTAGGTTGATTCCACCTTGTAGCTATTATGAATAATGCTGCTATAAACATTTTATACAAATATCTATTCAGGTGTTCGCTTTCATTACTTTTAGGTATGTGCACAGAAGTTGAATTGCTGGCTCATATGCTAATTCTATAATTATTTGAGCAAACAAATTATTCGAGGAAACATACACTTTCTACAGTGGCTGCCTAATTTTACTGTCCTACCAGCAATGCACAAGGCTGCTAAATTCTTCACATTAGTGCCAACATTTGTTTTCCATTTGTTTTTCTTCTTATAATAGCAATCCACTTGTGAAGTGGTATCTCATTTTGCTTTGATTTGCATTTCCTTAATGATTAATAACACTGAATATCTTTTCATGTGCTTATTGAACATTTATGTATTTTTCTGTGTTTTTTCCTGGTAAGAACATTTGTTGAGAGAAAATGTTCAATATTTGCACTAAAAGATTAGCAGTCTTTGTGGATTTTATATTTGTGTGCAAAACTGAATTCTAAATAATTTAATTTTGCAATTACTGATTTTCCTGAGATCTTAAAGGGTTAATATGCTTTTGGAATTTTCTCTGGGTTTTTTGGTTTGTTTTTTTGGTTTGTTGATTGGTTTTAATTTCAACTTTTATTTTAAATTCAGGGGATACATGTGCAGGTTTTTTTTCATGGGTATATTGTGTGATGCTGAGGTTTATGGCATGGAGGTAGTGGATTATTCTCAGGTAATGAGAATAGTACCCAATAGGTAGTTTTCCAATCCATGCCCCACTTCCTCCTTCTCTCATCTAGTAGTCTGCAGTGTCTACTGTTTCCATGTTTATGTCCACATATATATACTCTATGGTTTTGGAGAACTGATCACTAAAATTGTTTGCCCTTTTGAAAAATAGGTTGTTTGGGTTTTTGTGTTGCTGATAACCTATAGGAGCTTTTTTTATATATTCTAAATATTAACTCTTTATAAGATATACGATTAGCAAATATGTTCTCTCATTCCATGTGTTGCCTTTTCACTCTGTTTTTAGTATCCTTTAAAAAATGTTGATCAAGTCCAATATATCTAATTTTTCTTATATTACCTGTGCTTTTGATATTCTTTCAAGAAGTAATTATTGCCAAATCGAATGACATGAATAATTTTCCCTATTTTTAAAGATTTTTATACTTTTAACTTTTATGCTTAAACTTTAAAATATTTTGAGTTTTCTGTATATAAGGAAAAGACTCATATTTCTTATTTTGCATGTGGTTATATCATTTTCCATTTCTGAGAAGATTGCTATTTTCCTTATTGAATGTTCTTGTCACTTTTGTTGAAAACCCTTTGACCATATATGTGAGGTTTTATTTCTGGGCTCTCTATTCAGCTTCATTGGTCTATATGTTTTTCTTTATGCCAGTAATTCACTGTTTTGATTACTATAACAACTTTGTAGTAAGTATTGAAATCATGAAGTGAGAGTACTCCAACTTTGTTATTTATTTTCAGTATTGTTAAGGTTACCTGGGTCCCTTAAGAATCCAAATGAACTTTAGGAAGAATGTTTCTATTTCTGCAAACATTATCCTTGGGATTTGATAGAAATTGCATTGAATCTGTAGAATGCATTTGGTCATGCTCACAATATTAAGTCTTTCCATCTATGAGCACAAATGTCTTTGAGCTTGTGTCTTCTTTAGTTACTTTCACCAACATTTTGTAATTTTCAATGTACAAGTATTTTATCTCCTTAAGTTTTTTCTAGGTATTTTATTCTTTTTATTTTTATATAAAATGGACTTTTTTCTTATTTTTATTTTTATTGTTACTATACAGAAATACAACTTTTTTGTTAATATTGTATCATGCAACATTGTTGAATTTTTAAATTTGTTCTAACAGTTTGGTTTTTTGTGGACCTTTGAGTTTTTTTCGTACAGCATCATGCCATCTCTGAACAGAAATCATTTTACTTTTTCTTTCCAATTTAATTGCCTTTTACTTTTGTTTCTTTCTGAATTTCTGTGACTATAACTTTCAATACCGTGTTAGAAACTTTCCATATTGTGTTACTGAACTGGTGAAAGCAGGCATCCTTATCTTCTTCCTTTTCCTAGCATAAAAGCTTTCAGAATTTTATCATTGCATATGATATTACCTGTAGGCTTCTCATATATGTTCATTATTATAATGAAAAAGTTTCCTTGTAATCCTGGTATGTTGGGCATTAAAAAAAACACAAAAGTGAACTAAATTTTGTCAAATGCTTTATCTAATAAACTACCTTTCTGTCTGATTACATGCTTTGCTTGATTTTTAATCTTATTAAGTGTTTTTACATCAGTCTTACTGCTTATCAGTCTATCCTGGAGAATATTTCGTATGTTCTCAAAAAAAACCCCATAATTTTCTGTTGGTGAAGTAATTACAAATACCATCTTATGTTAGTTAGTAGTTTATTATTATTATATAGTGCAGCCACTCTGGATTCTGATTTTTCTCTAAGGGGGTTGTGTTCATTGCTGCTTTACTTGTTTCTTTGTTTAGTAATTTGCCTGGATTCCATTTGTGAATTGTGCCTTTCTCACAGAGTAAAAATGCCAATGTCACTGATTATTTTTTATTATTCTTGTTTTAACTTTAAGTTTGTTTTCCTGCGGGTCACTTCAGTGTCAGTACAAATTAGTGGTCGGTTCATGATTTGTGGTTGACTTTAAATACCATGAACAAGTAAAGTTTCCATTCTCTGCTGATAAATCTTGTTTAGGATGGAACTACAATAAAAAATTAGGAAGTTTACATATCTAATTTGATTTCTGCTCTCCTTCAGGCCCTCTCTATCCCCTCTGCGTATGTGCACGGCTTCAAGTTTAGCTGAGGAAGTTTAGATTGCAAGACCACTCCCAAATCTCTCCTATGTAGCCTTATTTGTTCATGCAGCATTCCAGACTGCCAGCGATATATAGCATCTCGTAGACGCTCCTTTTTACTTTTTCATTTCCCAGATTTCCCTGTTAAGCTTCAGCGCAGTCTGCCTGGTTGTTACTTTCCCCAACCAGGACTGCAATAGGAGAATTACTGTGATGGCCCTTTCCCCTTTTGTTTGCCACTGATATTATTACATTTTCAGGCAATTCCTCAGCCATGAGATTATTTTCATTCTTCACTACAAATCAAGCAAGCACACCTCAGCAGCAGAGATGCCAGTTTTCATAGCTTGTCCTTCCCTGACAGGAATTCTAAACACACAGAGTGAGGTGTAGGAGAGTAAGGAAAGGTCCTGCTAAGAATGCTATGACTCCCATGGTTCTTACCCAAGGTATAGTAGTTTTTCTTGAATAAATGCTTTTTAGTTTGTTGTGTTCTTTTAGTCAATTTCCAGAATTCTTTTCTTTTTTCCTTTTTTTTTTTTTTTGAAATGGAGTTTCATTTTGTCGCCCAGACTGGAGTGCAGTGGCATGATCTCTTCTCACTGCAGCCTCCACCTCCTGGGTTCAAGCGATTCTCCTGCCTCAGCCCTCCTGAGCAGCTGGGATTACAGGTGCCCACCACCATGCCAGCCTAATTTTTGTATTTTTAGTAGAGACAGGGTTTCACCGTGTTGGCCAGGCACGTCTCGAACTACTAACCTCAGGTGATCCGCCACCCTCGGCCTCCGAAAGTACTGGGATTACAGGCCTGAGCCACTGCACCCGGCCAATATCCGGCCAGTTTCTGGAGTTCTGAAATGGTTGTTTTTGACAACTTGGTCTGGTTTGATAATTCTGTTCTGAGATACAAAATTGTCCAACCCTTCGCCTCACTAATCCAGAAGTCCTGTCAAAACACCAGCTAAAACACACTTGAAATATTCCATTTCATCACCAAAGAAAGGGAAGTAATCTCAAATTTGTATTATCCTCAGCTTCACAGAACTAAAGTATCTTACACTGAGTTAACACAACTGACATCTTTTAATCATAGGTGAGGGATTCATGACAAAGTGAAGATTTAGTGATATTAAAGATAGAACTATAAATATTGCATTACAGTATTAGAGACAATAATTATAATAACTATTTTTACTAGTGCTCAAATGTACTTTAATTGAATAATGTCACATTGGCTCTGGATATTACTGAAATAACATGAAATAAGGAAGATAGGAATATAAACTACAGAGAATGCACATTAAAGCATCAAGTCAAAAGTTTTTTTTTTTAATTTAGAAGGCAAATCTTTGTGACTCAGAGACAATAAAAGAACCAATCAAGAGGCCGGTGGCTCACGCATGTAATCCCAGCACTTTGGGAGGCTGAGCGGGGCAGATCACAAGGTCAAGAGATGGAAAACATTTTGGCCAAATGGTGAAACCCCGTCTCTCCTAAAAATACAAAAATTAGCTGAGCATGGTGGCGCACACCTGTAGTCCCAGTTACTCAGGAGGCTGAGGCAAGAGAATCACTTGAACCTAGGAGGCAGAGGGTACAGTGAGCCGAGATCGTGCCACTGCACTCCAGCCTGGCGACAGAGCAAGAATAAAAAAAAAAAAAAAAAAAAAAAAAAGCAATCTTCTTGATTTTGCTTTAAAAAGAAAATAAATTTAAACTGCAACAGTAGTTGTTTTAACATTATATAGTTTAGGAAACTCTAATTTTAAAGTATACATGGTTCAACTATGTAAATAAAATGAATAATACTGAACACAGAGGGTATTTCCTATAAAGAGCAACTACAACTCAGCTCTGAATACTTTTCCTCAGGCAAGAGGCCTGTCACACTATTAGAGAGATCTGATTATTTTATGAGAAGACAGTAAGTCAGATCTTTAAAATGTGAAATGTCCTGAAAAAAATGCATTACATGTATATTTCTAAGTGTGTATATATAGATACACACATACTTAACCAGATTTTACACCTCTAATATAGACATGTATATATTTTTTCGAGCAGCTTCAAAAACATGTATCCTCATGAACATCTCAATGTCATGTAGTCAATGAAATTGAACTGTAACATTTTAGACAGCTGTCAAAATCAGCTCAATCCAAATTATGAGTTAGCATAATATTAGGTTTTACATTCCTCAAGAAATAAGGCAGAATGACTTATTGATAAATAAAAATTAGTCAGTTTTTATAACCAATTTATAAGAATATTGTTAAATGGAAGAATTTTCGATAAAATTATTAGAATAAATACCACTTAGCTATATCATCTCCAAAATAGAGGTTTAAGTTAAAGAAACCACCTAATAAAACAAACATTTGTTAAACTTTTACTATGTTCCAGGCACTCTGCTAAACAACAGACATATAAATGTGAAAAGGCCATGGTTAATGAGATGTATAGTACTGCATATGTTTTTTAAAAAAAATATTCTTTTGTGTATACATATACTGCAGACAGAGGAAGAAAGTCGTTTAAATTTTCAATAGTGTGATTAGGCAAGGCATTTCAAGAACAATTCTATTTCTGGTAATTTATTTTTCATTGATAATTAGAGTTATAGGCAAGAAGGTTGTTACAAGAAACTTATTCATAATATAGATATGTAATTTAATATTCAACATGGAAAAATTTATGAACTGCATAAATAAGATTGAACACGCTGACATTAAAATTATGCTTTCAGGTACATTAAATGATAAATAAATATTCACAATAATATTGTGAGGTGAACACAGTGTGTAAATATATAAACAGTGTGATTCCTACTTGATGTTTTTATAGAAAAGTAGATAAGGGAGTATGAAGAAATGTGGGTGGAATTATAGATAGATAAGTAAACATATAGATATGGATAGAGTAAGCAGCCATTACAAATATTTTGTTGTATATCTGATTCATATGATTATATAAGATTTCTTTCTTTATACACTTCTGGAATGTTTAAATGTTTATATGGAGATTCCATATTAAATTCCTAATCAGAACATAAAATTAAAGACCTTTCTCTGGCTACCTACTCTCTAGCCCACTTCCTCATTCTGTGAGAGTTATATGCTTCCTTTGAATTCAGTACCCGCATAAACATCTTTGCATTAAAAATAATCATAAGTGATCATGACTTTATCACCTTTAAGAAACTGTAACCTCTTGAAAAGCAGAAATCTTTTAAGAAGTGTCTGTTCATATCCTTCACCCACTTTTTGATGGGGTTGTTTGATTTTTATTGTAAATTTGTTTAAGTTCCTTGTAGATTCTGAATGTTAGACCTTTGCCAGATGGATAGATTGCAGAAATTTTCTTCTATTCTGTAGGTTACCTGTTCACTATGATGGTAGTTTATTTTGCTATGCAGAAGCTCTTTAGTTTAATTAGATCCCATTTGTCAATTTTGGCTTTTGTTGCCATTGCTTTTGGTGCTTGAGTCATGAAGTCTTTACCCATGCTTATGTCCTGAATGATATTGCCTAGGTTTTCTTCCAGGGTTTTTATGGTTTTAGGTCTTACATTTAAGTCTTTAATCCATCTTGAGTTAATTTTTGTATAAGGTGTAAGGAAGGGGTCCAGTTTCAGTTTTCTGCTTATGACTAGCCAGTTTTTGCAGCACCATTTATTAAATAGGGAATCTTTTCTACATTGCTTGATTTTTGTCAGGTTTGTCAAAGATCAGATGGTTGTAGATGTGTGGTGTTATTTCTGAGGCCTCTGTTCTGTTCCATTGGGCTATATACCTGTTTTGATACCAGTATCATGCTGTTTTGGTTACTGTAGCCTTGTAGTATAGTTTGAAGTCAGGTGGTGTGATGCCTCCAGCTTTGTTCTTTTTGCTTAGGATTGTCTTTACTATATGGGCTCTTTTTTGTTTCCATATGAAATTTAAAGTAGTTTATTCTAATTCTGTGAGGAAAGTCAGTGGTAGTTTGATGGGAATAGCAGTGAATCCATAAATTACTTGGGCCAGTATGGCCATTTTCATGATATTGATTCTTCCTATCCATGAGCATGGAATGTTTTTCTATTTGTTTGCGTCCTCTCTTATTTCTGTGAGCAGTGGTTTGTAGTTCTCCTTGAAGACGTCCTTTACGTCCCTTGTAAGTTGTATTTCTAGATATTTTATTCTGAACAATGAGAACACATGGACGCAGGGAGGGGAACATCACACACCGGGGCCTGTCAGGGGGTGAAGTGCAAGGGGAGGGAGAGCATTAGGACAAATACCTAATGCATGCAGGGCTAAAAGCCTACATGATTGGTTTATGGGTGCGTGCGGCAAGTGACTATGGCACATTTATATCTATGTAACAAAGCTGCACATTCTGCACATGTATCCCAGAACTTAAAGTATTATAATAATAATAATGATTGAAAACAGAGCATGCAAGAGAAATAGAGAAAGAAAGAGAGAAAGCGAAGGGGAGATCTTAATTCTCCAGATATTTTCCATAAACTTTAAACATGTTTCTGTCTTCTTTCAGTTTTTTGCCATAGTAAAGTCTGAAAGGTAACCTGGACATGTAATCTATAAGACAAAGCTCTTATTTAACCACCCATCCCACAGCTGCTGGCCTGTGTCTGATGAAGAAACTTAATTCTTATATTATCATCCTTACAATGAACTAAAACTTGTAAAATTTATTCTTGTATCTTATTGAAATAATATGTAAGTTATTATATTTTTCTTTAATGACAAAATTGTGATGGCTTTCTTATTTTGTTTTTCTCTGCAGCCTCTTTATAGACTCATCATTGAGATGCCAAATTATCACCCATGTTCTCTGTACAACTGGATATTAAAAAAAAAAAAAAAGCAGGAACCATGATCTTCAGTTTTTCTCTAGAAATAAATATCCACACTTGGATATAGAAGAAAAATGCTTAAATGAGGTTTTCTGTTTCCACTGCAACAAAATATACTGATATATTTTAACAGTGCCTAAGAGACAATATTTTAAAGTGGTAGATTTTGCTGCTAATGTAACCTGAAAATCCTCAATAATTAGAGGGTTAGCATATTCTAGGATGTATATATCAAAAATTGTGTTATGTTTCAACATTTTAAGCATGCATGCATGTATATGTAGACACAAATGTTCCAAATAATTTTCATTGTCATTGTATAGATTCTACAGTATTTCTTGTCATTTTTATGCACTTGTCAAAACAACTGCAGAAACATTTATTGGTTAGTTTCTGCTTTAGGATTTTATTTTCAGTTGACATTTGCTAACTGGCTATTAGTCATTTTTTTTTTTTATCTCTAGAAAGAACTCCAAATCCAATGCAATTTTGTCTTATTATTTTCCCCAGTGCTGAATTATTTGAACTTCTAAGGCCTTTTTATGTGGGTGTAGAAAGATAAAATACATCAAACTGAACCTTTTAATAAAATTTCAATGAAGTGATAAATCAGATAGCTATTGCAAACAATGTAGAAGTACACTTGTGCCATTAAATGATGCAAGAAGCTCATCTAGCATAAATGAGTTGTTTGGAAATCAAAGAAACATCCCTCTGTTTAATATTTCCTGCAAATTGATCCTTCAAACTCTATTTTTTAGCAAAATAACTTGTTGTCTTTGAATTGGGATATTTGCAGGTATTTATCAGCAATAACCATGTTTTCAATTACACTAAAGTCTCAAAGTTTGAAAGTACAAACCTGTTATTGTGTATTTATTGACTTTTATTTTAAAGTTTAATTTGTACCAGTGAAGAACTCCAGTGCCTTCTATATTAGAAAGTAATATTAATACTTTTTTTGAGAACATACATATCAGATAACTGAAATCAATAAGTTGACAATATTCTTATAAAACAAAGATTGATAGAACTATGTCATACATGCTCACCTTTTCAAAGGGGGTAAGTTTGAGCTTCTGCATTCCCTTGGTGTTTTCAAGATTGTTTTGATGAGTTTGTTGTTAGTAATATTTTTAATAGTATATTTTCTCTAGTCTTCCAAAAGACCAAATTCAAAGAGATTAAGAAAGAAGTTTGTCACTAAAGAGAATCTTCTTTGTCTAACCTAAGTAGTAAGAAAACAATTCAAGCTACCCCATTCTCTTTTACCTCCTATAGGAATTGAGAAGAAATGGGACATGTAAGCTGCTCAGATTTACTTGGTGCACATCCTGGATCTCTGTGTAAATATTTCCAGCATATATGACACAATTCAAAATATCAAATATTTATGTTTTTATACTTACTGTTAGAGTTCAGATTGAATGGTTACGTATGGAAGTTTTGTAATATTTAGCACCATTCTTGGATTTGATTAGTGTGGTTAAGTTAGTTGTCTATGATAGAAACCCGGGCTTCTATTAGTACTCTGTAAACCTAAATTCTTAGACTATCAAGATTGAACAAGGGATTTTAATAACTGGAAGAGGCAACACCTCCCTTTTTTAACAACACATCACCTCAAACCCATGTTAGGCCAAAAGAAGCTTTCTTGGGTAAATATACCCTCTAAAACTGAAAAAATACTCACTTTTTTAAAAAAGATACTCTTGTTGTTGTTAATTATTCAACCAAAAAGAAGAGGGATCTGTAGTGGGTGGAGAAGACAGGAATTAGAGTACATCACAGCATTTGCTCAGTAGCATTTCAAGTAATTCCGACTGCTCCCAGAGAGAAAGAAACACTCCCTGCTGATAGCCAGGTTGCTTTGAATTTCTTTGCTGCCTTCTGTATTGTCTCATCTCCAGATTCTCTACTAAGTGGGGAGACCACATTAGGGTAAATCACAAAAGCTACTGAACAGAAGAATCTGACCTAGAAATCAAATCCCTTCTACTTTATTCCCCATGAGAATTTTACCTAAAAAGTGGAAGAAAAATATATCTGTTCAGCTGTGGCAGAACAATTTCTCTATTTATGAAGTTAGAATATTTTTTGTATTTAAACACATACCACCTTCAAGTAAATATACCTCACGATTTTAGGGAACCCTACTAAATGTTCTATTTTATTATCTTTGCCATCCATACATAACAGGTTGCTCTATGATCTCAAATTTCCATGGTCAGTCATTGAAAAATGAAACAAAACAATGTTCTAGTGAATAATTATTTTATTTAATCTCTAGAGATATTTTCAGGCATTATTTCTCTGACAGTGAAATATAGATAAACTGTCAGAAACAGAGGTGAAAGACAGAAGGAAAGAAAGAAAGAGAGAGGGGGTAAAGATTACTACCATAAATAAATTATATTTTGGCTTTTTAAACTTAAATATATATAACGTAAATAAAATCTATATATTATTTAAATTTAATGCTTTTGGTTTCTTGATGATCTATTAAATAGCAATATGACTCTAAACTCTGTTATCTGATACTTCAGCAGTCTTATATAGGGAAACAGTGTATTAAAAATATTACTTTAGTGTAAATATGTAGTGAGTTCATTAAAATGGCAAAAGAGCTGAGCCAAGAGGTAATTTTTCTTAACACATTTTACCATCCCTAAGATTGATTTTTTTCATGTTTTAATTTTATAATCTATAATTTTAATTTCTTAAAGTAATATTAAACTGTAGAACATAATTTTATAAAAAGTATCAACCTTGTAACTATTGTGGATTTTGTATCATTGTCATTTCCACTACTCTGCCAGAAAAAACCTGGAAGATTTGTCCAAATTTTGTCTACTTAACTTCCAGTTCTTATTGTTTCATAGATGTGTTTAATGAGATTAGAGCCTAGAAAATCCACATGTATCTTAGATGAAAGAATGGCCCACAACTGGATTATTTTTATTTCTTTATGGAGGAAAAGAAATACATAACATAGGAATGTCCTGAAACATAGAAAACTATTTCA
Source organism: Homo sapiens (assembly GCF_000001405.40). Taxonomy (NCBI): domain Eukaryota; kingdom Metazoa; phylum Chordata; class Mammalia; order Primates; family Hominidae; genus Homo; species Homo sapiens. The sequence continues at coordinate 189,817,927 of NC_000001.11, forward strand.
AAATGGTGAATATCCATGAACATGACAACTCTTCCTTGCTCCTGTCACTTTATAAACATTGTTTTTTAAAAAAGGGTACATAAAATTAGCAACTGGATGCTAAAGCCTTTTGGTACTATCGAAATTTTCACTAAATTTCTAAAGATACTTTAAATGTCTCTATATTTCCCCACCTCTTGGATAAATTCATCATTAACTCTTCATTACTAAAAATATAAATTTTCAATGAATCAAAGACACGGACTGAGTAAAGAAGAAATACTCCCATATATGTGTGTGTGTGTGTGTGTGTGTGTGTGTGTGTGTGTGTGTATATATATGTGTGTATATATATATACATATATATACTTTATATATGTATACTTTATATATGTGTATATATACACATATATATACTTTATATATATGTGTATATATATACATATATACACATATATATACTGTATATATATGTGTATATATATATACATATATACTTTATATATATGTGTATATATATACATATATACTTTATATATATAGTGTGTGTATATATATACATATATACTTTATATATATAAAGTGTGTGTATATATACATATATACTTTATATATATATAAAGTGTGTGTGTGTATATATATACTTTATATATATATAAAGTGTGTATATATATACTTTAGAAACTAGAAATAGAATGTAAAGCAATGGACACTATAATTTTAAATTTATTTTCTTTTAAATTGGAAACAATAAAATTCCATATTTGTGATGTATAATTTTACCAATTTTGACAAAAGCATAGAGTCATATATCTACCACCACAATCATGATACGTAACAGTTTAATTACCCTAAAAAATGATCTTGTGCTGCTCCTTTGTAGTTAACCTGTTTCCTCATCCTTAATCCAAAAATTAACTGATCTAATCTCAAAAACTATGGTTTTTGTAATTCACAAAAGTCATATATACAAAAGTTATTTTGAATAGCTTAATGGTTTTTAACACTAGTTTTTTTTCTTATAAAATATAATCCCTGTTAGTGTACATATCAATAGTTTAGTGCCTTTTATTTCTGAATATTTCTTTTCTAGGCTTCATGGATCTGTGCTTTGTGCCATTATTAATTTGTAAAATTCTTAGACCACATTATTCTAATATTCCTTTTGCTCTTCTCTCTTTCTGTTATCCTTCTGGAACTCCAAGTATAAGTATACTTGATAATTCAGCATACAAACAATTATATTATATATAATGTTCAGATGTTTCAAATTCCTTAGGACTATATTATTATAGCAGTCAAGAGAGTTCATATAGCCCTAGGGTAAGGCAGAAAACATATATTTTTGCTCTTATCATACACATGCAAATCATTTCCGGTCCTTCTTTTTTTATTAGGATTGGAAAAGTGCATTTGGCAGTTCAAAGGTACGAGCATTATATTGGAGGCTGTGTTAATCAACTCTGAGTAAATCTTCTCGTCTCTGACACTATAGCTAAAATTGGGCTGCTAATTATCTGAATTAACCTACTGTAATCCTCATACCTAGTTTTTGCAGGTACAAGACTATTAAATAAATTTGGATGAGATAAGTGCAACTACTCCTGATTCAGGTTTTTAAAGGAGGTATTCATCTATGCTCTTCTACCAGGGAGGTGACATTGTATTGTATTTACTAATTTTCTTCAGGCTACATGTATGTGTGTGGAGATTGGGGTAGGAAGAGTGTCTTAGAAGTTTCCACTTGGCTTTTAATGCTGTGATAACTCTTACCCTATGGACCAAGGAACTAAGAAATGTGTGGTTTCTATCAACTAACAAATGTATCTATTCCAATCATCTATTTAGGAACTAGAAAAATGGTGTGAGTAGACCAACAGACTTTCCTGTAAGCCAGATATAAGGCAGGATTCCATTTATTACTTGATCTTACATGTCTTCACTATAAAAGAAGGTCTATGGTAATATGAGCCTGGATATCCATGACATCTCAGATTCTGTGCCAAATATTCTGAAAATGGTTAGGTGTATACCTTTTCTTACATTACAGGTACCATAGTAAATAGCCATAAGTCTCTGATGAATGAACATTGAAATATTTACTGTAAATAATTCCTGTGGTGTTAGAAGGTCGTACCTTCCCTTCGATGTAGTTCTAATAACTGACTCAGGTTTGACAACTGGGCAAGAGGTCATTACTTGTTATTCAGGACATTACCATCAGTCCTGATGATAAATCCTTGTATTATCACGTTTAAACCTTTTATTTGTAAGGATTGAGAAATATTACAGTTGGACGTCACTCTGTCTTGCTTCTGTAATGCTATTTTCTAATAACTCCAAAATTCCATTTATATGTTGTTACCTGATGTTAATTATTGATCTGGTGGCAGGGGAGGATGGTGAAAATAGATCCTGTACGCATTGCATGGCAGAAGCTTCTGCAACCTGTATAAGCAAGAGGGGGAAGTAGCTTTTAACAGGAAAAAAAAGGGGGGCTTCTTTTGCAGACCTATAGATCTCAGGAGGATCGAGAATTTCAAGATTGTAAAGGGTACTGATTTCAGACAACCCCATCCAGAGATTTTTTTGATATTCTTTCCCAGTCAAGCAGTCAAGACTTTGACCTTGATGTAGCAGTCTGGTTAGTGTAGAAAATGCAAGAAATTTCTGTTACTTAGGCCACCCAGTGTGTAGTATGTTATTGCTGGAGCCCTAACAAACAGAGGGAACCAATTGTGACTATTAATTTTCTACATTAGGATTCTTGGTTAGAAGTTGAAAAATTCATTTTACCTACCTTAAAAACAGAATGCAACTTATAATCAAAGATTCAATAGTGTGTCAAGGAAGACAAGGGAACTGAGGTGGGACATTGTGAGTGAATAGGTTCTGGGAACAAATACACAGATACAGGGCTCCTTGAATTTCTTTGTCCACCTCTTCTGTTGTTTCATTATCTGTCTCTGCTAATCGGCTTCTTTTGAACTAATAGGCCCACATGGTGAGAAGCATGGCATCTAAATACCTCTGGGAAACAGAATCCCATCTCTCTCTTTCTCTCCCTCATTTACTTTATAAATTTCAGTTCCAGGAAAAGGGTTTTTGATTAAGCAAGTGCCCCTACCTCAGCTATTGAACTGTGCCCTGAGGTGTTGCCAGTAAGTCTTATGTATTACAGATTAAGAGAAAGGACAGGTCTCCTTCAAAAAGGGAGACAGGAAGACTTTGGGTAATCTGCTAGATGTACACTACTTACACTGTGTTTGGTTGAAAGATTTGAGTAGTCATTTTTTACTTATTCCAAGCACCAGTAACTTGAAAACTTTGAAGAATAAACCTTTAGAAGGCCATAGTAATAACAACAGCAATAATGCTATATCTATCTATCGTCTATCCATCCACCTAATTATATTTATTCACTTCAGTGCACTTATGTTTGTGTCATCTAATTTAATTCTAGCCAAAAACTGATGAAATCTTTAAAACAATTATAATCATTAGGCTGGTGAAAAGACTGGGCTCATATACACACATATATGTCTCCAAAAGATCTGTTTAGAATGAGGCATTGTGAAGAATAAAGGTTTCAAGTATCTTACTCAAGTAATTAGCCCAGAAGTAGTGGAACTGCACCATATTAGGATTCTAGAGTCCTTGATTATGACACCAATCATGACAGTATTTATAAAACTGTAACATCTGTCTTTATAAAATAATGTCTGTTTATGACTCTTTAAATCATTTCTTTTGGCATTCTCACTGACTCTTGTGTACCTTAACTTTTTTTATTTTGAAACATTAGTCGAGTTTATATTAAAACATATTATAAATTATCACCAATGGATGCTTTTATGCTATGATATCTTCACTGGAATTTTCTCATTTGTTTTATGTTTAAACAATTTTGTGCCTGCATCAACTGGAGATAAACACATCTCTGTTAACTAATATTTTAGAGGCATTTGAATGTCATTTGAGTTTTTACTTATAAAACAAGAAAAGAATAGAAAACTCAACCCAAGTTCATGGAATATTTATATTCTCCATCTGCATGCCACTCATTGTGTAAACACAGAAATTGTCAAATGAAGCAGCAAAACATAGGGCCTTTATAAAGTGCTATTCCCTGCTGAGCAGATTCTTGGAAACACTGCGAGTCTTGCAAGAAATATGAAGGGAGTCTTCTTTGAAACAAGCATGATATTCCATGCTGAGACAAATCACACTCACAGGGTATATGAACATTGAAATTAGAATTACAAACCAGAAGCAAGAAACTCTAGCTAGAGATTCTACATCCAAATAAATATGAAGAAAAATGTTAGTGTTTAGAAAAATGTAAAACACAAAATAAAGCAAATAGAACAACAACAACAACAAAAATACTAAGGGTTATATATTGTTATCACTTAAAAAAATAAAAGATATCCTGTTCTGACTATGTTGATAAGTGCACGCCTATAAAATGTGAATATTGAAGGTATAACAATTGCAAACCTAATTAGATGAACCAGATGTGAATATGGTAAAAGCCATTTCAGGAAAAACTAGTTTCGGCATGCTGGCTGTTTAAACCTTCCTATCTCCTCTTTCTGAAGTGAATGTCAAATATAAACATCCTTAATATAAAAAAGTGTAGCTCATATCATTTTAGAGCATTTTTTGTTTATGGTCTCTGCATAGATTTGTATGTTTTTAAGTGACTAAAGTTTTGTAAAATATTGTCTTCCCAGAGTTCTATGTAACTTGCAGTAATATTAAACCTACACACTCCTGCAAATGAAAGATGAAAAATAAGTGAATCATAAAAGCTTAAAAACTAATTATAACAAAATGGATTCCAAACAAAATTATCAAATTAGAAGATAAGTAGATATAATGATACATTTATTTTTACCATAAAGCTTCTTCAAATAAGGAGTATAATTTTTTTTCTATATTCTCCACAAATACATCAAACTTCAGTGTAACATATGGACTAAGTGGAACAAATAAAATCTAAACATGTATCTAATATGTTATATGTGACAAAGCTGTGAGAAATTAATTCCAGTATTGTGATTTATCTGAGAAATTATGCAAATATTGCTCATTATAATCAATTATTAGAAATGTCTAACTTATAACAAGGGCAAAAAATTGTGAAAAAATAATATAATTATGGTTTACACTTATGACATAAGCTAGGCAACCAGGATACTTTATTTTCCTGTTTAATTGTATGGTATTACTTTAGGATTGTATGAATAAAGCAATAAAAAATAAGGTGCACTGGAAAATATTTCAGCTACTAACTGAATATAAGAAACGTTTGTATACAATTTGAATGATTTAAAGGCATTACTATCAGAGTGTTTTAAATATAATAGAGTTTTATATAATCCAGGTCAATCACAATAAATATTAAAATAATATGTAAGGTTACATAGTAAAAAAAACATTTCTTTATTGTTTCTTGAGAATTAATGTCTGTTCACTTATCCAATCTTTACAGACTCTTTAACACAGAATTTCTTCTAGTGACTATGGGAAATAAGGTACAGCCTTGTCTTTGATGTACATATGGTAAAGTTAGAAAGATAATTTAAAATTTTAATTTTTGTTTTTTTAGAGACAGGGTCTCACTCTCTTACACAGATAAGAGTACAGCGGCGTGAACATGGCTCACTGGAGCCTCAACCTCCTGGACTCAACCGTTCTGCCTGCAGAGCCTCCCAAGTAGCTAGGACTATGGGTACACTCCATGCCTGGCCTTTTTTTTTTTTTTTTTTTCTGCAGAGATGAGGGGTCTCGCTGTGTTGCACAGGCTGGTCTCAAACTCCTGTCCTCAGGCATTCCCACTGTCTTAGCCACCCAAAGTGCTGGAATTATAGGCATGAGCCAGCAGGCCCAGCCAATTTATACAATATAATGATGTTCTATGGATTGCTATGAATAAATGTTATCTTGAAATTATACAGTATTTAGGAAAGCATGTAAAGAGACAAAAGAGTATAGGTTGTGAGGGTAACATTTACAAAGATAGTGCAGTTGGTGAAATAAAGCATGAAAAAGGCATTGGGCATAAGCAAAATGGACTGGAAGAGAAGCGATCTGGATAACACCAAAGATTATGTTAGACCAAAGTGTCATACACCTGAGAGGGAAGAAGAAAAGCAGCATGTGGTAATATAGAAGATATAATGGTTATTCACACAGGTTCTGAAAATGTATTTCCTGGTTTCAGATCAGGCTCTCCCTCTTACTGACATTGATTAGTCAGCTTAAACTCTATATGGTTTGGTTTTCTCCTGTATAAAATGGGGGTAATATTTTCTGTCTCATGGGATAGTTGTGAAGATTAAAGTTTATATATATACATATATATATGTTACATATATGTGTGCATATATACACACTCATATATATACATATATATAAACATAAAATGCTTATACCACTAAGTGACATACTGTAATTATCTGGTAGTCTATAATAAATTATTAACATCGTTATTAAATTATTTATTTATTTTGACACAGAGTTTCACTCTGTCTCCCAGGCTGGAGGGCAATGGTGCTATCTCAGCTCATTGCAACATCTGCCTCCTGGGTTCAAATGATTCTCCTGCTTTAGCCTCCTGAGTAGCTGGGATTACAGGCACCTGCCACCATGCACAGCTAATTTTTTTATATTTTTAGTAGAGATGGTGCTTCGCCATGTTGACCAGGCTGGTCTCGAACCCCTGACCTCAGGTGATCCACCAGCCTTGGCCTCCTAAAGTGCTGGGATTACAGGCATGAGCCACCATGCCCAGCTCATATGCTATAACGAATTATTAAATATAATGTAGTTTGACGGAGGCAGAACTTCCTTTAATGGCAAAGTGAAGATATCTGTAAATTTTCTCCCCCATATTATTAACAAAAATTCTTAAAGAATTATCAAAGCCATTTTTTTTCAGATCTCCAAAAATTAACCAAAGTTTAAAACAATTTAAAAATGATTTCTTCAAGAAAAAAGCTAAACTACAGTACAAACACAGGGATTTGTGATACTTAAACTTGGCCCACTACTGCTTTGCTCTTCCCAGCTCTGTGACAGCCTTGAAAATTAGCAGTTTTATGACAAAAATAGTTATAAAAAGCATTAGCTTCAGAGCCATAGGCAAGGTTAGATGGGTTCAGAGTTCTCTAAAATACCTTTTAAATATCTGGCCTATCACACAGTTCCTGAAAAATCTCTACTGAGAGAGCACTGTGATTATTTGACCTAATCCAGAGCTTGCTGAATAAGAAAAGCCTTACCCTCAGTGTGGTAGCTGAAAACAATCAGCTGCAGCTTTTTTTTTTTTTAATTTCCACTTTTTAATGGTGTAAGATGATGAACTAGATATGGTCAGGAAACGCTTCTATTACTAAGAGGCAAGACCACCAAGAATACTGGCACAATCCAAACAGATCTTTGAAATCAAGGCATTGAGAGTCATCGAAGGGATGCAGATCCCAGATTCAAAGGGGAAGAAGCTGGGAACCCTACATGTGGTTGCCAAGCATGAGGGCTTGTTCCGGACCCTGAGCAGTTTCTGGGGATGTGGTGAGTGAAAGAGGTGTGGAGTGGCACATTCTTGCCATGGACCTTCAGAATCTTAGCTGCAGGAAACCCCATGACCCATATGAACACTTGAGTGGGTAGGGAGAACTGCCCAGAAAATTGACAAGAGACAGAGCTCCAGCTTGAACAGAGCCAACAGAGCTAGGCGAAGGAACGACTGCAGTGGAGCATGGCCAAGGGCACCTATCCCTCAAAGATTGCCATGCTCCTCTAGGTGGCTTTAGCATTTGTTGGATGCCAGACCTGCTCAGAGAAGGGCTATGTGGCCTGTGGGGTGGGGCCAATCTGATCCGAGTTCTCCCCATGTCTGCTGGCCTCTCCAAGGGTTCCTGCCTGGCTGCTTGTAGCAGTTTCGGCTGCCCAGAGGAAGCACTTGCCAGAGGCCACTACCATACCTCTTTCACCAGCAGACACCACCTAACATTTGAAGACCTTCTGCACAGGGGCCTCCACTGGCACACATGTGCATGCAGCCCTCTCCATGCTACTTTGCTAGTGTGAGCTCATGAGCTGTCACCACCACTGTCCCCCTGCTGATGTACACTCATGTGAGGAAATCTCTCCATCGTGCTGCTGCTTCACCAAGTGCATTTGTAGGCACATCTGATCAGAGTTTGTCACCAGTGGACTGGGAACACCTCGAACCTTTAGACACAGCAGATGTTTAACACGAAGGGGCAAGAGAAAAAGCCATAGGCATGGGTTCCAGCTCCCGCAGTTAGAGCACACAGCCCAGGAGTGCTTAGCTGAGCCCAGGCTCCATCCAGATATAAAGCCATCAAGGAAACCCAATTTATACCACAGTGAAACCCTCAGGGCATCAAAGAATACAAAAGCAAAAAGACTTATTCAAAGGACAGTAACATCAAATATTAAAGAAATATCAGGGCACACAGATGAGAAAGGACCAATGCAAAACCTCTAGCATCTCTAAAAACCACAGTGCCTTCTTACCTCCAAACCATAGTCTCCCCAGCAATAGTTCTTAACCAGACTGAAATGGCCAAAAGGACAGACATAGAATTCAGGATCTGGATGGCAATGAAGATCATTGAGATTAAGAGGAAAATTAAAAGCCAATCCAAGGAATCTAAGGAATTCAATAAAACAATACAAGAGATGAAAGATGAAATAGCCATTTTAAGAAAGAACCACACAATGATAGTGAGAGTACTGAGAGACTTCAACACCCCACTGACAATGTTAGACTAACCATCAAAGCAGAAAATTAACAAAGATATTTGAGACCTAAACTTTGACACTTGGCCAAAGGGACCTAACAGAAATCTATAGAATATTCTAACCAACATCAATGGAATATATATTTATTTCATCTGTGCATGACACATACTTTAAGATTCACCACACACTGGTCTATAAAGCAATTCTAAAACAAACAAACAAATAAAAAAACCCAAATCAGAACAACCCAGATCATAGTGCAATAAAAATAGAAGTCAATGGCAGTAAGATCTCTCAAAACCATGCAACTAAACAGAAATTAACCTGTTCCTGAATGGCTTTTGAGTAAACGATGAATTTAAGGCAGAAATCAACAAATTCTTTGAAATTAATGAAAACAAACATACAACATACCAGAATCTCTGGGAGACAGGTAAAAAAGTGTTAGAAGGAAAGCTTATAGCACTAAATGCCTATATCGAAAAGTTAGAAATCTCAAATTAACAACTTAACATCACACATAGAGAAACTAGAAAAATAAGAGGAAACCAAGCCCAAAGCTAGCAAAAGAAGTAACCAAAATCAGAGCTAAATGTAATGAAATTGATGGAAAAATCCACATGAAACATCAATAAAACCAAAAGTTTATTATTTGAAAGAATAGGCCGGGCATGGTAGCTCAGGCGTGTAATCCCAGCACTTTGGGAGGCCAAGGCGGGCTGATCATGAGGTCAGGAGTTCAAGACCAGCATGACCAACATGGAGAAACCTCGTATCTACTAAAAAATACAAAAAATAGCAAGGCGTGGTGGGGTGCAACTGTAATCCCAGCTGCTCAGGAGGCTGAGGCAGAAGAATCGCTTGAACCCAGGAGGCGGAGGTTGCAGTGAGCGGAGAATACATCATTGCACTCCAGTCTGGGCAACAGAGCAAGACTCTGTCTCAGGAAAAAAGTAAAAAAAAAGAGTGGCTCACGCTTGTAATCCTAGCACTTTGGGAGGCCGAGGCGGGTGGATCACGAGATCAGGAGATCGAGACTATCCTGGCTAACATGGTGAAACCCCGTCTCTACTAAAAATATGAAAAATTAGCTGGGCGTGGTGGCGGGCGCCTGTAGTCCCAGCTACTCGGGAGTCTGAGGCAGGAGAATGGCATGAACCTGGGAGGTGGAGCTTGCAGTGAGCCTCGATCGTGCCACTGCACTCCAGCGACAGAGCAAGACTCCGTCTCAAAACAAAAAAAAAAAAAAGAATAAGTAAGACTGAAAGATCACTAGGAGACTAATGAAGAAAAAGAGAGAGGCAAATCAAATAAACACATCAGAAATAACAAAGGTAATTTTTATACTAATCACACAAAAATAAAAAAGTAAATCCTTAAAGACTCTTGTGAACATCATTTATGCACACAATCCAGAAAACCTACAAGAAAAGGATAGATTCCTGGAAAAAAATACAGCCTCCCAAGACTGAACTATAAAGAAATTGAATACCTGAACAGAACAACAATGACTTCCAAAAATGAAGAGGTAATAAAAAAGCATATCAAGGAGAAAAAACCTGGAACATACAGATTCACAGTTGAATTCTACCAGACATATAAACAATTGCTGATACAAATCCTACTGAAAATCTTCTCCAAAAATCAATGAAGGAGGACTCCTTCCTAACTCATTCTATGAAGCCAGCGTCATTCAGGTGTAGAGAAACAACACAAACAAAACTTCAGGTCAATATCCTTGTTGAACATAGATGCAAAAATCCTCAACAAAGTACTAACAAATTGACTTCAGCAGCACATCAAAAAGCTAATGCACCACATTCAAGTAGGTTTTATTCCTGGGATGCAAAGTTGGTTAAACATACGGAATAACAGTGGAAATCAATAAATGTGATTCAGCACATAAGCAGAACAAACAACAACTACAACAAAAAACCCACAGAAACCACATGATCATTTCAATAGACTCAGAAAAGGCTTTTGATAAAAGTCAATATATCTTCGTGTTAAAAATCCTCAACAAACTAGGCATCAAAGGAACCTACCTCAAATTAATAAGAGCCATCTATGACAAAACCACAGCCAACGTCATAATGAAGTGGCAAAAGCTGTATTCATTCTCCCCAAGAACCAGAACAAGGTAAGCATCCCTACAGTCATCATTTCTATTCAACATAGTACTGGAAGTCCTACCCAGAGCAATTAAGCAAGGGAAAAAAATTAAAAAGCATCCAAATATGAGGACAGAAAGTCAGACTATCTCTCTTTGCATATGACATAATTCTATAGTTCTATAGCTAGAAAATCCCATAGTCTCTGCTCAAAGTTTTCTAGAACTGATAAACAACTTCAATAAAGTTTCAGGATACAAAGTCAATGTACAAAAATCAATAGCATTTCTACATATCTAAAATGTCCAAGATGAGATTTAAATCAAGAACACAATCCCTTTCACAATAGCCACAAATAAATAATATATCTAGAAAGACAACTAACCAGGAGGTGAAAGATCTCTTCAATGAGAATTGCAAAACAAAGCAATCAAAGATGATACAAACAAATAGGAAAACATTCCATGCTCATGGATAGAAATCAACAATATTGTTGAAAAAGCCATACTGCTCAAAGCAACTTACAGATTCAATGCTATTCCTATCAAACTACCAACATTATTTTTCAAAGAATTAGAGAAAATGATTCTAAAGCATATGGAACACCAAAAGAGCCTAATAGCCAAAGCAATCATAAGCAAAAAGAACAAAGCCAGAGCCATTACACTACTCTAATTCAAACTATACCACAAGGCTACCATAACCAAAACGCATGGTACTGCTATAAACACAGACATATAGACAAATGAAACAGGTTAGAGGACCAGAAATAATGTGTTACACCCATAGTCATCTGTTTTCTGACACAGTAAAAAATAACAAGCAATGGAGAAATAAATCCCTATATTAATAAATCATGCTGGAATAACTGGTCAGCCATATTCAGAAGATTGAAACTGGAACCCTTACACTCACCATGTGAAATATTAACTCCAAGTGCATTTAAGTTTTCAATATAAGACATAAAACTATGAAAACCTTAGCAAAAACCCAAGGAAATAGCATTCTGGCTATAAATGTTGGCAAAGATTTCATGACAAAGACTTCAAAAGCAATTGCAATAAAAACAAAAATAGACACGTGGGACCTAATTAGACTAAAGAGTTTTGCATAGCAAAAGAAACTATCAACAGAGTAAACAACATACATAAGAAGAGAAATTATTTGCAAACTATGATCTGACAAAGGTCTAATATCCAGAATCTATAAGGAACAAATCAATGTGCAAAGCACAAACAACCTTATTAAAAAATGGGCAAAGGATATAAATAGAGTATTCTCAAAAGAAGGCATGCACATGGCCACCAAGCACAAAAAATGCTCAACATTACTAATTAGGAGCAAATGCAAATGCAAAAGAAAAGAACAGAAATCATAACAAACAGTCTCTCGGGCCACAAGGGAATAAAATTAGAACTTGGGATTAAGAAACTCACTCAAAACCACACAACTACAAGGAAACTGAACAACCTGCTCCTGAATGACTACTGGTTCAATAACGAAATGAAGGCAGAAATAAAGGTGTTCTTTGAAACTAATGAGAACAAAGACACAAAGTACCAGAATCTCTAGTGTACATTTATTTCTGCCTCTAGTTTTTTTTTTTTTTTTAGTTGTTGTTGTTTTTGTTTTGTTTTGTTTTGAGACGGAGTCTTGCTCTGTTGCCCAGGCTGGAGTGCAGTGGCACAATCTCGGTTCACTGCAAGCTTCACCTCCTGGGTTCACGCCATTCTCCTGCCTCAGCCTCCCGAGTAGCTGGGACTACAGGCGCCTGCCACCACGCCCGGCTAATTTTGTTCTTGTATTTTTAGTAGAGATGGGGTTTCACAGTGTTAGCCAGGATGGTCTTCATCTCCTGACCTCGTGATCCGCCCGCCTCCGCCTCCCAAAGTGCTGAGATTACAGGCGTGAGCCACAGCGCCCGGCCTGCCTCTAGGTGTTTGTTTTGTTTTGTTTTGTTTTGTTTTTTGGGGGGGGGGGGAACAGAGTTTCACTCTTGGTGCCCAGGCTGGAGTGCAGTGGCATGATCTTGGCTCACCGCAACCTCCGCCTACTGGGTTCAAGTGATTCTCCTGCCTCAGGCTCCCGAGTAGCTGAGATTACAGGCATGTGCCACCAAGCCTGGCTAATGTATTTTTAGTAGAGACGGGGTTTCTCCATGTTGGTCAGACTGGCCTTGAACTCCCGACCTCAGGTGATCTGCCCGCCTCGGCCTCCCAAAGTGCTGGGATTACAGGCGTGAGCCACCACGCCCGGCCTGCCTCTAGGTTTTAAGGAATCACCACACTGTCTTCCACAATGGTTGAACTACTTTACACTCCCACCAACAAGGAGAAATACCATTTGACTCAGGAATCTCATTACTGCATATAAACCCAAAGGAATATAAATCATTCTGTCATAAAGACACATGAACGTGTATGTTCATTGCAGCACTATTCGGATTAGCAAAGATATAGAATCAACCTAAATGGCCCTATATAGGTGGGATGAAGAAAATGTGGCATACATACTCCATGAAATACTATGTGGTCATAAAAAAAGAATAAGATTATGTCCTTTGCAGCAACGTGGATGTACTCGAAGGTCATTATCCTTAGCAAAATAATGCAGAAACAGAAAAGCAAATACTGCATGTTCTCACTTATAAAATAGAGTATCAATATTTGTTGCAGTTTTGGCTTTGTTTGTATTTAATTTTATTGCTTTTAAAAATATATAAATACTTAATTTTTGTGCAGATAAACTTATCCAGTAGTTGCATAGATTAATTTTATACCTCTTTGGGGTTTTCTCATTCTTCAATCAGCAAAACATAGTCATCTATATTTTATTACTTTTTATTAATATATACTTATTTATAAATATTCCATATACATGGAACTGTATAATGGTATGATGTAGACCTCTGTAAATATCATTGCATCGGTTTCCTATAACTGCTATAACAAATTATCAGGAATTATTTGGCTTAAAACACCACCAATTTATTCTCTTGTGGATCTAGATGCCAGAAGTTTATGATAAGGTTTACCTCATTGAAATCAGGTTTTCAGCACCATAGAGCTAGCTCTGGAGGGTCTAAAAGAGAATCTGTTTCCTTGACTTTTTCAGTTTCGGGAAGCTGTCTTCATTCCTTTGCTCGTGCTCCCAAACTATGTTACATATATGGATTTTTCCTCTTCAGTCTTCAAATCTCCCTCTGCCTTCATCTTATAAGGACAGTGATTCCATTTAGGACCCATCCTGATAATTCAGAATGATATACCTATACCAAGATCCTTAACATAATTACATATGCAAGTCCTAGCAACTATATATAGTGACTTTCACAGGTTCCAGGAATTACAACCTGGATATCTTTTGGGGCCAGTATTTAATCTACCACAATCATCTTCTTGAGGAGGGAGAAATATGAACTAGAATATACAACATTACCAATACACTTGAAAAACCATCTACCAACTGTGTCTAGTGATTTAATTCAAATTTAACATAATTTAGTAATTATGAAAAATAGAAATATAAATTATTTTCCCATATAATTACTTTTCCAGCAATTTATACAAGGTAATTGCTCATTTTCCCACAATTTGAAATGCCATTACTAACATAAACAAGTATATAGTAAGTCCTTATTTAACATTATCGATAGGTTTTTGGAAACAGCAGCTTTAAATGAAATTATGTATAAGAAAACCAGTTTTACCATAGGCTACTTGATATAAACAAGAGTTTAATTCCTATGGCATATTTCTGGTCATAAAAACATTGCAAAACTGCTAAGTGAAGACCAAAGCACTTCTAATATTAAACATTGAAAAAATGTGAGTTATACATACATTTAAGAAAGATTCATAAAAACAAGATAATTACTTACCTTCTTATTCCAGTTCAGGGTTGTGGCGGCAGGAGTCCATCAAGGAAGCTCAGGGTACACTGTTGGAACCCACCCTGGAGAGGCTGCAATTCCATTGCAGGGTACACTTACAGACATACCCACACACACTCAGGTTACTCACTCACTCACTCACTCAGCCAGGCCAACTAACCACACCAGAGAAAACCAGAGCACCCAGAGAAAAGTCACACATACATGGGGAAAACATACAAGCTCTTCACAGACAGGGTCCTTGGCTGCAAAGTGATTTTTATCAAATCAACTTTATGAGGAATCAATATTTGAGTATAATGTTTGAGGACTTGCTATACTTGCATAGTAGTCTTCCTATTTTTGTAACTCAGTTTGGGCATGGAATTTGAAGTTCAGAATTCGATGGCAAACAATTTTTCCAGGCCTGATCCCCTTCAAATACTTTGCCTGAAGCTTATGCTCCAGACAGTCTAGAAAACTTGTAATTACAAAAAGTAAGACCTTTCCTCTTTACTTGCCCTTGCTCAGACTGTTATATTTTCTTGAAGTAACTTTTCTTTTTTCATAATCCAGCTTGAAGAAATTCTGCCTCCTTAAACTGCAGCTGAAATGCCAGCTCTTTGTTCTGTCCCTCTCTCATTGTATCTCTATTCTCTTTTGTGCTACTAGATGCTTATAAGCACTTAACATATTTTGCGTTTTATTAGTCTAAGGTTACTAAATGCATGCTGGAGACAGTTTTGCATTCTGACTCGATCACTTACTAGTTGTTAAGACTTTGTGAAAATTATTTTTCTTTTTTATGATTTATTTTCCTCAATCATAAAATGATGCAAACGATAGTTTATACTTCACAGAGGGAGTGAAAGGAATAAATAAAATAATTCATGTAAAGCATTGATTGTATTTAATACCAGACAATAGTAAGCTTTCAATAGATATTATTTATTACTGTATGTTTTCTATATTCATTTTTATCATTAGGTAGATTATTTAGATAATAAGCTTCATAATGTCAGGGCTCACAGGAGTGATTTGCAAAATTTATAGACAATATTTATTTAACCCATTTTCCATTTAGAAAAAAAAGTACAGCTTGCTGCCAATGCTCATTTAATTTTACATAACTCCATTTTGAGGCTTAAGTAAATCTGACTGATTTTTCACTGTGAAAATAAAATATGAAACTGTTA
Source organism: Homo sapiens (assembly GCF_000001405.40). Lineage (NCBI taxonomy): Eukaryota > Metazoa > Chordata > Mammalia > Primates > Hominidae > Homo > Homo sapiens. The sequence continues at coordinate 189,833,862 of NC_000001.11, forward strand.
TTGGAGTTATTTCTAAGCAGAACTTGTCTCTAATTCTAATGTAACATTATATACATTCCTGTTACAGAATACTCTTATCCCTAATCCTAATGCAACATCACATACATCTCTGTTACAGAATGTAACGTCATATTCCATCACAGAACGTAACATGACATACATTTCTCTAACAGATAATACTTCAGGATTAGAGACAAGAGTATTCTTTGGGCAAATTGCAAATGGGTTAATAAATTTACATTCAATTCGACTATGTATCCATATCCCCTTAGTATATCCATCTTTATAAAACAATAATATTCTTTAAAAAGCACAACCTTCCTCTATTCTTAGTTTATTTTTATGTGACTTGTTAAATGTATATAAATTCCCTATGTCTAACTTTCTCACAACAGTGAGACTTACCTGATAAATTACAATCTATGATCAATTTTATTTCAGGGAAAATTCTTAATTGTATAAGGTAAAATTAAAAGTTCAGCAGATAGATGTTTTCTCGACCCAGCCACAGGATCCAGTTGACTGTCTTGATTATATGTGTGAATAAGTGCATTTAGAAAACAAATTATAAAATTGTGTTCTAACTTAAGGCAAATATTTACAAACAAGTTTCCCTGCTGGATGAAAATAATATGTTGATTTGTAGAAATTTTACTCTCTGAAAAATTATATAATTGTATTTGTTTTTATATCCAAAGTTATAGGGAATTAATTGCATATTTTTGAATTAAAACCATCATATGTACTCTCAGGCTTTCTCCAGGTTCTCCCCTGACTTGTCCACTGTTTTTTTTTCCACAAATTAAACATTTTGCATAATTTTGATAACTTTTCCTGGCAAAATGTATTATTTTGTTATAGTCTCTTTCGTGTATTCTTTTCTGTCGCTTCTCAACATGGGTTAAAAGAACAAAAGGACGGCTCCAGGTGACGTATGACTTCCATGACAAAAAGTATAGATAATTTGCTTATTTTCTCAGAGAAGCAGGCAGGCAGCCAAAGTTCACAACCAAAATTAGTTCTCAATTTAATGTTCGATGTCATTTCACAAGGACTAGAATGATAAATGAGACATTGGACATGTTAACTCTGAGGAAAATTATCACTTCACCTTGTATAGGGCATCTTTACGGGATGAAATCAGAAGAGATAAATGACCACACTCTGTGACAGATCTGCCTGTCATTTGGGGAAAGATGTCCCCCACTGAGAGGGCAGGCACTGTGTGTTTCCCTTAGGCTATAACCAGATATATTTTATGCCTCAAAATAATTATAGAAATTTTAAAATGAAGATGATGTATGCAGGACACACAACCCAGGTCGATTTTTCCAAGTGACATTTTAAGCGTGTGTATGTATATAAATAGAAATAGAGATGCAGACACATTTGTGAACTGCATAATATCCTTGAAATGGTTTCTGAATAAATAAAATGTTTACTGAGTGCCTACAATGTGCAGTGTGGCCTGTGATTATAAATATAAGTAAATGCATATGCCCAAATTTGAGGCACTGAGAATTTTGTTCCTCAAAGTTTTCTTCAGAAAACAGGAAATAGCTTATATTTAAGTCCCTACAAAGTCAGTCATATCACAGCAAAATCTATCACATATCCTATTATGAAATCTTCAATACTTATTAGAAAAGGCACATTAACTAGAAGTGATAACACTCCAAATCAAATTTTGAATTGACACAAAAGTGAACTTATAAAATGTATCAAATTGGAGGCAAATATATTTTTATGCAGATTTTGTGCTTATTCCACAGTCATACCATCACAACTGAGAATTTTGTTTAACGTTAAATTTAAAGAATTTTCAAAAGTAAGAGAAAAAGTGTTAAGTAATGGGAATTGTAAATATATGCTTTCAGAAATAATGGAAAAATAACCACCTAAATATTCCATGAATGAGTCTATGAATGGGTCTATGAATTGAGCATCTGAAGTAAAATGCTCAATGGCAGAAACATAAACATGTTAAAAGGGTGTTATCAGACATTTTCAAGGGAGGTCATAATCTCAAAACTATAGGATAATGCAAAAGTACCTCTAGTATTAGTACTATTAAAGTTAAAAAGTACTAGATCATTGAAAAAGTAGTTCTACATTAGCAAAGTTAAAGGTAAAAATCTGCTGGATAACTCTAAATGCAGCTCTAGGTTTAACAGAGCTAAAGCTATATAAACTGTTAACAAACTAAAAATATAGTATTATAAATTTAAAGCTATGTTCTGAAGAATGTAAATCTAATGTTTCAATTTCTTCTAAATCTCTACTCTAGTTTTACCAAAGAAAAAATCTTTTTTAAATCATCTTTTAGAAAATCAATCACTTATTTTTGGTTGACTGATTTTTATAAAAATAAAATTTTGCAAATCAATCAATGTTTATAATGTAAAACTCTATGTAATTCATTAAAATTATATGAAATTTAACATTGGATAATATATTTGTAATTAAGAAATTAACAATTCAAAATAATCATTTAAGCTTGACCTTCCAAGGAAAATCAAACGTGATAAGCCTTTCAGTGATTTTTATTAATTCCTGTCTTTTGCATAGTAAAATAGATCAGCAAATGTTCGCTCATTTACTCATTTATTCATCATGCATTTATTGAACACATCTCTTGCCTGGGTCTTGGGCTAGACACTAGAGGTACAGTGTTAAACAAAGCAGATGGTATCTCAGAGCTTGAATCCTGGTGATCATAGATTTAGTTTGTGTAGCTGATTGTTCAGGACTGTTTTAACAACAGTATGTTAGTGCCACATGAGCCAGGCATGGAAAAATTGTGAACTGGGAACAGATCTGCAGGAATAATGCAAATGATAAGAGGTGCTCAAAAGTTAAAGGATCATCAACAAAGAAAGGATTGCTACTATTTTTTTTTTAAATAGACAATCTGAACATAGAGGTTGTGGTTCAGGGTGTGCATTAATATCCACACAACTGTTAGAGGAGGATAGTTCAGGAACTGACTCAGACATAAGCTAGAAGAAAATACCTTTACTGGCTGTGTTATCTGAATAGAGTAAAAATTATATCTAATTGTATTTATTCACTTATTTAGTCAGTCATCCATTTATTCATTAAAAATTTATTGAGTAGCCTCTATATATCAGGAATTCTTCTATTCTAGAGTGGTAAAACAAACTAGAAAGAGTCCATGCCCTTATGAAGCTTATATTCTACTAAAGATAATAAACGTCATAAAATAGAATGTGTATAGATGTAGATTATGTGTAGTATGTATTCTATACCTACTTATGAATGGTATGTTGTCTACATCTATACTGATCTACATTCATATCTCTATATAGCTCTCATCTCTTTTTAGGTACAGAGAAATAATAAAAAAGAAAAATGGAAATTGAAATGGTAGATGAGATGAAGAGTTAGAAGGTTTAATAAGCTCTTACTGATTCACTTTTTAGATAGAGCTTCTTTCCTAGAAATCTTGAACATGATGCTTCCCGTGTTCTCAGTTCCTTAATGCTCTCTCCATCCTCCATGCCTTTAATTATACTGCTGTGTCTACTTGGATGTTACTCTTAAACTCCTTTAATTTGAGATTTAAAAAGACTTGTTTTTGTTTGAAAGCCTTCATTAACATAACACACTCTGTACCTTTTTTTTCCCCCAGGTGGGTTACCAGCTCCTTCCTTTATTGTGCCCAAGAGCATTCAATGTGTTCTTATATGACCACATTATTTCCCTGCCATGAGAATTCCCCAACTCTTTCACATTGAAGTAAAACAGTTTTAACATTGTACTAAATATTTATTTACTGCCTAACATCATCAAATCCTCTTTGAATTTTTTTCTTCATTATGTGAATTCTCTTAGTTCAAAGTTAATTTTTTGTGGAAGCTGGCTTCGTGTTTGAAGGATAGCATTTTACTCCAGATATCATCCTAGGTTGACATCCTGGTCGAAAAATCTGGAGCAAGGGGAAAATGTTCCTAATACAGAAGAGTTTTCTAAAATAGAAGAGGGAAACTTATCTTCCTTATTTTATAAAAGTAGTTTTATTACAATATATTTATAAAAAAGCTCAATTAGTGTTATGGATGTTGAAAGATGTTTTTTAAAACATTGACCCACAGCTATAAAAAATCCCTCTTAGCAGTAAGGCAATGAATATATAGCATGATGAAGGCATTTATGACCATTGTTAGCAAAGGCAATAATTAATAGAAGTTAGCAGTATAGCCTCTAGTCTTAATTTGCATATATGCAGCAGAAAAATGGTTGCTGTTAGTTTCACTAGCAACTTTAGTGTATGGGACAAGTGTTCACAGGGCTTTAAGAATTCTTTTTACATATAATATTTCATGAAAAAATATACTGCTTTGCATCACTCTGCAAGTAATATTCCACTGGCAATTTATCTCGGCCTTCTGAAGCATACCATCTGAATCTGAAGTCCATCTATCTAAAAGACTGATCTAAAATGCAGATTTGATCATTGTTCAATATAAATAAAACTTTAGTATCTCCAAATATCAGAAAAAAAATCAAAACTTTTTTTCTTTAATTCCTATCAACATAACACCTATTGTACTTAACCTTGCCACCTGCATTTCTTTTCAATGTAAGAGAAATAGTTCTATTTGCAGTCTTACTACAGTTATGCAATTGCATGTAATTCAGGTATTCATGTCTTTACATATGATATTCCATAGGCTTAAAGTTTATCCTCCATTTCTTATTAATCTATATCCCACTCCCCATAATTTAATATTGGCTGACATTTTTCTTATCTTCAGGATAGAATTCCTCCTCCGTTAACAACCTGCCAGTCCCAGACTGGGGGAATGTCAAACTCCCCTTGTATCCCTTGTATCTTTTGTATAATTTTAGTTTGACTTTTGTCACAAGTACGATTTCTGTATTGGCCTTAATATATTTACATGTTCATCTCCAGCATTGTTGTGTGATGCCCTGTAGCCTTAGTTTGTGATTCTTGGCTTAGATTTTTTTTAGGATTCATGCCTCTCTCCCATCCCCAAAGTTCGTGATTAACCAGGTTTTAAAATAGTTCTGAGTCATGATTTTAAAAGAAAAGCGAAAGAAGAAAGACAGAAACAAAGAAGTATTGAAAGTAGTTGACTTTAATTTAGTGCATCAAATGTTTAGAGTTACTGTCCTGAAAGGAATTCTATAATCCCCATGCATTACTTTGTTCCTGGAACATTATAAGAAGAGAAAAAAATATCTGAAAAATAAATTATATAAGACTTGCTTCAGAATAAGCATGAACTTGAAAAAGCTTGATAACGTCTCAGTTGAATAAAGGATATTAAAATATTGGATTATCTTGTTTCCCACCTTTATTCATAACTCTGACCAGTAGTGCCTACATTCCATGGTGTTTTCCAAAGTATGTCAATAAGGCAGGATAATAAAAAACAACAAAATTTTTTATAAGGCCATCCAGGACATGATTGTCATATGGATAAAGGGATATAGATAACCCCAGGCTTCTCCCCTGCTTCCAAGACCACATAATTCTAGGTGTACAGTGTTCACAGGTCTCTAGTCCTATCATCACAGGCCATTAGCAATTTCTCATCTCTCTACTTCTCATCACAATTCACCTCTCTTATGCTCATTCCTCCAGAGTTCTGGTCTCTGTTTTGACAAGCAGCTTATGTAATAAATGTAGAAGTAAAGTATACCAAAGGCATACGTAGGATACTTTCCTTGTCCTACTTTTATTATCTCCCATTTATACTTTAACAAGAAATTTCTGAAATTATAATGGCTTAGTGGAAATCAGTGACATAAATGATAATTTCAGGAGTGAGATAGGATGTTGAGTTTTTTGAGAGGAAAAAACTTCGGGTTGACAGTCACCTAAAACGATGTATGTGGCCATAACGAAAATAATATTTGAATGTTCTTAATTATTTATGTTTTGAAGAAAAATGAGATCAACTTTAAATCACGAATTTTATAGGATTACTGTGTGTTTCACATAATTGAATATCAGCCTTTCTACATGGCACCATTGCGTGGTGTTTGGTTTGGCAGGAAAGTAACAGAGCACAGCGGATGGTACAATAAAGTGCTAGTTAACTTTTAGCCATCTTGTAGAAGTTAAATTTAATTTAATTCCAAGCTAGGGAACATTAAAATGTCTCAATTAGCTTAGCATTGAGTAATTAAGAATATGAATCTTTTTAATATAAAAAGCACCAGGATCCATTTTATAAAAGTTTTTTAAATATAATAACAGTCAACATAAAAATAGATTATCTCATAGAAGGCATGCAGGGCATACTAAACACTATAAAATATAATTGTAACAATGATAATAATACTGTAAAGCTAAAATGTTTTAAAATTAGGAATATAAATTCATCCTGTAATGTACAAAATTAACATATTTCACCATGTTGTCACTGGTTTATCTTTTACTTTAGATCAAAACAAAAGTTCAACATTATACATAATTACAGCTATTCAATAAACATTAATACTAAAACATATTGACTTAATTCTCTTTTAATAAGGTTATGATATCAGCCAAATATAACACATGTCTCATAGATGGAAATTGAAAAAGAAAAAAATACATTAAAGCATAAAATGAAACCCATAACTCCTGGCTCAAAATGCATTATATGTCAGAGTTTGAGGAATAAATTTGTTTGTTGAAAACGTATGAAATATACAGGAAACTACATAACTCTACTGCTTGGTATTTTAACTATTAACATTTCATTACTCACATTAAAAGAGCTTTTTTTCCTTTTTTTTTTTTTAAATTTGCTTGCTTGTTGGCTTGTTGCTAATGTTCTAGAAAGTATTATAGACAGGTTATTCCAATTTTCTTTGGCATCTGGTAATCACATATTTAATCACTAAGATCATTTTGCTTCCACCAGTTCTTATTACCTCTTAAAAAATGTTTATTCACACATCCTTCAGTTCATATTCTTCAAATAAAGTAGTGCAGTTTAAAGCTATGACCTAATATGTCTCTGATGCCAATCAGGAAACTAAATTTCCTAGCTAAATACTGTATTAAATAAAAACATTCTCCATCAGCCTTATCACTTACAGCATACTGTTCTTCACTCAAACACAGAAATTTCATTATAAAGAATTCTTGCCAAATATGCAACTCAGCCTTAATTTTATTTAAATTGCATACGTTGGATAGATAGAAGTAATCTGTAGATAATTTCCCATTTATATCTAGGTAGAGGACATTTTGGGCACTTAAGGAATATTTGATTCAACTGGTAGTTTCCTATGACATATTTCTTGCATATGCCTTACATGAAAATTTTCAACTTTTCTTTCCTTTCATTAACAGATTTTTCAGTAAAATGCAGACCTCAATTTTTTTTAGAGTTTGTTTTTAACTACTACTTTTTTTTAATTTGCTTATTTATAATTAAGAACTTTTAGCTTGGGCATTTTCGGTTTCAAAGTAACAGAAATTAGCTTGTAGTAGCTTTAAAAAGTGGGGCATTTTTTAAAGTACAAGGAGATATTTTACATCAGGTCATTTAAGCAGCTGGGCTTTAGGAAGGTCTATTAAAAAAAGAGCTATCAGAAACTCAGAACATGCAAATTTTGTTTTGCCATTTAAATTCACAGATAAAAAATGTAAAACATAATATTTGCAAGTATATATATATATATATATATATATATATATTGTGCAATGGCTAAATCTGGCTAACACACACATTACCTTACATATCATTTTTGTGGTAAGAACATTTTAAATCTAGCATTTTTCAAGAATAGAATATTTTGTTATCAACTATAGTAGCCATACTATACAATAGATCTCTTGAACTTATTCCTCCTATTTAACTAAAATTTTATATCCTTTGGCCAAAATTTTCCCTAGCTGACCTCCACCAACCTCACCAGTACCTGGTAACCACCATTCTACTCTCTACTTCTATAAAAACAACTTTTTATGATTTCACATATGATCGAGATTATGTGGTATTTGTCTTTATGGTCCTTATTTTTTTCACTTAACATAATGTACTCCAGTTTCATCTATGTTGTCAAAAATTACAGGATTTTCTTCCTTTTTATGTGTGAATAGTATTTCATTATGCATACGTAACACATTTTCTTTCTCCATTCATTGATATGCACTTAGGTTAAACACTTGGGTTAAACAACAAATATTTACAACTATTGTAAATAATGCCACAGTAAACATGAGAGTACAGCTATCTCTTCAACATACTGATTTCATTTCCTTTGGATGTATGCCCAGTACTGAGATTACCAGATCATATGGTAATTTTATTTTTACCTTAAGGAACCTCATACTGTTTTCTATAGTGGCTGTACTAATTTACATTCCCACCAACAGTGTGCAAGACTTGTCTTTTCTCTAAATCTTTGCCAACACTTGTTATCTTTTGCCTTTTTGACAGTAGCCATTTTAAGAGTTGTGAGGTGATATCTGATTGTGATTTTAATCTACATTTCTGATGATTAATGATGTCGAGCATATTTTTATATACCAGTTGGCCAGTCGCATTTCTTCTTTTGAGAAATGTCTTTTCAGGTCCTTTCCCCATTTTCTCATCATATTATTTGTTTTCTTACTATTGAATTGCTTAAGTTAACTCCTCATTAGATGTATAGCTTGCAAATATTTTATCACATTGTTCCATTTGTCTCTTCATTCTGTCAATTGTTTATTTTGCTGTGTAGAAGCTTTTTAGTTTCATGTAATTTCATTTGTCTATTTTCACTGTATTAACTGTGCTTTCGGGGTAATATTTTCTAAAAAAAATCATCGCCCAGACCAATGACATGGAGCTTTTCTCTTGTGTTTTATTATAGTAGTTTTAGAGTTGAGTTTCAGGTTACACATTGAAGTCTTTAATCCATTTCAGTTTGATTTTTATGCTTGGTTGGGATAAGGGTCATTTTTCTGCATGTTGATACTCAGTTTTGCAAATATCATTTATTGAAGATGATGTCTCTTTTTCCTATTGTGCGTCCTTGTCTCTTTTATCAAAAATCAATTGGCTGTAAATATACAAATTTATTTCTGGGCTCTATATTCTATTCCATTGGTCTATGTGTCTGTTTTTATGCAAGTACTATGTTGTTTTGGTTACTGCAGCTTTGTAGTATATTTTGAATTCAGATAGTGTGATGCCTCCAACTTTGTTCTATTTGCTCAAGATTACTTTGGCTATTTTAGAAATTTTCTGAATTTCTTTGTCAGATAGTTTTCTGTTCATTTATAAAAGACTACTAATTTTTGTTAATTTTGCACCCTTCAACTTTGTTGACTTTTTTATTAGCTCTCATAAATTTTTGGTTGAGTCTCTAGGGTTTTCTGTTTATAAGATCATGGCTTCCGCAAATAAGGACACATTAATTTCGTTCTTAAACGTTAGATGTCTTTTATTTATTCTTCATGCCCGATTGATCTGGCTAAGACTTCTAGTACTGTGTTGAATAAAAGTGGCGAAAGGGTTATTATTGTATTTTCCAGATCTTAGAGGAAAACTTTTAAACTTATCTCTAAGTGTGATATTAGCTGTGGGTTTGTTACATATAGCCTATTTTTGAGTTCAGGTACGTTCCTTCTACAACAAGTGTTTTGAGGGTTTTATCATTAAATTATGATAAATTTTGTCAATTTTTTTCTGCATCTATTGAAATGTTTTTATTTTTAATTATGTAACTGTCATGTATTACATTTACCAATTTGCTCATGTTTAACTATCCCTACGTTTCTAGGATGAATCCAACTTAATCACAGTAAATGATCTTTTCAAAGTACAGTTGAATTCAGTTTGCTGATATTTTGTTAAGGATTTCTGTTTTTAGATCTATTTGGAATATTGACCTGTAATTTTTCTTTCTTCCTTTTTTATTTTTATATTTTGTAGCTTCTTTGTCTAGCTTTGGAATCAAAATAATGCGAGCTTCATGACATCAGTTTGGAGTATTCCCTGTTCTTCTATTTTTGCAAGAGTTTTAGAAGAATTTGTATTGTTCCTCTTTTAAATGTTTGGTAGAATAGAGCAGTAAAGTCATCAGGTCCTTGTCTTTTCTTTGATGGGAGACTTTTAGTACTAACTCAGTCTCCTTACTCATTATTAGTCTGTTCATACTTTTTACTTTTTTGTAATTCAGTCTTGGTTGATTGTATGTTTCCACAATTTATTGCTTTCTTTTCGAGTTATCCAATTTGTTAGCAAATGGTTGTTTATAATAGTCTTGTATGATCCCATCTATTCATTCATCCACTCGATGTCTTTTAATTGGAAATCTTAATACATTTAATACGTTGAGGGGAAATTTTTTTCTTCTGGCGGAGGGTATGGAGTCTTGCTCTGTTATCCAAACTGGAGTACAGTGGTATGATCATAGTTCACTTCAGCCTCAAACTCCTTTGCTAAAGCAATCCTCCTGCCTTGGCCTCCTTAGTAGCTGAGACTACAGGTGTGTGCCACCATGGCCAACTATTTTTTTATTTTTTATTTTTTGTAGAGACAGGGTATTGCTATGTTAACTAGGCTGGTCTCAAACTCCTAGTCTCAAGTGAACTTCTTACTTCAGCCTCCCAAAGTGCAGAGATTACAAGCGTGAGCCATCACACCTGGCTACATTCACAGAAATTATTGATAGATCAGGACTTCCCACTGCCATTTTGTTCATTGTTTTCTAGTCTGTTTTCTAGATCCTTTTTTTCTTTCTTCCTCTCTTGCTACCTTCCTTTGTGGGTAAGCGATTTTATCTAGTGGTAAGTTTTGACTCCTCCCTTTTTATTTTTTGCATACCTATTATGAGTTTTTGCTTCGTGGTTACAATGAAGCTTTAAAAATACATCATATAGTCGTAACATGTTAGTTTAAGCTGTTATCAATTTATCTTTATTCACAAATAAACTTTTACACTTTCATTCCACTCTCCCCACTCCTCAAATTTTGATGTTTTATGTCACCATTAATATTTTTATATTGCCTACAGATTTTATTATCAGTAAAACCTGCAACCAAATCCCGGTTATTCCATTTTATAGTTGCATGGTCTTGTGCATGGCATTTAATTTATCTGAGCATCATTTCCTCAAATGTACAAAAATATCTACATCATACCATTGTTCTGTGGATTTAATAGCATGTAAGTTACTTAATAGAGCACATCAATTTGGTTAATCCTGCCAATGGTTTTGGTCTCTACTCTTATAAAATCTCTGAGATAATTATTCCCAGATTATCTAACCCCTTGTTCTACTTTATTTTATTACACAGTTTATAATATTATTTAAGTTAGTTATTTCTGTTTGTTTTCATTTATTAGCTGTCTCTTCCATCAGATTGTAGACTTCATGATAGCTGGTTATTTGTTTAAATTATTCACTAACATAATCCCACTTCCTGAAACAAAGTCTAGTAAGTACAAATTTGTTTAATGAAGGAAATATTTGCTAAACTCGTGGGAGCTACTATATTTCAGTGAAATGATATAGCACATAATTTTATTCTAGATCTTTGAATATATGGTGACATGACAAGCAATATTTGTAAATTAATTTCTAATAATGTCTATTTAATTTCTTACAGTAAATATGAAGAGACTGTCTCCTAATAAAAATAAAAAGAGAAATAAAACAATGAAAGCAGTAATGGATTGGAAAATTAAGTCAGTATAATATTCATTATTTCAAAGCTGTGAGAAGTGAATAAAACTCTCTAAAATTGCTCTCTTTGCCTGTCTTTCAGCCTAAGGAAGATAACTTTGGATTGTGGTGTTATGCAAAATTTTTGACTATTTGTGTAGCGTTCTGAACTCTATACATTTACAACATGAAAAATGTAGAACTGCTTTAAATTGGATTGAAGATCATTTTGTTTTAAAGTATAGTGTATTTAAAATAATATTTTTATTTATAGTAAACTATTAAATTATCTAAAATCAAAAATTAAAAATCATCTGGTTAATACATTTTAAGGGATTAGCTAGACTTCTATGACTCTTTGCTCACAGGATGAAATCAAATATATATAAATACAAAGAAAGAATACTTGGCATTAAGAAATGAGTAAGCATTTAAAAATGGGATTAAAAAGCATAGACATGGAGAAAAATAAAAATTAAGGTAGAGAAATGTAAGGTAGATACGGGCACTGAGAAGTAAGTATTATCTATAATTGTGTGAAAGACTATTTACCCTGATTTGAAATGGGAAAATCCACCCTAAAATGTCCTGAAAGTTTCTCAGTAACTGGGCTCCGTATCTTAAATGGCTTCAAAAAGTCGATGAGAGCATAACTGAAGACACGGCAAATAATAAAAGACTGTAATAAATTAGTGGAGCAAGGTTTTCTTCAAAATTACAAAGTCAATCATGTGAAAATATTATCCCAAAGTATTTGTTATTGGTTGCTATTATGGCATCCAGTATTTCATTGCTTTCAGACTTCTTTATTTTTTCTGAATCTGATCTTCAAACACTATCTTCTTCAAGTTCAGTGTGGCTACCTAAAAATGTTCCCATCTTGCTCTGAGAAGTAAGGCTCTAGGGAAAAATTCACTGGAATGTCAGCCACAGTATGCAAAAGTGGATGAAGAAATACAGAATGAAGAAAAGGACATGAAATTAGTCTCTAGAAATGTATGAATTAAATTGGATTAATCACAATATATACTATATAAAAAAGTATGCAGTACATAAATACACAGATACAAAATATAGGCATCATTTTTGAAGTTATGTTATAATATATTGAGGCTATTTTATTAGAAAACGAACTTTATGCTAACTGTATAAAGGAAAAAAGAATAATTGCAGAAGAAATAATTTATAATTTGCTTTTCCTTGGTTTTATTTAAAAATTAAATTAATTAAATTATAAGTATATTGTTTCCATATAATTTATAATAAATAAGGCATATAGGCCAGGCACGGTGGCTCATGCCTGTAATCCCAGCACTTTGGGAGGCAGAGGTGGGTGAACGCCTGAGGTCAGGCGTTCAAGACCAGCCTGGCCAACATGGTGAAACCTCGTCTCTACAAAAAATACAAAAATCAGCTGGGCATGGTGTCAGATGCCTGTAATCCCAGGTACTTGGGAGGCTGAGGCAGGAGAATCTCTTGAACCCAGGAGGCAGAGGTTGCAGTGAGCCGAGATCATGCCATTGCACTCCTGCCTGGGGGACAAGAGCGAGACTTCGTCTCAAAAACAAAACAAAACAAAACAAAAACAAAAAAAAACACAAAGAAACAAAAAACCATTTAAAGCAACAAATTACTCATTTCTTAGCTATATTCTGTTTAATTAAAAAATAGGGTATCCTCTATGTAAAGAAAAATATAATGTTATTGAGCCATTTTCTTCAGAAGAACAAGCTACTCTACCTATGTAGAGTGATAATGTATCCTCAGGATTGAAGATCAAAAGAGGTAATATATACAAACATTCTTTGAAAGGTGCCTTATAAAACAAAAAATTGTTTTATCATAAAAATTTAAGGTAGTGCAGAGAGCTAACATGAAAAATGTAAACATTGGCAATAAGAACAAAGATATACTATGTTTGAAAAATGGTTGAAGTCCCTTTCGAATATCTATGTCAACATTCATTTTATGTAGACATAAACAGGTGTCAAAATTATTTCTGTTCTGCCAACATTATTTTTCTGGAAATAATTATTAGGAAGCACTAAACTGTATTTACACTAACCATCTGTTTATACAGTTGCCTTACAAAGACAGTATTAGAATAAAAAAAGCCTCAGGCACTTCTATTATAATAATGAATGTCTCATGAGATGGGATGATGTGCAGGTTACAACATTCTGATAGTAATTTCTAATGCATTACAGTAGAGCATGGACTCTTGAGAATCAGATGAAATTTTCTTCCATCTAGATTACATTTTCTCACTGTCCCAATGTGCTTGATATGAACTGACACCACCATAAATACTTTTATCTGAATGGCAGCACTGTCATAGTTAGACAGAGAAATATATAGCGTTGAGTGAAAAATAATTTTAGATACTTTCCAAGTGCTTTTTGCTGTTGTAACAGTAATTCCTGCAAAGTACATACTAAACCATGTAAAATTACAATCCTGACTATTGAGTTAGTGAATTATGTATACTTTGAGGAAAGCGGAAAATGTGTATTCAGATAGTATGTAAGATAGCTGCGCTTTCTGGAGGCTTATAGATCTACATATTGCCTATGTAATCACTCGAGGAAGGAAACCAAGTGCTCTTGCCCTTCTAATGAATTTTGAATGCATCAGTAATCACTGTATTATGTATCTCCAATTAACTAGAGAAACAGGCTCACAATATTCTAAATTTGTACACTAAGGAAGTACATAACACTGTGTTGTTAATTGAGAAAATACTCATTCCAACAAGGTTAACAACCCTAAAGGAGTTAAAATTTATCAAGTGCTTGAACAATGCATAGCACTTATTAAGTGCTAAACAATTTGTTGACAATTAAATATTCACTGTTTGAATTTTGTAAATTGCATTTTCTTCATAAAACACTGCATAAATTTGTCTCATATTTTAAATTATGACTTTCCTTTTTTTCTTCAATGAGTCTAAATAACATTGGTGGTGTTAGATATGATTGAACTCTATTATTGATTGAATTCACTAAGCAAATTATCCAGCTTTTTTAAATAGTCAGATGATATTTTGAAGACTTTGCCATGTTGTATGATTACTCTAATTGCTTAAATATTTTAGTAACATAAAAACAAGTTGTAGCAGTAGTGATGAATTGTATATCCAACAAGATTTCAATGCAACTTTATGTAACTTTATGTCACATCCTTGACCACTATGCTTGCTGTATTTCTAAACAATTTAACTTGCTATTATTTAAAGCCTGATTAAAATATAAACTCTTGATAAAGTGTTCCCAAACTCTGTGCTAAATTTCTTAACCCAGTGCCAAATGTAAAGGCAGAAGAGACATTTTAAAAAACTTTTACTTTTTCTCATCAACTGTCTCTTCAATTATTTCTATCAATTTCCTAGGTACCATTGCTCAAGAAATTCAAGAACAATTATAAAGAAATTGAGAAAATAGATTCCAAATTTATATAAAAATTTAAAGTTCCAATAATGTCAAAAAATCTTGATGAAAGAATAATTTTGGACTTAAATTACTATCTTGAGATGTATTACATATATTCAGTAAAAGATTAACCTTGCCCAAAGAAAGGTTTGTTGTTTTGCACTGATGTTCTGAGGGGTAATTTGAACTTATTGGAATGTACTGCCTGATAAGAGTGTCTTCATTTGCTGTAGGACCCTGTGCTATGCCACTGTACCTATGCTAACAATGTAGTTTATGTTGGGGACTTCGGACCGTATGGTGTCATCTCAATCTCTGGATGGTCTGGAGACGAAATTCAGCCATATGGGTGGTCAGCAGTGTCTACATGATAAAAAGTCTGGATACCAGTCCTTGTATGAATTTTCCTGGTTAGCAATGCTCCATGTGTATTGCCACACATTGTTGCTAGGAGGAATATGTTCACACAACTCCTTTAAGAGATGACAACAGGAAGCTTCATGCTTGTTCTTTCCTGCACCATGCTCAATAAGCCTTTTTCTATTGCTTCTTTTAATCTGTATCCTTTCATTAACATGAAATGAAACCATGAGTATAACAACTTTGTTAAGATCTGTGAGCCTTTCTACAGATTTATTTAACCTAGAGGAGAGGTTTTAGAGACCTTCCTGACTGTATTTATACAACTATGATTTTAAATTTATTTTGAACACACAGAAAAAAACCAAAGGAAGAGAATGCACTATGTGATGCAATGTTGTTGCCAACAGCCACACAGCCATATGTTGCTATTTAAATTACATATAAATAAATTAAAATGAAATAAAATTAACTCTTCAGTTCCTCACATGCATTATATAAATATCCAGTGCTCAACAGCTATAAGGCTTTTGGCTATTATATAGAATTGCACAGATATAAAACATACCCATCATGAAAGAAACATATTGAACAGCACTTCAGTGAAAGTCCAACAAAAGAAAGGACAGGTTGATAAATGTTGTGAAAGATAAATGTTTCAGATGAATTGTGCATTAACATTTGAGAGGTAAAAGTACAACACATCTAGAAAAGCATATGTGAAACAAATTAAAGGTTTACACACACATTTGGCAAAAAAAATACACATAAATATAACTACAATAGTGGTATATGTTGTGAAACAGAAGTTTGCTCTGAAAGTATATAATAAAAATGCCTAGTGATGCTCAGGTTAATGCTAATTGTGAAAAAAAGAAAAACTTCCCTGAATTTCCCCGTGTTCTTGTAAAAACCCCAGCTTCCTAGAACCATCTTCGTATACCAGGAAATATGTAGACATTTGTCTAGTTCACTGCTGTGACCTCGAAGGCCAGTAAAATGTCTCTTATTACTTGGAGGTGCCCAAACAGTTACAGCACTGGACTAGGTCCCTAGTAAAGTATCAAAGGCTCCTGGAAAGATTGAAGCTTTATCTTTCTAGGTATTAGCATATCAATGAGGAATAAGACCCAACCACTTGGAGATAAATTTAGGTCTTAAAAGCTGAGACATGCAGAGCTATCAGACTCCTGCAAAGATATTTTCACATCTTAAAGAGCTAGAAAATAAAAGTGGGACTATTGCATGGAGGAGACACTTTGAGGTAGTGAGAGAAATAGCTACCTCCTTCTACTCTATAAGTACAGGAAAATCATCCTCTAAACCTCTTATTTTTGGACTTACAACCACTCAGGCAGGAAAATTCCCACCACTGGCTCTCATGGTGTCACGCTAAGTGTAATGACTAGAGCAATGAGGGCATGGAGATAGATACACATGTTATTTATTGTAAAGTTTAAAAAAATCTTTCTAATTCCACAGAGATTTTATTTGCACTCCTGATAAAATAAGTAGAGATGCATATTCAAAACCCAGCACTAACACATGTACTATATCTAAAATTTTTGAATGCTTTTATATCTTTTACATGACAGTAAGTGCTTATCCTCCAATTTACAAATGAGAAAATAAAGACAGAGAGAAGTTAAATATCCTGTCTAACTACAATGACCTATCTCATAAGTGGTAGAGCTATGCTTTAATAAAAGAATTTGATTCCAAAGTCCATGTGATTAAAATCTGTGATATAAAATGAGGAGACCTTCTTAAGGAGCTTTCAGTTAAGATGCTACTTGAAAGCTTTAGGCAGGTGTAGGTGGGGTGATGATTGTCCAAACAGAGAGAAAATAACTTAAAAAAAAAGATTTGGCATATTAAAAGGAGAGAGAAAATGCCGAACCAAAGAAGAAAACTCATAATTAGTATAGATCTACTGACAAGACAGCATTACAGTTTTTATTTTGTAGACTCCTACTAAGGGTAACGTACACACATTATTGCTTCAACATTGTATAGATATTCCTGAATAATCTCATACTTCACTAAATTGCAAGCCAAAATATCAAGGCTTACAAATAAAGATAAAGCCAGAAGCAGATTACTTCAAATATAGATTCCTAAAAAAGATAACCATCCAAAGAAAACCAGTAGCACAGCTAGCTCTCCCCTGACTTTCACACACAGAATCATATCCTTAGTAGCCCTAAAATGTAAACTCTGCTTTCTTCATTCCTGTGGATCCTTACAGGGATTCACTTTCAAAAAAGACCAGTGTTATCAAAATTCTAAACTTGAAATCAATAAACATTGATATGCAAATGCCTAAAGAGATAAAGAGATTGTGTAGTACTCTTTATCTTTGGTGTTTTTTTTTTAATTTGGAGAAAATGTTTTCACCTTTTCCTCATTTATACTCTCTGCTTTCTGAAATAATTTAACAGAGTAGAATCAAAGAAGTTCTTGAAGCAATAAATCAACTACTACTTTCATTAAACAAAGGCATTTTCGTAGAGGCTTTAGTTATTCTTAAGGTTTTTATGTTGCCTAGGTTTGTCCTTTTGTTACTAAGCTAGCAATGCCCTTACTTCCAAACATGCTTAGAAGCCAATACTATGGCACAGGCTTTTGAGAAAAGAAAGGTTTACTGTCAATCAACTGGAAAGGAGACAGAAGACAGCACTCAAACTTGTCTTCTTCAGCTAGAGACTGGGGTAGGTTTTATAGACAGAGGGTAATGAGGCATGATGTAATTAGATATTGGAATGAAGTGATGTCTGGAATCATGATCTGACTGGACTCTGCCACGGTGTGATGCCAGGGCTCAGTCTAATTGGATGATGGATTATGAAGTGTGTGCTTCTTCATTCAGTCCCCTTTCCTTGGATTGAGCACTTAGGTTCTGCCTGTGGTTGCATGCCTGGTTAATCTGGGCACGCCTGGGTTACATAACTTGAAACCTGGGGTCCATGGCGACTGAAAAACAACTCACTATTTTATGATACAAAGTTAAACCAGATTGTGGTTCTGTGGTTACACTGTCCTGTGGGAAAACTTGTCAACTGAAGCTTTAAAATATTAATGTACCTGAACAAAATTACATATAAAACAAATCAGCTTCTAAGTTATATTAATATTGTTTCCTATTTACTGATATGGGAGCTAACACTCATTAAAGTAAAACATTTGAGAAAAAACAGACTTGACTCATAATAAATATTAAATGTGATACTTATTAGTCCTTTATGAAATAATTTATGTATTAAGAAATATCACCATTTTAATATTTTGTAGCTGAGAGTTTACTTTGCAGTTGAAATTTGTGTCATTACTTTGACATAGATCTTTCCTCAGTCATATGGAAACTGTTACAACTTCAAGTTTTTGTCCTTATTTACTACTTTTCAATATGCATGGGAGTAAATTAAATTAACATCTCAGATCATCTCTTAGTTCATTTGTAAGTTGAAAAGGTTAGAATTACTAGGTATCTTGCAAACTTGACCAGCTCTGCAGCAAGTTTTAGAGAAAACAAAATGTAGCTTTAATTATTTGAGTTCATATTCTTTAGGAGAAAATTTCTAAGAGTTTCTCACAATATATCTCTACATATCATTTTATATATCTATAGTTTCTTTATGTAGAGATATAGATATATAGAGAAATTATAGATGCATATGTACACACATATCTATGTAGATACAGATAAACATACACAGAGAGACATGTACATGCATACACACATATATATGTTTAGACAATTTTAATTTTTATGAAGAACGTGTGTGTATGTGCATGAGTGTGTGTATACATATGCATATATATTTGTTTATATGTTTTATTAGAAAAACAAAGTGGTAGATGCCCCTTCTGAGAAATATCCTTAAAGTCTTTTAATGGTCTCCGATTTCAGTTACCTTGTAGTCCACACTCTTTACCATACCCTTGTTATAACTATGTGGGCAGTTTTATATTAAGAAATTTTGACTTATTGGATGAACCACAAGGAACCCAAAAAGCATAAAAAATCATAAAATATGTGGTATATTTTATTTTAAAAATAATTTTATAGACTCACTGGGTATATGTGCAGGTTTGTTACATGAATATATTTTGTAGTGATGAGATTTGGAATTCTAGTGTACTTCTCACCCAAATAGTGAATATTGTACCCAACAGATAATTTTCAACGCTCATTCTCATCCCATTCTCCCCTATTTTGGTGTCCCCATTGTCTACTGCTTTTATCCATCACAGTGTGTACCATTGTTTAGCTCTTACTTATATGTGAGAACATGAAATATTTGATTTTCCGAATCTGAATTATTTCACTTAGGATAATGGCCTCCAGCTCCATTTATGTTGTCTCTCAGGACATGACTTCATTATTTTTATGGTTACTTAGTGTTCCATTGTGTACATGTATCACACTTTGTTTATTCAATCGTCTACTGATATATACTTAGATTCCATGACTTTGCAATTGTGAGTAGTGAACTGTTTTGTGATAAACATATGAGTGTAGGTGTCTTTTTGATATAACAATTTCTTTTTCTTTGAGTAGATATCAGTAGTGGGATTGCTGGGTCGAATGGTAGCTATATTTTCAGTGATTTGAGAAATCTCCATATTGTTTTTCACCGTGGTTGTGCTAATTTACATTCCCATGCACAGTATATAAGTGCTCCCTTTTTTTCTTCATCCTCACTGACATCTGTCATTTTTTGACTTGTTAATCAGAGCAATTCTGATGGCTGTGAGTAGGTATCTCATTGTGATTTTAATTTGTATTTCTCTGATGATTAGCAATGTAGAAAATTTTTTCATATGTTTGCTTTACACTTTTATGTCTTCCTTTTAGAAGTGTCTGTTCATGTCTTTGGCAGATTTTTTAATTGAGATTTTCTTTTTATCTTTTGAGTGGTTTGAGTTCCTTGTAAATTCTGGATATTACTGCTTTTCAGATGCATAATTGGTGCATATTTTCTCCCATTTTTATGTTGTCTGTTACATTCAATTCTTTCTTTCCCTCTCTTTCTTTCTTTCTTTCCTTTCTTTCTTTTTCTTTCTTTCTCTTTCTCTTTCTTCTTTCTTTCTCTTTCTTTCTTTCTTTCTTTCTTTCTTTCTTTCTTTCTTTCTTTCTTTCTTTCTTTCTCTCTCTCTCCCTCTCGCTCTCTTTCTTTCTTCTTTCTCTCTCTCTCTCTCTCTCTTTCTCTCTTCCTTTCTTTCTTTTTGTTCCAGGGTACATGTGCAGGATGTGCACATTTGTTTCATTGGAAAATGTGTGCTATGATGGTTTGCTGCACCTATCAACGCATCACCTAAGTAATAAGCCCAGCATGCATTAGCATTTTTCTTGATGTTCTCCCTCCTCCCTCACCTGCCCAACAAGCTCCAGAGTGTGTTGTTCTCCTCCCTGTGTCTATGTGTTCTCATTGATCAGCTCCCACTTATAAGTGAGAACATGTAGTGTTTGGTTTTCTGTTCCTGCATTAGTTTGCTGAGGATAATGGCTTCCAGCTCCATCCATGTCCCTGCAAAAGACATGATCTCATTCTTTTTTATGGCTGCATAGTATTCCATGATGTAATCAACACAAATGCCCATCAATGATAGACTGGATACATTTAAATTTTTAATCTACCTTAAGTTAATTTTTGTATATGCTGAGAGATAGGGGTCCAGTTTCATTCTTCTGCATATGGCTGTATAATTTTTCTGTCACCATTTATTAAATAGGATGCCCTTTTACCATTGTTTATTTTTGTCAACTTTGTCGAAAAAAAGTTTGTTGTACATACGTGGCTTTATTTCTGAGATATTTATTCTGTTCCAATGACCCGTTTTCTTTTTTTGCAGTAGAATCTTGTTATGTTCATTACTATAGCCTTATGGTATAGTTTGAAGTGAGATAACACGATGCCTCCAGCTTTATTCTTTTACTTACAATTGCTTTGACTACTTGGGCTCTTTGTGGTTGTATATGAATTTTAGGATTTTCTTCCAACTCTGTAAAAAATGACTGGTAATTTGATTGGAATTGCTTTGAATCTGTAGATTACTTTGGGCAGTATGATCATTTTAACAATATTGAGTCTTCCAACCCATGAGGATGGGATACTTGTCTATTTGTTTGTGTCATCTGTTTCTTTCATCAGTATTTTCAGATCTCTTTGTATAGTTCTTTAACCTCCTAGGCATTGTTTTTTTCTATTGCAAATACGATTGAGTTTTGATTTGATTCTAACTTTTAATGTTATTGTTTTCTAGAAATAATACTGATTTTATATGTTGAGTTTGTATCCTGACACTTTACTGAATAATTTATCATGTCTTGGAGTCTTTAAGAGAAGTCTTTAGGGTTTTCTATGTATAAGATTACATCATCAGTCAATCGAGATAATTTGCCTTAGTCTTTCATAATTTAATTTATTAAATAACTTTAATTTCTTTCTCTTGACTGATTGCTCTATCTAGGACTTCCAGTACTGAGTTGAATAAGAGTGGTGAGAGTGAGTATCCTTGTCTTGTTCCAGTTCTTAGGGAGACTGTTTTCAACTTGTGCTCATTCAGTATGATGTTGACTCTGGGTTTATCATGCATAGCTTTTATTATTTTGAGGTATAGTTCATTTATTCCTAAATAGTAGAGGGTTTTATCATAAAGAGATGTTGGATCTTATCAAATGCTTTTTGCGCATTGATTGAAATTTTCATATGGTTTTTGCTTTTAATTGTGTTTATGTGGTGAGTTACATTTATTGACTTGTGTATTTTGAACCTTCCTTGCATCCGTGGGATAAAATCCACTTCATCATGATGTATTATCTTTTTGAAATGCTGCCAGATTTGGTTTGCTAGTATTGTGCTGAGGATATTTGTATCAATTTTCAACAGGTATATTGGTCTGTAGATTTCTCTCTTTTTTTTTTCTTCTTTGTATTGTTTTTTGGTATGTCCTTGCATACTTTTTGTATCAGGGTCACACTGGCTTCACGGAGTGAATTAGAGTAGAATCCCTCTTCCTAGATATTTTGAAATAGTTTCATGAAGATAGCCACCAACTCTTCGTTGTATGTCTGATAAAATTTGGCTATGAATCCATCTGGTCCTGGGCTTTTTGTTGGGAGATTTTTTTTTTAATTATCGATTCAATTTTATTATTCTTCATTGGTCTGTTCAGAAGTTTTGCTTCTTACTGAATCAAACTTGGGAAGTTGTGTGTTTCCAGAAATCTATTTCCTCCAAAGTTTTCTAGTCTGTGCATATGGATATATTCATAATCTCTCATAATCTTTTGTATTTCTATAGTATCAGTTGTGATATCATCTTTATCATTTCTAATTGTGCTTATTTGAAACTTCTGTCTTTTTTCTTGGTTAATCTAGCTAGCAGTCTAACAATTTTGTCTATCCTTTCAAAGAATGAACTTTTCATTCCATTGAGATTTTGTACGATATTTTATTTCAATTTTATTTAGCTCTTTTCTGAACTTTGTTATTTCTTTTTCTCTGCTAGCTTTGGTTTTGGTTTATCCTTGCTTTTTTAGTTCTTTTGGTGTGTTGTTGAGTTCTTAATTTGAGATATTTATATCTTTTCAATATAGGTATTTAACCATATAAAATTTCATTTTAAGACTGCTTTTGCTGTGTCCCAAAGGTTTAGGTATGTTGGGTCTCTGTTTCTATTTATTTCAAATATTTTTTTATTTCAGCCTTAATTTCTTTGTTTACCCCTGTCATTCAGAAACCAATTGTGTAATTTTAATATATTTCTGTGGTTTTGAGTTTATTTTGGTGTTCATTTACAATTATTTGATTTTCTTGAATTTATTGAGACTCAATTTATGGTCAAGTATATGGACTACTTTGAAGAATATATATGTATTATTTTGAAGAATGATTAAAGAATGACGAAACAATTCTAGTTTTTTGTTTCATTTCATTTTGATACAGAGTCTCTCTCTGTTGGACAGGCTGGAGTGCAGTGGTGGGATCTTGGCTCACCGCAATCTCCATCTCCCAGGTTCAGGTTCAGGCAATTCTCCTGCCTCAACCTCCCAAGCAGCTGGGATTACAGGCGTGTGCCACCACACCTGGCTACAATTCTAGTTTTGTCTAAAATTTCTTCGTTGGTTTTCTGCTTCAGTGATCTATCTAATGCTGTCAAAGAGGTATTGAAGTTCCACACTACCAGTGCATGGCTATCTATCTCTTTTTTTTAGGTCCAGTAGTATTTGCTTTACGAATTTAGGTGCCCTGGTGTTGGATGTATGTATATAAAGGATAGTTATAACTTCTTATTGGATTGAAATCATTATGATGACCTTGTTTGTATTTTTTTTACTTTTTTTGATTTAAAACCTGTTTGATCTCATATAAATATAGCAACTCCTGCTTGTCTTTGGTTTCCATTGTGTGGTATATTTTTTCCACCACACTTCTTTGACTCTGTGGGTGTTTTTACCCATTGCCTTTGTCTCCAGTAGGCAGCAAATGTTTGAATCTTGTTTTTTTTTTTTCATCCAATTTGCCAGTCTATATCTTTAAGTGGGGACATTTATGTCAGTTATGTTTAAGGATAACATTGCTATGTGAGTCTCTGTTCCTGTCACAGTGTTCTTACATGGTTGATTTGTAATTTTAATTTTGTGATTGCCTTATAGGATTTGTGAGCTTTGTACTTACATGTGCTTTTATGAAAATCAGTATTGTCTTTCATTTCCATTTTTAGATTTCCTTCACACATTTCTTGTAAGGCCACCCTAGTGATAACACATTCCCTTAGCATTTGCTTATCTGGGAAAGGCTTTCTTTCTCCTTCATTTATGAGACTTAATTTATAAGCTTACAAAGTTCTTGTCTGGGAAATTTTTTCTTTAAGAGGACTGAAAATAGGACTACAGTTCCTTCTGGCTTGTAAGGTTTCTTCTGAGAGGTCTACTGTCAGTCTGATGGAACTCCTTCATGGGTGATTTGACACTTCTCTCTTGATACTTTCAACTTTTTTTCTGTCTGTTGAATTTAAATGGTCTGATGATAATCTCTTGATGATGTTCATCATGCAAAATATCTTCCAGTTTATATTAGGCTTGTATTGCTACAAAGAAATACCTGAGATTGGGTAATCTGTAAAGGAAAGAGGTTTAATTGGCTTATAATTCTGCAGGCTTTACAGGAAGCATGGTGCTGGCATCTGCTCAGCTTCTGATGAAGCCTCAGGAAGCTTTCAATCATGGTAGAAGGTGAAGCAAGAATTAGCGTGTCACATGTCAAAAGCAGGGGTAAGTCAGAAAGAATTGGAGGGTGCTGCACACTTTTAAATAACAAAATCTTGTGTGAACTCAGAGTGAGAGCTCATTTATCACCAAGGGGATAACCCAAGCCATTCATGAGTGAATCACCTGCATAAACCAAACACCTGTCATCAAACCCCATCTCCAGCATGGGGGATTACAATTTAACATAACATTTGAGTGGGGATAAATATCCAGATTATATCAAAGTTGTACTCTGAGGTTCTTGAACCTGGATTTCTGCATCTCTATCAAAACCAGGGAAATTTTCCTGAGTTATTCCCTCACATTGGTTTACTAATCATTTTAATTTTTCTTCTTATACCTCAGAAATATATATAACTCATAGGTTAGGTCACTTTCCATAATCTCATATTTCTAGAATGCTTTGTTTATCTTTAAAATTTAAAAAAAAAATTGTCTGACTGGGTTTGTTGAAAAAAGCCTAAATTTGCACTCTGAGATTATTTCTTCTCTTTGGTGTAGCCTGTTGTTAAAACTTTAAATGGTAATTTGTAACTCAATTTTTCATTTTCAGAAGTTATGTTGTACTTTAAAAAAAGATATCTATGTTTTCTTTCACATCTTGTACTATCTCTCTGATTTTTTTGTGTGTGGTTTTTAACTTTCTCTTGGATATCATTGAGCTTCCTTATTATCTTTATTTTAAGATGTTTTTACCTATCATTTCAGAATTTTTATTTTAGTTATAATCCAGTGCTTGGGGATTAGTGTAGTTCTTTGAAGATATTGCAACTCTCTGTTGTTTACTGGTACCAGAGTTCTTACACTGATTTCTTCTCATCTGGGGAAGCTGTCACTTCTGACTTTTACATTTACTCTCATTTGAATTTTTTTTTTTTTCACCTGAGGTTGCAAATGTAGCATATGTGGGAAGATTCTTTGGCTTTGCTTATTTAGCCTGTGCACTTCTGTCAGTAGGTTTTTTTTAGTGTGTCAGGCAGTTCAGCCTCCAGGCCAGCAGGTGGCACCTGTGAGCAACAACAAGGTGCCGCAGGAACACTTGGATGTATGCTGGACCTTTGTTTACTAGGATGTACTCTGTATTGTTCTGGTGATGGGCTAGTCTCTGTGTTCATCCTGGTGGGGAGGTCAAAACTAGGTGGAACTGGACTACCAAGATCACCTATGAATGTCCCAATGACCAGCTCACACACCAGCCCTGATGCAAGTGTTTGAGGGAGCCCTTGGTGAAATGTGTTGAGGTTACCATAGGTTGGGGAGGGAGCTGCACCAGATCCATATCCTGGGCAGGTAAGAATCTAATGTGTTTTCCTATCACACCTCTGTCCCAGGGCTCATGACTCTCAGATCAGACAGACAGTTTCCTATACCTCCAGTCCAGAATGTAGCTAATAGCCATGGAAAATGCCTGTCTCAAAGTACTCTGTGGTAGTGGGACAGGGTGAGACTTCTTCCCTCAGCCCGATACAGACAGCATTGTGGCTTGCCTGTTCTCCAGTGCAGATATGCTGCTACTTCATGTAGATAAAGGTAAGCGTTCTACCTTGTGGCACATATGTAGATCAAGGTAAGTGTTCTACCTTGTGGCACATATGAGTGGTAGTCAGCTATGGTGGTGTCAGATGGCTGGACTGGCCCAATCTCAGACCCCAGGAGCAGTGATCAGGTTCCAACAGTGGTGGACTGGACTAGGCAATCCCTCAATCTTTAGATTCCTAGATGGTCCCCCAGACCTTGTGCTTGAGTCCTAGAGTGTCTGGACTGGACTGGACTTGTCCTCAGGTCCTCAGGTCCTCATGATCCCGGTGCTGACTGTGATAAAGATGGGCAGGTTGGCTCCAAGAGTGCTGGCCGAATGCTGAGGCAGCTAAAGCCTGAAGGTGGTAACAGCCAGGACAGATTGAAGGCTTCTGGGGCCTGAGATCCCAGGAGGGTGCTGGGCTGCAGCTTAAATGATTAAATAGGGGCAGGGCAGCTGCACTAGGATCTGTCCAGAGGGAATACAGACACCCCATCTACCAACTCCCCAGTCACTGGGAGTAGTGGGAGCAGCAGCTGTGAGATGCATGGCCCACTCACACCTCCCTCTTGCAGGATCAGTGGTGGTACATGTCATGGGGGTATGAGAAGGTGTCTGGTCTCCCCTCTCCCTCTCTACCACAGTGGTGGGAGACCCTTGGCAGAGTTCAGGTCTCTGTGGGCTGGGCCCTCTGAAGGGCACCCAGCCACAGCTAAAATGCTTAGGCAGGGGCAAGATGGTTGTGTGTCAATGGGGAGGGCAGGCCCCCACAGCACTAGCAATGGAAGCTGACAACTGTGGAGCATGCGGCCCGTTCACAGATAATTTGTTTTTAATTTAAAAGATATCTCAAAGATCAAGTGTATATTTCCTCCAAAGTTAAAATATAAAATATTTTGAAATATTCTGAACTTGTTTTGGTTAAAATGCTGACACATTCCTTAATGTGGAGCCCTTCTCACTATGCTGGGCCACAGTAATGAACTGTAAATCCCAAGTTATAAAAAATGAAATTGTGCTGGAAGTATCTATCCTAGTAGATGAGGCAAAAGACATGCCCTGACAATGCATGCTGACTTGTAAAGTCCTTTTTAATTGCACTGAGCATCATTTAACATATTCACTAAATACCATCCAATTATAAATAATGGAAAGCAAAGAATTATTCATTGTCAATATGCCATTATATATATATTTAAAAATGATAAACATTTAAATACTTTGATTTAACTAAAAACTGAGTGTATATAATAATGTATAATTTCTAATAACATGACAAAATAAAAATTGTCATAGTGTGATACTTTGTTTTATATATTAATAACATAGTATATAACATAACACTACAATATTATGACTGTGGTTACATATATTAATTAAATCTAATGTTAATAATCCATTAAGACTATGGCTTTTTACATCTTAAAAGGAATCTTCCCCCAATTCTGACTGTAGTTTTACAAAATGTTGTTATTAAGTACTTCCTAGATACTTTTTGGGGAGGTGAATGTATGTGAAGTAATGAGTAGAGTATGTTTGCAAATATCACTGATACCAGAAAAATAATCATTGGCCTAGGATAGTGACATCATCTGCTACCTTTTATGTAATAATTTATTATTCATCCCATCCAGCAATATTTAGTTCAAATATCAAGTTCTCTAGCGACCATCCCATAGGACTGAGAAGTTCTTCTTGTAAATTAATATAGTACTTATCATAGCTCTCTTACAGTGCTTATACTTTATTGCAATTATACATTTATTTGCCTTTTTCTGTTAAATCTCAGTTTTCAGATGCTAAACAAATGGCTATAGTATCTGATCATCATTAGCATTTTGATTCACTGTCTCTCCCAAAAAAGCCGTCTATTGCCCTCTTACTGCCTCACTTTCATTCTTTCTCTCTCTCTCTGTCTCAGAGTAGTGTATACGTGAATATGTATGAAGATGGCTTATTGCTGTGGGAAGGAGTGTAGGCCCGAGGAACATACCTGCAGTTTTCAAATGCGGGCTGCCCTACAATTGCTCAGTTGATTCTTGTCAAGTTTCTGAACTTCTTTCTGTCTGAAGTTTTTCATTTGTAAATTATGCATAATGATATAACTGGCCTCATATTGTTTTTGCAAAGATTAATTCTGATAGTAAATATGTAAATGCTTGTATTGCCTGACACATAATGAGTAATCAGTAAACATTTCTACATTCCGTTATTCATATCAACATTATTTATGAACCTTGTCTTTGTTCTAAACTTTCTATTCTAGTCTTATGCCTGTGCAAGTTCGCAATTTCACACTTTATTTATATGTCAATGACTCACAAATTAAGACCTTACTTTGTCTCTACATCACATGTCCAAATGCCCATTTGACATTCTCATTTAATAGAAATTATTCAGGCTTCTTGATTATTTCTCTCTGCTCTCCAAAATAAACCCATTTCTAATCTTAGTTTCATCAACCTGAAATACCTCAACCATCTACCTATAAGTTCAAATAAATACTCAGCTTTATCATATCTTCATCTGATATATCCAATTCATTAATAAACTTATTCAAAATATATCTCATATTCATTTATTTATCTCCATAATCTGTATTGTTACCTTTCTGGTAAAAGCCACCCTTTTGTTCTCATCTAGACTACCATATTTAGGTCATTATTATTCTCCTGGCTTTTTATTTCTCAATGCCTTATAATTATCCAGTAATTATTAAACAATTAGAGTAAACTTTTAAATATATAAGTAAGATAAAATCCAAACATCATTAAGTCTTCAAGCCCTTTTCAGGTTGGGCTTCTGCCTACTAGCTGATTGCATATCTTGTACTCTCCCTCTCTCTAACTTATTAGGATCCAGTTATGCTAACGTGCCAGATCATGAACATACCAAGCCCTTATGCAAGCTATTTTATCTGCCTAGAATGTTCTTCCCTCATACTTCCATCATATGTATATGTGTACCTGGAATATAGAACTATTAAATTAATATTTATTCAATAACTATTTACTAATAGCTTAACAAAGAAAAATCATGTAAGAAGTTTATTTTGAAAATATAATAGAAGTTAAAGCCTTAAATTTTGTATTAGTAAAATTACAACCCAGAAAAAAATAAACACTCTAAAATAGCATGTTCAAATAACCCCAAAACATATGTAAAGTTTAAACAATTTTAAAAAAATCATAAATGAAATTGATATAGTAGATTTTTACATTTTCCTACTACTTCTGGTCTTTCAAAGATAAAATATTGGAACCAACCCAAATGTCCAACAATGATAGACTGGATTAAGAAAATGTGGCACATATACACCATGGAATACTATGCAGCCATAAAAAATGATGAGTTCATGTCCTTTGTAGGGACATGGATGAAATTGGAAATCATCATTCTCAGTAAACTATCGCAAGAACAAAAAACCAAACACCGCATATTCTCACTCATAGGTGGGAATTGAACAATGAGATCACATGGACACAGGAAGGGGAATATCACACTCTGGGGACTGTGGTGGGGTGGGGGGAGGGGGGAGGGATAGCATTGGGAGATATACCTAATGCTAGATGACGAGTTAGTGGGTGCAGCACACCAGCATGGCACATGTATACATATGTAACTAACCTGCACAATGTGCACATGTACCCTAAAACTTAAAGTATAATAATAAAAAAAAAAGATAAAATATAAATGAAAAGGGTACTTTTAAAATGAGGTCTAATTTTAAAAAGATATAGAAATACAGAGAGTGAACACACTTTTTAAAACTATACAGAGACTACATCTCAGAAACTTCTATAAAATTATATTAAATTTTATCATCTATTGCATCAAATTTATTAATTAACTTTAAATACAGAACTGATTCAGGTCATTCTTTGTTCTTAAGACAATATAACTAGATAAAATTATAAAAGTTGCAAAAACACACATTTAATATATTCAGTCTTTCCAACTAATATTTATTTCATGATAATTAAATTTTCCTGATAAAAATCAATTAATCTCACATCTAATCTGTAAGAAAAGTCACATGAAAATTCTAATAGAAATTTAGAAGTTACAGGGTGGGCCCAGTGGCTCACGCCTGTAATCCCATCACTTTGGGAGGCCAAGATAGGCAGATCACCTGAGGTCAGGAGTTCAAGACCAGCCTGGCCAACATGGTAAAATCCCGTGTCTACTAAAAGTACAAAAATAATAATAATAATAAAAATAGTCAGGCGTGATGTCCGGTGCCTGTGATCTCAGCTACTTAGGAGGCTGAGGCAAGAAAATCACTTGAGCCCAGGAGGCAGAGGTTGCAGTGAGCCGAGATCAGGCCACTGTACTCCAGCCTGGGTGACCACGCGAGACTATGTCTTAAAAAAAAAGAAGTTTGGAAGTTATAATAAATATTTTTGCTCTCAGTTCTGATTATAACCATCTTCTAAAAACAGAATAAAAATGTACCTGCTTAGGTTAATTGAAAATATCTGTGGTGTACCAGAATGAAAAATACACTGTTTGATTCATAAGTGCATTGCTATTCACACAAAACAAATCCACTGTCCTTAAGAAAGTAAGAAAAACATGGGCTTTTTTCCACTGTTCACTCCTGGCTTAAAAACACACGCTGTGAACCATCTTGAAAACTGGTCCTTCTATATATGCTTGCTGTCCATTGAGTGCTAAAAACTTCTTATCTTTCTTTTAATGATTAGAAACTTTTATTTGAGATCATAACGCAAAGCCACCTATAAAGTACATATTATGCAGAAAAGATAGGAAGTTAGCCTGGATAAATACCTCATCATATTCTACTTTAGTTAGTACAAACAGTTTTAAATTTTTTACTCTTTAATATCTTTTTATGATTTATGCCACTAGGTACTATTATTCTGTATTAAATTGATCCCACATAGAACAGTAAGGATGATTTTCTGCCTCTTCCCCCTTCCTCAATCTTGGAAAGGGTCACATAGGGAAACTAAATCTTGGCTCTGATTTGCTTATTGAAATACACTCTCCATCCTAGAAAAGACTTCAGAGGGGCTCTGAAAACTTGGGGAAACTAGTTAAGTTTCAAGCATCGATGTTTGTAAATTAAAGGTTATAATTCCTACTCCAGGAGTTATGGCAAAGGATATTTAACATAAATTCTGTATAGCACTGATTATAGTACTTAGGAATATAGGTAGAACCCAAAGTATAATATTCTCTTCTATTTCTCTATTATTAAAAGTTAATATTTCTTTAATTATTTATATATATTTTTATGGTTTAAAAGTAAGGAAATCATCCCTTCTAACCAGATGTATTACAAAAAGAGCTATTTTATTCTATATTTCCTGAGAGGAAAACAGAGACGCTTTGTTCAAGTCCAAAACAGGACTTCCCCGTCCTACTTTTATAGTTTGGGAAGACAAGGAATCATTACAGCCAAGACTCAGTTTATTCTCTAAAGTTGCCAGAGTTCATCTGTAGCTTTACCATATATGAAAGTGAACTGTTTACACCGCCACTTGCCAACTGACACTTTCTACATTTGTGGATTCTAGATGAGTGATTTTCTTTTGCTCTCACTGAGCTCAAAATATCCCAACAGAGTAAAACACTGGTATGTATTTCAAAAGATGTATCAAGAAGAATTTTTGAATGAAGAAATGCTAGAATGACAAACATGGCCTATCTCATTTCCCCATGCTAATAAGGAAGTTCCTGTGATTTTATTGCTACAAGACCACTTGGATCCTTGGTCTGATTGACAACAATATAATCATTATAACTTAGACAATACAAAAGGAATTTCAATTTAACCAGCTCTGCATTACTGAGATACAGCTTATGATGTTTTAAATTATAGTACTTCAGAAGAAAATGTCAAGACTGATTACAGGTTCTAAAGGTATCTTTTAGTAGAGTACATGTCTATACGGAGATAATTTTTAATGGGCTTTCTATTAAACATACAGTTGTTATCAATGCTGAAAAAAATTATCCATCACAATAAAATATATTTAGAACAACTTATTAAAATTAACATTCTAAATTATCATCTTTATTATTTAATGGTATAGTATAAGATATGGATTGTTGGTAAATTAGTAAATGAAGCTAAAGATTATCATAACTCTGTAAAGAACAGAGCTAGATTGTTTATGTTCATTAAGAAAGAAAAGCAACTGATAAACTACTAAAAGTGGGAGTTTCTTTTTCAATATTAGCAATCTGAGTTCAAGGAATTACTTGTTCTCATATTTCAGTTGTTATTGAATTAGCCAAAGACACACACAAGTAAGAGTGAATCTGTACCTGCGTTAAAAAGGAGGACTGCAAACAAATGAAGAAAAGATGTGATTTCAATAACAGCATCAAAAACAGAAAGACCAGTGGTTCTAAATTAAAATGATAAGCAGAGTTTTTTGGGGAGTTTCATAAAAATATATTAGAATTTGGAAGTATATTATTTTATTCATTTTTGTATTTTTGCACTTTTCATTTATTTCACTGATCTGGCAACTTTGAGAATGGCTAGTACAATACAAAAATTGATTAATAAATTGAAAGTAAACCCAGAAAAAATCTTTAGCTCTTATTAACATGAAGTTATTAAAATGTTTTAAAGTCCTAAGACACTTGTTGGTGGGAAGGCAAAATTTATTCCATGGACAGTTTTATAAAGAGAGCCTTGCACTATTGTCAACACAGCTGTTATCCCTTGAGGTACATGTTTTTAAGCCCTCCTTAAATTTCATGCGATTGGCAAATATTACTTGCTTTGGCTGACTAATAAGAAGGTAATCACATCTGTGAAGAGTAGCACATCACCAAGATTACTGGGTCTTCATGACAAATACAGAAATTAAATGTTAACAGAGGGGAAAGGTTGCTGCTCCTCTTTTTCATTCTTCCTTTACACCAGCATTGAGTCTTTAATCTTACATTATTAAACTGCAATAACTTTATTTACATTCTTTATCTGCCCTAAAATATTTTAAACAAGAATTCAAAAATTGCTAGCATAGCCTACGGAGTCAATACTGGACAAAAACAAATTCTCAACTCCCTCCAACATGCTCTTCGGAAAATTCTCAGAAATATAAAGTCATTAAGTAGTTTAAAAGAGAACCAATTTCAAAAATCAAACCAAGGTCCTCTAGTTAAACAGTTACTGAAAAGGAAAAGTTGGTATCTAGAATTCCTTTTTCTATTAAGTTGAGAAAGAATATTAAATCTACTAAGCAGAGATCAGTAGGTTAGATTGAAATTAAACTCCTAATTTTCAAATGTTAAATGTGTAAGAGATCCTAATTTTCAAATGTTAAATGTGTAAGAGGTAAGTGGAATATTGAATAATATAGGAAAAAAATCAGACATTGTGACAAGATGTTTGAAGAGTTCTATATAAAATATTACACAAGAAAAGATAAGAAATAACAGAGTGAAGGAAGAAACATCCATTTGTCAATTTCACAAGCATAAAAAGGTTCACAAGAGAAAAAGTTCACAAGAGTAAAATGTGTAAAAGATGGCCAGAATAAAACTTTACTAGCACTTCTGCTTTACAGTAAAGTGTGCTGAAAGTGATGAAAGGACAAAGGAAAATAATTAGCACAAGGACATAAAATTTCAAAATGCTCAAAGGATAGATCTGGAAGTTTTAATGTATGCTAGGAATAGCTTCAGGCTTAGGTAGGGAGAGCAGATAGAGAAATAAAAAGAAAAAACAGTCTTTAAAATGTCTAGGCAAATTTTCCAAGCAAACAAAACATTGTCTTTTTAAATAAAATATTATGTTATCACTAATTTTTAACCACTATTTAATGCTTACACACAACTGATAATGTTTTGGTCTCTTAGATCATAGAAGTAAACAAGACATGTCCTTTGCTTTAGGTGGTACAGTAAGGAACTTACAATACTGAAAAAAATTACTGTGCTGTTTAATAGCTGTGAAATGTTGAACAACTTCACTGTATTATTGCTTCATTCACAAAATTTGATTTCTTCTTGTGATGTTTGGCTATTGTCAACTTGACATCATTACCGCAGCTTTCCAAGGTCTCCTCCGCATTTCCCAAAACCTTCTCTCTGTATGTTTCTATGTTAGGCTTTGCCAGCAAAAAACACTGGTGTGAGCTTTGGAAGACAGAAAATCCGGAGAAGCCATTATTCTCTGAAGGCAATCACAGCCAGACAAATGAACAGATGAGAGTTTTCACTGGACTGTTTCAAAGAGCACAGGGGAACTACCTGCTTGGCTGTTGCACACAAAGACAATTAGTGAGAGTTTCACATAGAACCGTTAGCACAGCAGCAGTTTCCAAGACAGTTACTGGGAGCTTCTGGCTGAGATCTCTGGTTGCTTTCCTGAAATTTTTGCTGAATTACTTGCTGTTTAGAGTTAGCTTCCCTGACCTTTCCTCTCATAGTTCCTCTAATATTTCTCTAAGCCTTTAATTCCGATATTAACTTCCAAACCTGGAAAACTTAAAGTGGCTTTTATTTACTGTTGGATGTTAGATTGACTATAGTTTTGGTAACAGGAGTGAGGTTGATTTGCCAACTCCTGGCACACATGTGCTATCAAAGCATCTGGGGTATTTAAAACTTTATGCTTACAAGTCAATCAGCAACCTTAGACAAGTATGTCCATAGCTACCCACCAGATGTTAAGGGGCCATCCAGACTTAATGCTAGTAAAGAGGCCGGATTTGTAACAGTGACTCTAGTTTGAAACAACGTGGAATAGTTCATGATAACTCACTAATATCCTCCAAGCTCTCTCAAATCTCTCCACTTCTTTACTCTCCAAACAGGCTAAGTTCAACAGAGACATGGTAAGACTCTTTATTCCCTCATCATTAACAAATTTGAAGGTGGTACTGAGTTTGCTGATTTCTCTAGATATATATTGTATTGCTTTTGGTTTAATATTTTGAAGAAAGAAGCAAGTCTAGGGGTTTCACTTGGCCATTTTTACCATAATATTCCTCACTCCATATGTCAGGGGACCAACCTAAGTGTTCTGCCAATCCTTGTTCCAACTACATCTTCAAAACTAGGATGAAAAAAACACAGGTCAGGTGGATAGACTCAGTCGGCCCACTTTGAGACATACTTGAACCAACAATAGATTATGACACTTTAAACAGGTAAATTTATTTAGTAAGGAATTATACAATACTTTAAAAAATTAATCATGGACCCCCCACCAATGTTAGCATCAGCTCACAGCCAGTGATCAGTAATCTCTCAAAGTGCTGGTAGATGCCTACAGATATCTTTGGAAAATATTTTTGGCATAAGGTTTTTTGTTTGTTCTTTTTTTTAGCATTTTAAAGTGTTTTGATTAAAACATCAGAAAATGGCCAGGCACAGTGGCTCACGCCTGTAATCCCAGCACTTTGGGAGGCTGAGGCGGGGGGATCACGAGGTCAGGAGATCAAGACCATCCTGGCTAACACGGTGAAACCCCGTCTCTACTAAAATTACAAAAAATTAGCCAGGGGTGGTGTCAGGCTTCTGTAGTCCCAGCTACTCGGGAGGCTGAGGCAGGAGAATGGCGTGAACTTGGGAGACGGAGATTGCAGTGAGCCGAGATCGCGCAACTGCACTCCAGCCTGAGAGACAGAGCGAGGCTCTGGCTCCAAAAAAGAAAAAAAAATCAGAAAATATATATAAGTGCTTTCCTGTGTTACTACAAGTAAGTGCTCAGTATATTCTTATAATTATCCTTATTAATTCAAATTTTGCAATGAAAAAGTTAAACATTTATATATATATGTGCATGTTTATGTATATATATATAAGAAATCAGTGAATTGATTTGTATAAATTAAGGAAATGCAATGTATTCTACACATTCAATAACTTAATATATATTATAATAATTGGTTTAAAAAATAAAACAAAACTTAAAGATATTAAATGTAAACATTTTCCACTTGTACATATAAATGCTATTTAACTTAGCTCAAGATAGAGACTTTTAAAAACTTACATATTCCATGTAATGTAACATTAAGCAAAATTATCAGTTAAAACAATACTTATTAGCTTTTATAATCAAAAAATTAAATAATACATGATGACCTTGGAGTAAGTATTTGCAAAAAGTAGGGAAAAAAGTTAATATATTTCGCAAAGAATGGCTTTTAAAAACTAAAAGCCGAACAGTAACATCCTAAAGAAACTTGACATTTTCTAAGAATACATTATAAAAATAAGTGTAACTGGAAAATACACATATGAATAAATAAGATTCAATTTCCAAGCCATCAAATTGGTGTAGAGCAGAAAAATGACAACACTAGTTTTTGGTGCTCAGTGAAGTGGGAATTCTCATATAACAAATCATAAGAATGTAAATTAGTACAGACTTTGTTGAAAGGCCATACTGATTGCCTTAAATTTTTAAATATTTATTTCTTTTATACAGGACCTGTATTTTCCATAATTATTATACTATACAATTAATAAAAGATATATTTTTTAAAAAAAATAGTGAACAACAACAACAACAAAAAGCACAAAGACTTCCCTCTTAGGAAAAAAAAAAAAAGCAATAGAATTTATAAATGAAACTTCCCAAGCCAAAAAAGACTGGGAGAGAAAGAGCCGCAAAAGACTGTCAGTAGCTCAGCCAGGCTGGTCAAAGGAGAGTTGAGCTGCCAGGTGTTAGAGTAGCCAACTAAAGCAACAAGTCAAAAAGAAATAATTAAACCCTTAGACAATTATTGGGATGGTGTAAGCAAGTGTCTAAAATCAGGAGAAACACTGAACTACCCTATTCCTTTTCTCCCCAAAGAATGGCATGCCCAGAGGGATCAGGAGGATCAACACATGTGGAGGTTGTCTCACTGCGGAAGGAGCCCCAAACGAAGGGCTTCAATGTCTCTATGGATTCTGGAGTGGAAGGATTGGGGAAGTAGAGGTGCAGAGAGCTTGGAACTGGCTGAGTTAGAGTACAGAAAAGTGTTTCCGAGACTTACCCTTCTACTCTAGAAAGAAGGCCTGAGCAGAGAGGCTCCTTAAAAGTAGTTCTATTCAAGGCCTCAGATAGAGACCTCAGAATGAGGGTACCTGTCTAGGAATTCAAATATGTGATGAGCATGATCTGCTTGAGACATTGAATGTAACTTCCTTCCAAGACTGCAGTGTACTGGTTGTGCACTAGTCCTGGGGTGGGAGGGTAGCTTCCCTCTGAAGGGTCTACCAGGAAAAGCCTTTGTAATTAATGCCTATAGGCAAGCCTGTAAAATCACATGCAGGTTTTAACCAGGAGCTCAACTCTTTAATTTCAGCCCTTAGTAGTTCAGATAATCTCAATAGATGCCAATTAAACATTTGACAAAATGTACCATATGTTCATGGTAACAGTTCTCAATAAACTAAAAATAGAACAGGCAGCTCAGAAAATAAATTAGGTATAATTTATAATTCTTATATTTTTGTCTAGATTAACATTCCAGACTTTGGTATCAGTAGGCAGAATCCCATCATACAACACTAGTTTTTTTTAGAATTGAGGAGAAAGTGATTGCAGTTCATAGAGACGAATACAGCTGGAATTCGCTGGGCATACCAGTAAGAAGGAGGCTTTTTAAAGGGAAATTCACCGACAGCTTTCTTTCAGGGTTTTTTTTGTTTGTTTTTTGTTTTTGTAAATACACTAATCTGTTTGTACAAAGGTTAAAACTCTACAAAATAAGGCAGAGAACAATGTTCTGAAAACTATTAGCTAAGCAACACCCACAGCTTACACAGGGCTTGAAAATATTTTAGTTCTGGTCAGCCAGATTGTACAGTCCTCATGGACACCCATGACAGTCAGTAAAGACACTTTTCTTAAGGAATGAGACACTGTAGGGGCAAATTATTTTTAGAGTTAACTCTAGATCTTCTCTAGCAAAACAGAAAAGAATAAAGCAACAAACAAAAGCAAAGTGAGAAAGGTCAAGGGGATCCACAAAACATTTAGAATAGCTAAAACAATTTTGTTTTTTTTAAAAAGGACTTATACTACCTAATGTCAAGATTCATTATCAATGAACAGTAATCAAGACAACATGGTGTTGACACAAAATCTGAAAAAATAGATTAATGAAACACAAGAGAATATTCAGAAATAGGTGTATATTTATATAGTCAATTAATTTTTGAAAAAGTCACTAAACCCATTCAAGGGAGAAAGGGATGATTTTGAATCAAATTGCAATGCAGAAAATTTAAAAACACATAAAACACATGTAAAGAAATGAACCTTGGCACTAACTCATATTAAACTGAAGAGTTGTTTAGACATAAGTTAACTTAAAGCCTCTATGCAGCTATGGAGAGACAAAGTTTTATCAATATCTATAAATCAGTAACTATAAAATAAGACAATGTGAATTGGATTTGATTAAAATTAAACTTCTAATGAATAGATAGTTCACAGATGGCAGGAAATAGTTTTAATACATCTATCTGAAAACTACTAGTGTTCCAAATATATAAATAATTTTTATAACTGAACAATATAATAAAAAACAACCCCATTGACATAAGATTTGAAAAGATACTCTCCAAAGAAAACATACAAATGCTCAAGACAAACACGAAAAGGTGATCAATATCATTAGTTTTATGGGAGATACAAAGTTCAACCACGGAGAAATACCACTTTGATTCCACTCAAATGGATAAAATTAAGAAGACTGTTAATACCAAATTTTGGTGAAAATGTGAAAATAATTGGTTGGTAGTGTTCAGTTCTCTGTAGGCCAAGAATGACATAGTCAAATATGCTATCACGATGGGCTCCTTTCATTCAATGATAATAATGGGATGCTGGACAAGCAGAGGTCAGGAGGCCACAATTAGCTGTGGTTATTAAGGAAAGCTAGTTACTGTAATGAGGATAATAGAGCTGGGGCAATAATCAGAATTATTTTCCTCCACATAGATCTTTGGAAGTTCCTATGACTGAGATAGGAGGGTGTCCTACTTGAGGCTCACCTGATCTGTATAATTAAAACTCTTTTGCAATGGTAAATGCAGACTAAGCTTTAATTGCTCCCAGAGAGTTGTGACTGCTCGTGAAATTATCAGATCTAGTTCACAGAAAAAGAACCCCTTGAATGAAAGGAAGGTAGACTGTGTCCTCTTGAGGTAAGATCCTTCTATGCTACCAAAAATTTAAAGTATAAATCTTATTTCATATGCTTCCTCCAAAGGGTATGTGGCTATTTACCAGGGTTATCTTTTGGTTTTGGGGGTAAAAATGTTCTGCATACACAAACTCACACACACACACACACACACACACACACAAAACCACACATGCATGTACACACACACACTATATATATATAATTACATATATGTTATATAAACTACAAAATTTACAGTCATGTTATATATAATTGTAAACTTTATATTTTAAAATATTATATAAATTGCCATTACATACATATATATGTGTAAACTGGCAGGATATGTGTATGTGTGTATATATACAGAAGCCAACAGTTTTTTAAGCAGGGTACATTACATCACAGGAGAAAGCTGTGTGGCAGATCCAGGCCATATCATAGTAGCTGTGACACTTACTCTTATGTATCCAGTAGATTCAAGGTACTTGCATATCTGTTACCAATACAGATGCTGTATGCAACCTTTGGCAGTCCCATACAGATTAATCACATATCAGAACTTCAAGATTTTAAAGTGCATGCTGATTTCTGAAGAGTATTATCTTTACTTTCACAAGCAACTTTCATCCTGCTGAGCCCTGGTAGAGATTGGTTGCTTGATTTTAGCCTTTAACCTCCAATGTGACCTGAACTGACATGATTAACTGGCTGTTATCTGACTCACCAAGCATGCATCAAGTGAAAGTCATATATAGGAGATCAAACTTGAGCAAGTGGAGGCACAAAAATGTCACATCAGCAAGTGGCTCAAACTTCCAAGGCACATACCTGGATGACTCCCTCTTTCTCCTCAAAATTATAGTCATATAGATAGGGAAATATATATGACTACTTAATTGAGGAAGAAAAATAATTTGGGACTGTGTTTCCAAATTTTGTGTATTAAGTTAATTATTAGACAATTTGGGGTGTACTAAGGCCGACATATCAGGAAATGGGAGCCCTTAAAATATACTTTATTGTAATCAGACTCCAAAAGAAAGGAAGACTCTATGCCATGGGGGCACATAGGGAATCACCAACGTTGATAACTCTAGTAATATAGGAGAAGAGAATTTTGTGGGCAAGAGCTGTTATTGTGATTTCCATGGAAAGGAACAGGTGAGGCAGGGATGCCGGTTTAGGATGGGCTAGTTTGAATAATTTCAGCAGGCTCTATGGAATAGAGGCTGTGTCTAGTTTTCTGTTACCCGGCCTTGGGGTAATTAGGACAAATGTATCAAGGCCTAGGGTAAAATAGTAAGGTGGTTTGGGTTGTAGACTATATTAGTTGAAAGGAATGCCCATAGGAGGAAGATTGCTCCTCAGGAGTGAGAGACAAGGAGTCAGGAGTTCAAGGCAACGTGACTCAAGCATATTACTAGGTTGTCCAGATTAAGACATGTCAGACATATAGGGCAGATATTAAAGCATCAAGTTTCAGAAGCTAGAACCATGGTTAATACACACTATTCTACAGTGTTTTGTGCAATTAACTGGGCCACTGGCCCATAGAAAGAAACAGTATTCACCCATTCAAGGGTGGCTCTGAAAAACTGTGTAAAGGGAGTTGTAGTTTGCATGTTTTTGTGCTGTATACCTGGTTTTCTACTTTGCCTGGAAGAGGAGATTGCTTGATGTACATAAATCTATGCTGATTCATCAGTTAATAAGTTTTTCTAAATGGGCAGGGATTTGTCATGAACAATAATAGTATAGCTAGATGGCAAAGGCTAATGGAACAAATTACAAGATGGATAACAAGAGAGCCTAGAAAAGATACATGTGGATGAAACTTTAGGATTGATCAGAAAATATGAAAATAATCATGTCTCATGTAAATGCTCATCAAAGAAGAGCAGAGAAAGCTCTCAATAATCAGGTGGACTAGATTACTTGTACTGGGAATGTTGGTCAGTTTCTTTTTCCAATGAGCTCATGAGGAAAGCTGCCATGGCAATAGTGATGGAAGTTTTTTGTGGATTCATCAGCATGGTTTTCCATTCAACAACAATGATCTGGCTGTAGTCACTCTTGAGTGCCTTTATCAGTTATCCATTACTAGGAAAAGTAAACATCCCCAAACTTGGTGCTTATAACAATCACCATTTACTTAACTTATGATTCTATGGGTTAGATGGCATTTCTTTTTATTTGAGAGGATTTGGCTGGTTCTGCTTGTCTGTCTGATAAACTCCTGTTTCTCTGACAGGTCAGCTGGAGTCAGAAGATCTAAGATGGCCTCACTCACATTTCTACCAGTTGCCAGGCTGTTGGTTGAATTAACATGGGCAAATGGGCTACACGCCACTCATCACCTGCAGGCTATCCTGGGCTTCTTTACAAGGTGGCAGACATGTTCCAAAAATAGAAAGTGAGCAATCCTGAATTTGTTAACATCCCACTCTCCTAAGCAAATCACAGACCTGCCCAGAGTGAAGAGAAAGAAAAGTAGACTTTGCTTGAAAGGTAGAATTCAAAGTTACATTTCAAAGGAACATTCATATAGAGTTCAGTAAAACTCCTGATTTTTTCCCCAATTAATCACAGTTCTCAAATTTTAATTTACCATAGTGCCTAACCTGCCAACCTAAGCTCCCAATATGGTAATACTCACTGAAGGAAAAAGCAAGCTACTTTGTGGCATATTGATTACATTGGATTCATTCTATTAAGAAATGGGCTGTGAATTTTTCCTTTCTGTTATAGATAACTAATCTACACATGGATTTGCCTTTTTGCTGATAATGTTTCTGCTAAAATCATATCTTTGAACTTATACAGGGTCCTGTAATTCTGACCATGAACATAGTTTGTAGAAATTAGTGGCACCAGTGGGCTCATGACCATGAAATTTGCTGGTTTTACTGTGTATCCCATTACCTTAATATAGCAAGAACCTGAATTGCATTGAAGATTCAAGGACTTCTTTTCAGCAGTCACTTTCCGTTGCATTCCAAAAGAGTTGGTAGATATTTCACAAGCCTCTTGAAAAATGCAGATGGTTTCCTGTGATTTTTTTTTGAGATTTATCTATTACAATTCTTTTACATTTTATTCAAATTGGATCCACAATGATATAGTGTCCCAGTTAAATGAACATCATATGTTATAAAGTGGATAATACTCATGGCAGATGGAGTGAGTATGAATGTTTAGTAAGGGTTTCCATAAGCAGATGGTAACTGTTACAACTCACTCTTTTCCCCAGTCATGTCAGTGTTTGCTCACTGGATACATACACAATGGGCATAATGACAGAGAGGAAAGCTGTGCATAGGCTTAAATATTTGATATTCTTGCACCAGACTGATGGGGCTAATGTCACTGCAGAGTGCCTAACCTGTAAATGGCAGATGTCAATGGCAAGTGTATATATGTACTTGTATATATACGTGGTGCACATATATGTATGTCTGCATATATATGGCTACTGTCACTGCTGAGTGCTTAATCTGTCAATGACAAAGGTGAATGACAAGTGTATATACACTAGTATATGTAAGTAGTGCATACATATATATGTATATATATGTGGTGTGTGTGTGTGTGTGTGTGTGTGTGTGTGTGTAAAAGCATCAGCCAGGCATCTGCTGACAGGCTGATTGCTTATTGCTTACATAATAAAGAGGGCAATGATTTGTCCTCACAGAGATGGAAATATATTCTAGGTACAGAATTTCCTTATTGCCCACAGTGTTTCTGCCAGCATCACAATTTATAAACTTAAAGAAAACTGTATCCATGGCCACAATATCTCACACAGCATCTCTTATCTATCAAAGGACACTTTTCTTGGTGACAGAATTGAAGCAATTGGCTCACATACACAGTTCACTGATGCAACCATATATTTAATCAACCAAATTCAGTGTAAGAAAATTGTGGAATAGTGTGATACGTTCTTAATTATGAAGACATCTTGAATAAAAATTCTTTAGGGTTATGATGCAGTCCTTATGGTGCTATACATGCCTTCATTAGTGCTCTTCATATGATGGTCTTTCTCTCATAAATGGAGTGCATGGGTTCATCAATTAAGAGTCTCACTTTATAGTGAGAAAATCTCATTTGACTTTATAGTGACAGCTGCTGAAGTATTTATCCCCTTATTTACATGATATTGAGCTCAATGAGTTAGTTCTATTCTCAAGGGAGAAGTGATTCTGCCAGGAAACAGAGTCATGTTTCCATTAAATTGGATGTCAAGACTGTCCCAGGCCATTTTAATATCTTCATGCTGCTAAATCAGCAGAAAGTAATGGAGGGTTACTATGTAAGCTAGAAGATTGATCATTTTCAGGGAGTTCATTGATTCAATCTAGTAGCTGTCCAAATTGCCCTTCAGCTGTGTTGATTCTACTATCCAGCTCATTTACTGGATTTTCTCTTTCCACAGCCAGACAGCCATCTTGAGCCAATGCTAATCATATTTTTTTTTACTACTTTGAACCAATATTAATAAGTTCATTCTTGCTTTCTAGGTAGCAGTTCAGACAAAATGAGATAAACTAGAACATTAGCAATATTAATTCTAAGATGCTATCTATTCCCAGCTAGGAGGCCTTCTTCCTACCTATTTATAGTTATGAGGTATAAACTTCTCATGATACCAAATTGAATGCTATCATTGCGGTTGAATCTATCAAAGCAGTATATATGACCACTGATTGTTCAACAATTATTTTACTACCTACTCTATGCCAGTCACC
The DNA here is from genome assembly GCF_000001405.40 of Homo sapiens. Taxonomy (NCBI): domain Eukaryota; kingdom Metazoa; phylum Chordata; class Mammalia; order Primates; family Hominidae; genus Homo; species Homo sapiens. Next base: position 189,877,964 of record NC_000001.11, read on the forward strand.
CTTCTAAGTGTGTAGGACTCATCAGTAAACAAAATACTAGCCTGCATGGAGCTTGCAATCCAGTAGGGAGAAAGCAGAAAATAAATATAAAAGAGCAAGATTTACAAGGGGATTGTAGAGTATAAGATGTTAGATGCTATGGACAAAATGAAATAATATAATAGTTTAAGAAGACCCAGAACTTTTCTGTCCTTCCGATAAGGGCAAAGGAACTGCACAGACATGAGACTACTGAGAAACACCATATAAAGAAAGACAACAGTTGAGAAGCATTTTCTATTTACTTAAGGAAAAAGTGCCACTCAATTATATTTCATCCATAATACCGTCCTTCAAGTAACAAGGTTATAGAAAATTATTTGCTCCACCAGAACTCAAAAAATACCATACAACTGTGCTCTTTCCATGGAATCAAAAACAAGATGGCATTTATCCCAAAAAAGATAGTAGGGAAAACTTATGTTGAACATATATATATATATATAATGGCGGAGATAAGACTAAACAAGGTGGGGTCATGGATTGAAAATATATGTAAGCAATGTGTAGTCTGACAGACTAGAATGATATAAATAAAAGTGGTAGAAAGGAGGAGAGTAACAGGGGAAAGGCTAATAAGCTTATTGACTGCTCTTTAGATAACATTTGGGAGTCAAAGGCTTCCTTTTGAAACTGACAGATAGTAAAAGCTTAAGTGAGAAAATTAGATTAAGGTAAAATTAAAAATTATTACAAAAAATAGAAAACTCATAGAATAAAAATACATACCTTCCCATATAAGTAACAGTTTTAGAAAACAAACAGAACACACCAAATGGTGAAAGAAACACAGCACATCGTATATGGTACTGAGACCAACATAATAGTCATCAATAAATATGAATGAGCATACATGGTTTTCAAAGAGAAAAATATTTTCAAGTATGCTCAGAAATGAATTAAAAATACATTGATTAAAAAACTAAAATTGTAGGCATGGAGAAATACTTGTCAGAAAAATATAAATAATAAGAAAAGCAAAATTTACCAATCCTGATACTCGATGTTAGAGATTTCACTATGAAAGTTAGACAAAAGTTAGTTAAGTTAGACACAAACAATACTTTGCAATGATAAAATTGACATTTACAGTGAAGCTACAACATGTCATTTCTGACCAGACAAGACAAGTGAACAGAAACCAAGAAAGGATATAAATGTTTATTGCAGCACTATTCACAATACCAAAGACTTGGAAACAACCCAAATGCCCATCAATGATAGATTGGACAAAGAAAATGTGGTACATATACATCATGGAATACTATGCAGTGATAAAAAAGGATGAGTTCATGTCCTTTGCAGGGACATGGATGAAGCTAGAAACCATCTTTCTCAGCAAACTAACACAGGAACAGAAAACCAAACACTGCATGTTCTCACTCATAACTGGGAGCTGAAAAATGAGAACACATGGACACAGGTAGGGGAACAACACACACTGGAGCCTATTGCAGGGTGGAGGGCTAGGGGAGGGATAGCATTAGGAGAAATACCTAATGTAGATGATGGGTTGATGGGTGCAGCAAACTACTATGGCACACGTATACCTATGTAACAAACCTGCACATTCTGCATATGTATCCCAGAACTTAAAGTATAGTAATTTAAAAAAAGATGTAAATAAAACCATGAAGTAAATACTTGGAAATACATCAAATACTATACTATATCATAGGGAACATATCTTCTTCTAGAAAACATGTAGAATGATTCCCTAAATTGATCATATCATAGAGCAAAAAGTAATAAAAAGTTTCCATAAAATACACATTTACAAACAAAACAATGCAATGAAACGAGAAATGAAAAAATAAAACCTTTTAATTTTTAACCTTTTAATAATTTAAAAATATTTCATTAACGAATTTTTTTTGGTAAAATAGGAAACAAAAACAGTAGTTACAGAGTTTCTAAAAATTAATGATAATAAAAACAAGATATCAAATTTATGGGGTATATTTAAACTAATGCTGAGAGGGAAATTTCTGCTGCTAAAAGTATGTATCAATAAAAATGACACAAGCAATTGGTTTTTAAATTTTTCAGCTAATGTATTCCTAGTTTGAAATTTTCATTTTTAAGCATCTTATTTTTCTGTTGAGATTCCTCATCCCCCTCTTTGGTGCAGTTGTGCTTTTCATGGTTTCAGTCACCTGTGTTCTAGGCACATTCAGAAAATATTAAATGGGAATTTTCAGAAATAATTCATAACTTCTGAGTAGTGTGATGAAATCTCATGCCTTCTGACTCTGTCCTGCCTGACATGTGAACCGTTCCTTTGTCCAGTGTATACATGCTGTCTATTCTCCCTGCCCATTAGTCGGTCTGTAACCATCTCCGTTATCAGATCACCTGTCACAATATAGCAGTGCTTTTGCTCAGCTAATCCTTATTTTACTTAATAATGACTCCAATGCACAAGAGTAGTAATGCTGGCAATTTGACTAAAGATAAGCCATAAAGTACATCCTTTAAGTGAAAAAAAAGTGAATCAATAAAGAAAATAAATTGTATGCTGAGGTTGCTAAGATCTGTGGTAAAAATGAATCGTCTATTCACAGAATTGTAAAGAAGATAAAATAAATCTGTGCTAGTTTTGTCAGCACAGCTCAAACTGCAAAAGTTACCCCACAGACATTCACCTCAATTCATCTTATTATTTAGGCATTTTATCAGCTCACATCATCACAAGAAGAAGGATGAGTAGAGTACAATAAGATTTTGAGAGAGAAAGTGACCACATTCACATAACTTTTATTAGAGTGTAATGTTATAATTGTTCTATTTTATTATTAGTTATTGTTGTTAATCTCTTACTGTGTTTAATTTATAAATTAAACTATATGTAGGTATGTGTGTATAGGAGCTATACACACTATACTATAAATTAAACTATATGTAGGTATGTGTGTATAGGTATGTGTGTAAATGTAGTATTTAGGGTTCAGTGCTATTTGTGGTTTCAGGCATCCACTGTGGGTCCTGGAATATATACTCCCTGGATAAGGGAGGTCTACTGTAGCTAACTCCAGAATAGAGGACAGTGTAAGCCCATAAAAGACCCAGAGAGACCAAAACTAGAAATATACATGAGCGGCACAGATAACTACCATATAAATGAGGAGGCACAATGGGGACAACATTCTGGAGACTAGGCTGGGCACGGTGGCTAAGGCCTGTAATCCCAGCACTTTGGGAGGCCAAGCCGGGTGGATAACGAGGTCAGGAGATCGAGACCATCTTGGCTAACATGGTGAAACCCCGTCTCTACTAAAAAAAAAAAAAAAATACAAAAAATTAGCCGAGCGTGGTGGCCGGCGCCTGTAGTCCCAGCTACTTGGGAGGCTGAGGCAGGAGAATGGCGTGAACCCGGGAGGTGGAGCTTGCAGTGAGCCAAGATCGCGCCACTGCACTCCAGCCTGGGCAAGAGAGTGAGACTCCATCTCAAAAAAAAAAAAAAAAAAATTCTGGAGACTATTTTTAGTCTTATGCTCAGGATTTCTTACAGATAATGTTTAAACGTTTGATTTAATAATAATTTATAATCAATATTGTACATTTAATCTCTAAATGATAGCAAATTAACACCAAACCATTTCATTTGGCTTAATTTGGTTTCATTACTTCAAGGAAACTCAAATATGTATATTATATCCATATTTAAATTATAATTAAATAATATTAAAGTTTTTGTGTTTTGCTTTTTCAAACACAGATAAGTGGACAGGTAATCAAAGCCCAAATATAGGTGCATACTTAATATGTCATATAAAGAATAAATGCCAATGAATCTGGACTAGGATGAGCAAAGAAAAGCAAGGTAGAAATTGATTCCAGGGATCTAATAAGGGACAAGGATATGAAATATGTTATAGGCCATTATAAAGACCTCAGGATTTTCTGTGGGTGAAATGGAGGCCACTACAAGATTTTAAATAGAGGTGTAACATTCTTCTTTGACTTTTAAAAAGATTCATTCTAGCTACATTGTAGATAAAAACTTTAGGAGTGATATGGTTTGGCTGTGTCCCCACACAAACCCCACATGTCATGGGAGGGACTCAGTGGGAGGCAATTAAATCATGGGGGCAGGTCTTTTCCATGCTGTTCTCATGATAGTGAATAAGTCTCAGGAGATCTGATGGTTTTATAAAGAAGACTTCGCCTGCACACATCCTCTTGCCTGCTGCCATGTAAAATGTCCCTTTCGCTTCCTTCATCTTCTACCATGATTGTGAGGGCTCCCTAGCCATGTGGAACTGTGAGTCCATTAAACCTCTTTCCTTTATAAATTACCCAGTCTCGGGTATGTCTGTATTAGTGGCATGAGAGCAGACTCATACAAGGAGTAACACTATAACTAGTGTGAACAATTAGGATCTTATTGTAATAGTCTAGGTCAGATAATATGGTGGTTTGGTCCATAAGAATTATGGGGATGCTGTCGAACTGCAGCTTCTGTTTTAGATGGTCTGGAGAAGGGTCTGAAATTCCATATTTCCAATGAGCTTTCAGGGAAAGTAAATGCTACTGGTCCATGGAACACTTTGAATAGCAAAGATATAAGCAACGAGTGATTGGATAGCATGTTACTTGTAAGTGAACATATTCTACTATAGGACTATTTTAGAAATTTTTTCATTAAAAATGTTTGTATTACACTGCATTCAATAAACATAATCTACATATCATTTCCTTGGATTTTCTTAAAATTTATTTGATGTCCCCGTACATGATATGATCAGGTATAATAAATATTCCATGTATATTAAAGAAAAAAATGTGTATGCTCTTATATGTGTGGTAATTTTGTTTCATCCTTTTGTTTACAACTTTCCAGTGCTTTGGTTTTAAGTATTGCTTTTATATAAGATATTACTGGCTGGACTTTTTTAAAAAAAATTATTCTTAATTGTAATTTTGTTTGGATTTGTAATTTATCTTACCCATACTCATTAAAATTATTAATGTATCAGAAGGTATCCTGCAATATTATTTCATATATACATATAATATACAACTTTTCCTTTTTTTTTTTTTGAATCAGGGTCTCACTTTGTTGCCCAGGCTGGAGTGCAGTGGCATGATCTTGGCTCACTGCAACATCTGCCACCCAGGTTCAAGTGATTGTCAAGCCTCAGCCACCCAAGTAGGTGGGTGGGACTATAGGAACATGTCACCACGCCCGACTAATTTTTGTAGGTTTTGTAGAGACAAGGTTTCTATGTGTTGCCCAAACTCGTCTCCAACTCCTGAGCTCAAGCTTCCCAAAGTGTTGGGATTACAGGTGTGAGCCACTGCACCAGCCCACAACTTTACATTTTTTTCTTCGCTTACATGGTTACTTTCTTTAGATATATTCATTTCTCTTCTGCTTGTTTGAAAGTGTGCCATTTCATTTTTATTCTTAGCAGTTACACTACCTTTTTAAAACCTAAATGTAAAATATTTTTCTAATGACATCTAATGTTACCAACCAAGAAAACGACCATGCATGTTATCATGTTAAACTATCATTCAATTATACTGTCTCATAGCTTTTCACTTCTCAGGAAACTCTCACATCCTATGAGCTCATTCTATAGTACTAGATTTTATGTTGATATTTTATTTTTAATGTTTGCTAATTTAGGCAAATATAAAGTTTAATAATCTATTTTTATGAACTATTTCAAGCTTTCAATATATTATAAAGAGTAATATAATAAAAATGATAAACCAACTATAAACACTTTCAAATATTAAATTGTGTCATTTTATAAATATTTTTAGAGTTGTAAAGCATTTTATACATACAGTTAAAAAGTGTTATATACCTTTCTCCAATTGTATTACTTTCCCCCATGCAAGAAGGAAGAAACTGAAGAATTGGATGCTTAACATTTTCACAGATGTCTTCCAAATCGTGTTCTGTGTTTACATATCTAAAATACCACATGATAGAATTCAGCATTTTAGGATTTTGTGCTTCTCCATCCACAGCCTTGTTTTGTTTTTTGTTTTTTGTTTTTTTCACTCAGCGCTATAATTTTGAGATTTAAGTATATTGGCACAGTATAATAGTGCTGCTAAGTGTTACCTTATAAAATTTAAATTTAGTAAATTAATTTTATTTTTATGTTATTTTTCTCACATTTTCAGTTCTAGTTTTTATGTCTTTAAACATCATTAAAGCCTTTTTTCTGCTATTTCAATTATCACAATTTCTTAAAATTTAATCCTGCTTTTTGTGTGATTCTCACAGTGGGACATTTAACGTATTTTGTTATTGTGGAAATGTAAGCACATTGTCAGTAGGATTTTTATTAAAAAAACGTTTGAATCAGTGTTCTAGAACAGGCAAACTAATTGTATGATGAAAGAAATAAGGACATTGATTCCTAGGTGATGAGTGATAGGTGTTGAAATTGAGAATATTCACAAGAAACCTCCTGTCAAGAGGGAGAGGATCTATATCTTGAATGGATGTGAATTACATACTGCAAAATTTTCCCAAGTTCAGATAACAGAAAGAATTAGCAGACTCCACAGAATATACTTTCCTAAGTGTTTTATTTAAAAGCAAGGGATACAGTGAAGCAAGAGAAAGAGAATGGAGGAAATATCGGTCTCTTAGAGACATATCATGCACAAGCTCCCCAGCGTCCTTACTCCCACAGTGGCTATTTTATGTCTCTGAATTAAACCACCAAGATTTCTGTAGAAATATTGTATCCAAAAGAGTTCAAAGCAGTACATCCCAATGCAGTTAGCCATATACAGAACAATAAAACTAGACCCCTACCTTTCACCATCAACAAAAATTAACTTAAGGTGGGCTAACGATTTAAGTGTAAGATCTCAAAATTGTTCAATTCTAGAAGAAAATCTAAAAATACCATTCTGAAAATTAGCTAAGAATTCATGAAAAAGTCTTCAGAAGCAGTTGCAACAAAACCCAAAATTGACAAGTAGCATCAAATTAAAGAGCTTCTGCAAAGCAAAAGAAGCTATCAACAGAGAAAACAGAAAACCTACAGAATGAGAGAAAATATTTGCAAATTATGCATCTGACAAAGGTTTCATATTCAGAATCTATAAAGAACTTTAAAAATCCAACAAGCAAATAAATAACCCCATCAAAAAGTGGGCAAAGGACATGAATAGACAGTTTTTGAGACATAAAATCGGCCAACAAACATGAAAAATGTCCAACATCACTAAGAATCAGAGAAATGCATATCAAAACTGAAATGATACTACCTCACATCAGTAAGAATGACTATTATTAAAAGGTCAAAAAATAACAGATACTGGTGAGGCTTCAGAGAAAAAGGAACACTTATACACTGTTGGTGGAATTGTAAATTGGTTCAGCCACTGTGTAAAGTAGTCTGGGGATTTCTTAAAGAACTTAAAACAGAATTACCATTCAACATAGCAATTCCTATTACTGAGTATACACCCAAAAGAAAATAAATCATTTTATTAAAAAGATACAAGCATTTCTATGTTCATCACAACACTATTCATAATAGCAAAGACATGGCATCAACCCTGGTGCCATCAATGGTGGACTGGATGAAGAAAATGGGGTACATATATGCCATACAAAACTATCAGTCCATAAGAAGGAACAAAATCATGTCCTTTGCAGCAAAATGGATGCAGCTGGAGGCCATTATTCGAAGCACAGTAATGCAGGTAAAGAAAACCTAATACCACATATTTTCACTTATAAGTAGGATCTAAACATTGCGTACTCATCAACATAAAGATGGCAACAGTAGACACTGGTGATTACTAGAGGAGGAAAGTAAAAGAGGAGAAATGACTGAAAAACTATCTATTGGGTTCTATACTCATTACTTGGGCAATGCGATCATTTGTAACCCAAAACTCAGCATCGCACAATATATCCATGTGACAAACCTACATAGGTACCCCCTGAATCTAAAATAAAAGTGGAAATTATTTGTAATAAAAGAATATCCTAATGTAATTCTTGTATTCCTTTAACTATATAATCATATCAGACAAGCTTAGCTATTTGTTCTAGTTGTATATCATTCATAAAGAAAATGGCCTTGGAAGGTCAATAGAAGTATTTTGGACTGTAGACAGCACTATAAATTCTACTGCTCTTATCTTGACCAGTAATTAAAAACCAAACATCTGGCCATCTCTGGAGCTAATGATAGAACTTTTCCAATACAACTTTAATTTAATTCCATCTTGCACACATGGATTGTGCAGATTTTTCAAAAAATAGTGAATAATGCAAATAAGTTCTATATATTTTACTGTATGTAAATTTTACTCAATTAAAATATACCAAAAAAGCCTTTATATATTAACAGCTCTGTGAGACAAGAGAAGAAATCCATCTAAAAATGTTGGAAGGTTCAAATTCAGATACTCCACGAAAAGAAATTAGTAAAGGGATGTGCTTATTAATATAATAGAGGAGAAAATGCCTAACCGGTTTCACACAGAGATAAAAAATGAGATTTATGAGCTTTGAAGTTGAATGAAAAAAATATTCTTCTATAAGAATTCTTCATCAAGAAACTGCCTTCAAATTAGCTTGGCATTTGGTTACATTCTTCTTGAATATTTCAATTCTACCAAATATTTAAAGGGGAATTAATGCAAATCTTTTCAAGCTCTTCCAAAAAATTGAAAAGTTGGAAATATTTCCCAGATCATGTTTTGAGTCTTGCATTTCCCTGATAACAAAGTCACAGACACAAGAAAATAAAATTACATGCCAATATCCCTGATGAACATAGATTAAAAAATTCTCAACAAAATACTAATAAGCCAAATTCAACAGCATATTAAGGGGATTGTACACGGTGACCAAGTTGAATTTATCTCTGGTATGCAAGAGTGGTTCAATGCATGCAAATAAATTGATATGAAACATTACATGAAGGATAAAAATCCTTCATGATCATCTGAATAGATGCAGAAAAATCATTCAACATAATTCAACATTCTTTCTTAATAATAACTCCCAAGAAAATAGGTATATAGAATGAATTTACCTCAATATAATACAATCTGCATATGACAATCCCACAGTTAATATCATACTCAATGGTGAAAAACTGAAATGTTTTTCTCTAAGATCAAGAACAAGACAAGGATGTGCATTCTTGCTACTTCTATTCATTGTAGTACTAGAAATCTTAACCAGAGGAATTAGGCAAGAAAAATAAAAAGCATCCAGATGAAAAGAAAGAACAAAATTATACTTTTGCAGATGATCCTCTTATATGTAGAAATTTCTAAAGACTTCACCAAACCTCTGTTAGAATTTTAAAAAATTGGTAAAGTTGGGAGATATAAAATCAAAACACAAAAATAAATTTTATTTGTATATACTAATAGTGAACTATTTGAAAAATAAGAAAATTTCCATTTAAAATAGTATTAAAAAGAATAAAATACTGAAGAATAAACTTAAAGAGGTGAAAGACTAGCACATTGAAGATTACAATTATTGATGGAGGGAATTAAGGGAGACACAAAGAAATGGAATGACATACCCCCCATTTCTAAGACTGTCTGAATCTCTCAGAATATTAGTCTGTAATTTTCTTCTATAATTCAGAAGGCTGTATTTTGATTTCAGGAATATTTTGTCCCCATAAAATGAGTTGGAAAGCATTCCAATGTTACACTCTTTCATAATTTCTGATAATTAGTGAAATATTGGTAATAGTTCTTCCTTCAGTTTTTTTTTAATAATTCATCAGTGAAGGCATTTGGGAATGGGTCTTTCTTTGTAAGAAGTATATTTGTGTTGTTTTTAAAAAACATAAATTATTTTTAATGGATATAGAACTAACCAGATTTCTTCTTTGTAGGTTGATTAAATTGTTTTCTTTTTTCTCAAACGGTTCATCTGTCATTGCATTTGTCAATTTAATTAGCATAAATTTATTTATTTTATTCTTGCATTATCCATTTAGTGTCTATAGGATTGCAATTGAGGTTTCCTTTTACATCCCTGTTATTGATAATTTGTGTCTTCTGTTCTTGTTATTGTTTTTCTGTTTTGTTTTTCCTCTTTATCAGACTATTTAGGGGTCTATTAAATGTATTAATCCTTTCAAAGAATCAACGTTTGTATTTGATGAAGAAGAAATAGAAGAAAATGTTGAAGATTAAACATTTAATTTCTCTATTGTCTATTTCATCTATATTATCTTATTGTTCTACATATAACTCAAACTCTTTTTTGCCTTTTTTTCTGCATATAGTTTCTGCTTCTAGTTGTTTAAGTTCACTAATATTTCCTTTCTAGTATCTAAGCTACTATTAGTTTCATACAATTAACCATTCATTTTAGAGATTAATTTCAACCATGTATTTTTATGAAAACACCAAATTTTTATATTGAGTCTTGATAATTGTTAACACGTTTTCTCGCATTACTTTTCTCCTTAAAGATTTCTTAGCTAGTTTAGACCTGAAATTACATATCAATTATAAAACCAAATTGCTAATATTTCTAAAAAGCATTAAAAATTTATTTGAATTGAATCTGTAATGCAATTTGAAAAGACTTGACAGAAATTACAACATTCTCTTCCAATCAATGTACATGGCGTTTACCTCTATTTATCCAGGTTTTTTTTAATAATTACCTTTTTCCTCTCTGTTAGAATAGTAGTCACACATATAATTTTATAAATTTCTAACATTAATTGATATGTTTACCCTGATTCAAGGATATGAGCAGACTAACTCCCTTTATCATTTTCCAGGCCTATAAGCTTCTATTTTCTTTTCACATTATATAAGATATTAATATTGCTATTTTGTGCAATAAATGCTTATTTAGATTTGTGAAAGTTCTTGCTATTTTATTTATTCTTTATTTCTTTTTGTATCTCCAATTTTCTTTTGGGATACATACACATACACACACATACACATATGCAAACACACACACACACACATATATATATATATATTTTTTTTTTTTACTTAGCTAACACTCTTCAGTATTTCCTTTAATGACTGATGGTAATTTATTGTTTTCATATGTAATTTTTGTCTTTAAAATTATATATAGTTTTAATTTTAGAATATCATGTTATTTGGTATAAATTTACAGGTGGACTTATTTTGCCAACCTGACTTTTAAATAATATTTTAAGTTATTCTATATTCTACCAACATTATCTACATTAACATTGGTAATGTAGATTATTCAGTTTTATTTATTGATCTTCCTTTGAAATATTCATTTTATTCTGACTTAAAGATTTTTTCTGTCTTTCAGCAATTTTACTACGTATGGATTTCTTTTATTTTTCCTGCTTGGATTTCATATAACACTTTCACTCTGGTTTGATATCTTTTTTAAAAAGTACACACTTTTATTTATATATTCTAATATGGCTTTTCACTTTTCTCATTCTACATCTTCAAGTAAATATATATCTAAGACAAATATATCTTTAAATGTCTCTTAAGAATTTTTCCTTCTCTATTTCTTTGGTTCATTCTAGGCACTTATTTTTCATGACCATCTTTCTGTAAAGCTGTTATTTCTTCAGCTTTGGTGGGCACTGTTATTGCAATATTCTTTCCACAAATAATTTAAGACCTAAAACTATTATATTTTTTCAGATAAAGTTTATGTTTACTTTCACCAGAGGATACGAACACTCAACTCAATCCAACTTCAGGAAATGGGACTTATCAAAAGAGACCTACTTCCTAATTCTCTCTTTTACCTACAAAAGAGCACTTTTAGATCTCAACACATAGCAATATGGTTACCTAAGTATCATCACTCCTTAATGATTCTTGGGCTCTTTTTCCTTTCTTCCTAGTCCCAAGAGCCTGAAGAGTGCCTCTAAGTCTTTCTCTAAGTGATCTTTCCAGGATTGGAAAATGTTCTTAGAAAAATGTAATCCATTTACTTGTGCCTATGACTTCTGTTGGATTCTGGACCAATAATTTTCACTGTATTATAATCTCTCTAGCACTTCCAAATTGTTATCCACAACTGTTGATTTTTAGATGTGTGGTCCAGTTTTATCTAGTTTTTCTCTGGGAGAGATTAGTTTTGGAATATCTATTCTGCTATTTCCAAAAGTGAGTGTCCTTATTTAAAATCTGTAATAAATAATGTTATTTATATTAAATTTTAAAATGTATATTTTACTAGAATGTTCATCAATTATAAAAGTGAGAATTAAGAAAAATAGATTGAATGTGCCAGAAATGATGGCTATTTTGCAAATGCAGTTGGTTGAGAATGGACATCAAAGAACATATGAGGCTCCTTGGGAAGAGGCTCAAAATGGGGAATGTCATAGATATAAAGCTGATTAGGGTGTTGATATCCATTTTATACAGCTGCAACAAAATATAACATCAAAACGGCTTGTTAAAATTGGTCACATTAAAATACTCTTTCAACAGCCTTTATTCTCTCTGTTGTTAAAATTTAAAAAGTTAATAATCATCCTTTATTCTCTGTCCAAGAGGTAATTAGTAATAAATATTGGGATAAAGTAGAACATAATATCATCTATGATTCCAAGTATATTCGTTAATAGTTATCTCTGCATTAGTCCATGACCTAACTGAACAATTGCAGTTTTCTTCCTATAGGGATTAGCCCTAATAAACTTAAAAAGGAAGTTGTAGGGAATGTAAGCTCTCTCCTTTTAAATCTCAAATATTATGAAAAGTAGAAAAAAAGACCTTGGCTCAGTGAGCCAATCCCCACCTCCCAGGATCTCCATCATATACATCACTCCTGGGTAAGAGAAAATGTCAGAGTGGAAATAAACTATAGTATTACTCTAGTGAGGCTCTCCAAGGGGGAATGTGAAAAGTAGGATAAATGTTCTTCCCTAACCTCTTTTATAATTATTTTTTTTTTCAGAAAATATTGGTTTTAGTCTGTTTCTACTACCAGACAATAAATTATTTGAATATTGTAGTAATTATTGAAAATTCTTTACCCCTTACTTCTTAAATTAATTCTTAATAGGATAAAGACATGTTTGTTGAAGTGTGGAAGGAAGGAAGAGTTTAGGGCAGATCAAAGCATAAAAGAAGAACGGAAGGAAGACAATGTTAAATTACAATATGTAAATTTTTGTAGATACTTATGATAGACTGTAGAACAACACAGAAAAAGAAATCTTGCCTTTGTAACTCACTTTCACTCACTATAACATAGATACAAAAAAAAAAAAACTAATGAAAAATTGACTGTACACCCTAACTGCTTTTTTGTTTTCTTCCTATCCCCCGTGTTATATTCTCCTTCTTTGATCATATTAATAGTGTTAATAATGCAGTCATTTGTTTTTGGACTATGGGTTGCTTAATTATGGCCATTTATCCAAGTTTTATATTAGGTATTTTGGTGGCAAGGAACAATTATACGTTTGTATTACCTTAAAAAAATAAAACCTGAGGTCACAATCATGGTTCTGATATTAAGGCTTGGATGTTTCAATATCTCTGTCTCACTGTCTCTCTCGTATCTACCAGCAACATTTCCAACAATGCTCTGCTAATCCCCTCACCCTCTTTATCCTCGTGATCTTATTTGGACTGTCTGTTATTTTGTGCCAAGCCACATCACAGAAGACTGACTGGATAGTTCTTCTTAGGTTAATTGTCCACTAGTGGACCAATCAAACCAGAATTATGTGGGTTTTCTGTTACTATGACATCATTAATGTCCAAATATTTAATATATCTTTTATACAATAAACTAATGGGACTAAGATCTCAACATTTATTAGATAGCAGACAATTTCTCTCAAGTCCAAAAAGCACAGACAAAAGAATCAATTAATAATATAATGCAATAAAAATATAAACAGTTCCTCAGGATTATAATGCAAATGTAACAAGAATCCTAAGGATATTTTACATATTTGAAACTGAATAATAGAAGGGCCTATAAAACATTGGCATAGAGAAAGTAAATTGTTTTAGATAACTTTGTATAGCTGAAAAGTGTTTGAGGAATCTTTCCAAATGTACTGATTAGTGAAATTACAACTGAAATATTCTGTATGAAATAGATAATAAGCTTAAGGGCAAAGTTGTTCCTAATTGAAAAACTTGCCCTTAAGAGAAATGTAATACTTAATTAAGGAGAACAAAAGTAGCACACAATTCTTAATATTTCTAGAAAACTATAAAGAAAGGTTATTGTGCTTTAAAGGTACACTAAAGGAAAAAAATTAACTCATAGGAACTACTATGCTTATATTCCTCTATTTTAAAATGTGAATAAAACAACATAGAAGTTTAGAGTGATTGACTTACAAACTAATGTATCTCAAAATATTTTTTTTTGTTTTTATGCTTTTGCTTTCATTTATTGTTGCTTACAAATGATTACTAACAATGCCGGCCATTTGATTTTGCTATATTAGTTGTTTCTGATGATTATATTGTATGTTAGATTGGCATAAAAGTAATTGAGGTTTTTGCATTACTTTTAATGGCAAAACCACAATTACTTTTGCACCAACCTAATAATTGATACACATTAAGATAATCATATAATTCCACATATTTTGTATGTTATTTTACAGGTTGTCTTAGAACATCTTCAAAAGTGCTCAATTAAAGTAAATTATGGTAGAAAAGTGGTCATAGATCTTTCTTTCTTTCTTTGAGAACTTCTCTCTCTGTTGCCCAGGCTGGAGTGCAGTGGCGTGATCATGGCTCACTACAACTTCTGCCTGCCCGGTTCAAGCAATTCGTATGCCTCAGCCTCCTGAGTAGCTGGGATTACAGGTGTGTGCCAGCACCCCCAGATAATTTGTGTGTTTTTATTAGAGATGGTGTTACGCCATGTTGGCCAGGCCAGTCTAGAACTCCTGGCCTCAAGCAATCTGCCTGCCTCGGCCTCCCAAAATGTTGGGTTGGAGGCATAAGCCACCTTTTCTGGCCAATCATAGATCTTTATTAGGTAAGATCTTTATTGCCTAAGGAAAAAAAAATTGACACAACATACAGATTATCTAATAATTGCAACCCAGATATTGAATCCTATATCTGCATTTATATTATTTATTATAAATGTCTTTAAATGTGAAACCAATGCACATCAGTAGCTGAAAATTATTTTGTTCTTAATATTGCATACGTTTACAATTAATTAGGAAGAAAAAAATCAAGCACAGGAAAAAGTTTCACTATGCATGATAATAATGCCCATAGGCACACTACAGAAAACCGTATAATGTTAGTCAACATTTTATTTTTCTTTAATTTGGAAGTTTCTTAGAGCTAAATACATAAGTGTGCTCAAATGTTGGTACAAACTAATGCAAATACTACTTTTGATGAAAATTCTTCATAATTTATTAAAGCTGGTCTTTCAGAATGGTAAATATTATAGCCTCTGAAAATTATTCCCAGGCACTAGCGTGCATAAAACTATCATCAGTGTTATGAACAGGGTTGTTTAACAAATTAAAAGTTTGAGAGAACACAGTCAAATGTTCTACCTTTATAATTTTTTACATTTTTCATGTCGGATTGTGTTCTTTTGAAATTCGTAATAAGCAAAAAGTACTTCTGGATTCTCTTAAGAATCTTGGAAGAGCTTACATGAGATGCCAGAGTCTCAAAAAAAAAAAAAAAGAAAAAAAAATTTAAACTAATCTCTAAAATAAAAATTTAAATATTGTATTCTTCACGGCTAGGGAGCCCAAGTGGCATAACCAAAGCAGCTTATATTTTACTTGCAAAATTTTCTTATTTGCTTAAAAATTAGTGTATGATATTTTACCCGATATTTCAAACATAGATCAGACTGGCTCTCTCAAAGGAGAACATGAAATTTTTGAACTGTTAACAAAACTATGATCATAAAATTCAGAGTGCTAAGTGTTTCTTTGCTTATGATTGTATAAATATTTATGAGCTATTGTACATGTAACTATTCAAAAATAATTTCACATTTGAATACACTAAGCAAATGCTTCTTTCCTTGTTCTCAAAGTATGAATAATCTTATATAACAATGTATTTTTATGTAAATAATATGTTATAAATGTCAATATCTTCAGGGTGAATTATGTTCTTTATTATAGCTAAATTTTAAATTTTAATAAAAGAAAATCATCAAAGAAAAGGCTAAGAGAAATATTTCATACTTTTGTGTATTTTACCAAATTATTTTTACTTGGTTTATACTATAGAGTTAAATATTTCTTTTGTAAAGGAAGAAATAAGCAGTAAGAAGAAAATTGTGTTACTGTATTGTAAACAATCACCTCCATACAAATTAATTGTTCACTCCTCCTTTTTATCAAAATCACTGTTTATGGCATAATATGTAGTATTAAAATATGAGCAACTCAAAACTAGTATAAAATTGTTGAAATCATTTTAATTTACAGTGTAGAATCTGTCTTTCAGAATGAACTAGTGTTAAGTAAATTGATGTTGCCTAGACTAGATTCCAGCAAGTTTATAGAGAATACACGTGAATGAAAGTTTTAGCACACTTGGCCAAGAGGGTGAGTAGGATTGAATCTAGCCTCCCCTTTGCCAAGTCCAGCACTCTGGGAGGGCTGTGACCACACAAATGGGACTTCCTTTTAAAATTTACAAAAAAAAAAGCTGTGTGAGCTGGGGGCATCTTTTTGTGAAACAGAGTTTAAGTAAAAAGAAAATTGCTTTCAATTAAACTGGGCTATGCAAGGGAATGGATGCAAAATATATCATGCTGTCTACTAAAATATACTAAGTAAATATTTAATGTAAAAAGATAGTGGTAGGGGAACTAATGATGAGACTGTGTCTAAAAGAAAGATGATGTGCCTCTAGTCTAGGTATGAAAGGTGGGAGCATACCTAGATTACCTAAATACCTTGGCAGGGCATGAGGCAGTAAGTTGACTAAAGACAGAATTCATCTGTCAATCAAATGCCTATTTTGAAGGGAGGATAAAGGAAATAAAGATATTTTACAGGAATTAGTGTTCATTAGAAAAAAAGGAATTTTATATTATTCTGGATTTGATGATTAATGGATCTTTAAACACATTTTAATTTAATAAAATATTTTTTCATAGGAATTAGTGTATATTGTGCAATGCATCACATATAAATGGAAAAATGATTGTCTTTTCTATGAAATAAAATGCCAATCATTAAATCATATCTAGATTTCCTACGACTTAAAAAAATAGCCTTTTATTTATGTTAATCTTTGGGATTCTTGTCATACATTGTTAATAATATCATTTAGTTTATCAAAGTAAATAAAATACTTTATTACAAAGTAAAGAATTTTATTAAAGAACGGATAGAGGAATCTTTGATCATTCTTCTTAAAATCAATTCTATATTTCAATGACATTTTCTGTAAAGATATTTGCATAACATTGTTTAATTTTCAATTTTATTTTATTTTATTATTATTTTTTGAGACAGGGTTTTGCTCTCTTGCCCAAGTTGGAGTGCAGTGGTGCTATCTTGGTTCACTGCAACCTCTGCCTCCCTGGCCCAAGCGGTTCTTGTGCCTCAGCCTTCTGAGTACCTGAGCGTACAGGTGGCCGTCACCACTCCTGAATAATTTTTTTATTTTTAATAGAGATGGGGTTTCACCATGTTGGCCAGGCTGGTCTTGAACTCCTGACCGCAAGAGATCCACCTGTCTCGGCCTCCCAAAGTACTGGGATTACAGGCGTGAGCCACTGCACCTGGCCTAATTTTCAGTATTAGATGTGTTCTAGTAATATTTTAGTACCTTGAATAAATTAACTAATAGATATTTCCTTTTCCACAATATATATCTTTGATTAAGTTACCACTTACTATTGTAATTTGTCTTTATAATAAATCCCTAGTGTCTTAATTATTATTTTCTGTTGTTCTTCTAATTAAAACATCAAAAAATAATATATGAGACAGATAACTTGATTCTCTAAGATTATTTAAATACAATTTTCTCAATTTTTATTGATAATTACTCAGAAATATGCCTTCCTTTAATTTTGGAGTATACAATTATTGATTTGGCCAAAAATTAGTCAGAATTGTCCACTAATCGTACAACATTCTGTGCATATGAAAAAAAATCTTGTCAGAAAACACATGGTTTTTGTTAAAAGACCATATTATTTCTGATATATATTATTATATTTTAAAAGAAGGTCCATCACATTTTTATATTCAGAAGGTTTTTAATACATTACATAAAGCAATACACTGTCAGAAATGACAAGAAGAAAACAATAAAATACTGAACACTCTCAAGTGGATTTTGCAGATAACCATTTTTACTCTCCAACTTACGTGTGTGTGTGTTTTATTTTCCCATGGACACTGTAAAAAATTAGAAATGTAGTAAGGCAAAAAAATAATTCCTCAGTCAAAGAGAAACCAAAACACTTTAATGAAAATACTAAAATGAAACAAGTATGGGGAGTAGAATAAGGTAAAAATACTAACAATAACCAAACAAAGAAGAAAAATTCATCTATGTGAAAATATTGATATGTACTTTTCTAAAGAATTCAGGCCAAAGATCAATCATCCAAGGGATGTTTGCACCCCCATGTTTATTGCAGCATGCTTCACAATAGCCAAGATTTGGAAGCAATCTAAGTGTCCATCAACAGAAAAATGGATAAAGAAAACGTGATACATATACACAATGGAGTACTATTCAGCCATAAAACACATAATGAAATCCTGTCATTTGCAAAAACATGGATGGAATTGGAGGTCATAATGTTAAGTGAAATAAGCCAGGCACAAAAAGATAAACTTTTTCTAAATTATTTGTGAAAGCCAAAAATTAAAATAATTGAACTCATGGAAATTTTGGGTATTGTAGAATGATGATTATCAGATATTGAGAAGGGTGGTGTGGGTGGGACAGGAAAGTCGGGATGGTTAATAGATACAAAAATATAGTTAGGTAGAATGATAAGAGCTGGTACTTGATAGCACAACAAGGTAACTACAGTCAACAATATATTGTACATTTTTAAATGACTAAAAGATTATAATTGGATTGTTTTAATGCCAAGAAAGGATACATGCTTGAGGTGATACATTTGCCCTGATGTGATTTCAACACGTTGTATGCCTGTATCAAAATATTTCATGTATCCCATAAATATATACACCTGCTGTGCACCCACAAATATAAAATAAATAATAAAATAATAAATGCATAATGAAAACATATGGAATTATCTGTACCACCCAAACTATGATGATGACTAATATCATATGTATATTCTCCTCCATCCACTGCTGGTAATAATGGAAAATGGTGTAACCTGTTAGGAAAACTATGTTTTCTAAACATGTAAACAGATGTATAGCAAATCACTCAGCCATTCTACTTTTAAAATTTACTCTACAGGAGAGAAAGCTGGTGAGAGTTCTTACCTTCAAGTCATTTCCAGCCCAGGAGCTAGATACATAAATAAAGAAACACCCTTTCCAGGCCAAATTCTTGAGTCACCACCAGCCTTCAAACTTTCTGAGCTGAGTATCCAGGCA
Organism: Homo sapiens; assembly: GCF_000001405.40. Lineage (NCBI taxonomy): Eukaryota > Metazoa > Chordata > Mammalia > Primates > Hominidae > Homo > Homo sapiens. Next base: position 189,897,523 of record NC_000001.11, read on the forward strand.
TTATGGAGTATAAATAATTATTCTTGCTGACTTCTGTCTGAATTCTTGATCCACAGAATCTGTGAGCATGATACAATATTGTTTTAAGCCACTGAGTTTTAGGGTAGTTTGTATTTAGTAACATTTTAACAACTCTGTAATGTAGTGGCTATTTTAATTCCAGTATTTATAATAGGTTTTCTTTTAGGATCTACAGTATTTAAAAATAATAATACTCAAGATTCGGATTTAAATATAGGCAGAAACTTTTGGATCCCCAGATGTTTGCAACTCTTTAAGCATGTGGATAAGCATGATTAGCAATGGTAGGAATTATTTTCATAAAGTCTGGGACTGTGAAAATAATGGAAAAGTCTGTTCCACTATGTGAGAACAGCTGCTGGCTTTAAAGAGTTAGGGTTGCACATATTTAATAGCAAAACTAATAATGACTTATTCAAAATACATTATTGCTTTGTTTTTTCTTTCCAGTGACAGGTGCAAAACAAATATGTCTTCATTTAGAATTCAGAGATTAAATAGGGTATTGAATATGCTGTCTAGAACTATTTTAGATAAAAGTGCTGCTTTTTAATGCACCACAGATAACAAAATAGAAATACAGAGTTTGAGGATATTCATAGGGAAAAATTCCATTTCCAAATATATTTTCTTTTTTTTTAGACAGAGTCTCGTTCTGTTTCCCAGGCTGGAGTGCAGTGGTGCGATCTTGGCTCACTGCAACCTCTGCCTCCCAGGTTCAAGTGATTCTTCTGCCTTAGCCTCCCGAGTAGCTGGGACTACAGGCACATGTCACCATGCCTGTCTAATTTTTGTATTTTTAGTAGAGATGGGGTTTCACTGTGTTGGTCAGGCTGGTCTCAAACTCCTAACCTCGTGATCCTCCCGCCTCGGTCTCCCAAAGTGCTGGGATTACAGGCGTGAGCCACTGGGGCTGGCCGATTTTACAGCTTTTCATAAATTATGGTGGCATAACGGTGGCTTAGTTAATGGTTGATTATATTACAAAATTGAATAGGTTTGACACTGTATTAACACATTAAGTAGCATCTGCCATATACTTTTATCAACAATCAAACAGTACATTAGTAAACCAGACCATTCATAAAAAAAAAAAAAACATAGCTTGTAACTTACTTCTTAATTGATGTAAAGACCAAAATATAGAATTTATACAGCCACAAAAATGTATATTCCTTTTTCTTTGGTCAACATGTTTTATTTTCATTAAAGCTTGAATATATACTTTATTCTCAAGAATTGGTTCCAAATATTTTTTACTCTATCAGAATTCAAATTCAGGGTCAACATATAATCCTTTGAAAATATTGAGAATTATTAAAAATAATTTAAAAAGCATATTATTTTAAACTTCAAACTTATCTTAAACATTAATAAGAATACTTACATAAGGGCTTCTAAAGGAAGCAATTTTGAAGAGGAAGACTTACAGTACGTTTTAACAAAAGCAGTGATGTTAACTTAAGCTAAACATTATTTTTGGTATTTGAATTTCAGTTTACATTTCTATGTTGTAAAACCTCGAAAATATTACTATAATAATTAAAGAACTACAATCTTTGCTATTTACCCTGCTTCACATTGATTTCAACAAAGATATCTAACAGATCAATGAGCTAAATCACATCAAATATGGCACATGACTCAGCCTCACAGGAAGAGAATTAGAATTAATATAGTACTATCCAAGCTGGCAATGGAGATGGCCTCAGCATCAATGCTGGTAGTAACGGTCTCATCAGTATCATTTGGGTAAACATGCCAGTTATACTACCAGTCCTTTTTACTGTACTAAGTAATAGATAACTTACAATACAATTATATGCCTGAGAAACCTCATAAAATTACTTTTAAGATTTAGGAGATAATGATATAATATTGGTTTTTTGGAGGGGTTATCTTTTGAATCAAACAAAAATACAGAAAAAGAAGAGTTTAGTATTATTATGACTATGTTGATAATACGAGTTTTTGTTTTTCTTTTCAAACAAAAATCACAAAAGAATTTCTAAGAAGATTTTTTTTCTTGCTACCACTTTTCAGAAAACAATACAGAAAGAGAAGCCAAATAATGCCCTTCAAACTGAGGTTTATTTGATGTTGTAAACCCTGACACTCCTTTTGAATTAAATGTATAATAATGTCTTGGTATTTAATGTTATTTTACTTTTCCTTTCTTTCTCATCTGTTTTTAAGTAGGTTTTCAGACTAGCATTCAAAGCCAATTGAACAAGAAGATGAAAGTTTACAGAGATATAGAGGGAAGGAAAGAAAAGCTTTGTTGACTGCAGTTATAGAAGACAACAGATTGAAACAACTAGTCAAACAGAACTAAAGAAAAGAGAAACAATCAGCCTGGAGTTGAAAGGAGAGACAGTAATCTTGAGAATATATGACTACCATTATAATGGCTCAAAGTTTGACTATCAAGTGTTTAAAAATGAATTTAATATGGTCATGTTTAGAAGTTTTAGGACAGGAAGGAGAGGGTTTTTAAAAATTGTTTCTGATATCATAGTATATTCTCAAATATTCAGAGGGACAAAGCTCTCTCCTCTTCCCTCCTGCTGTTTGCCTTCAGGCTATTTCACTGCTCATTAGCACCTTCACCAGAGAGTGGGCCAGGAAATAAAAGAGCTGAAACAGGAGTCAGTCAATTGCAGTTCTCATTAGGGGCTCTGGCAAAAATCTACGGATGGGTGGAGTCTGAATCTAATAGCTAAAGAGAGATGTGGGGATTATCCATGGTATTCTCTTGTCCAAATCATTCTGCTCCCTGAATATCAGAGATAATTGCATGTTGACTGTATTATAATACATTTCCATAGCAATTACTGACATGTTTGCAGAAGGGAAACAAAGCAAGAGGGTAATGTAATTATCTAGGTCAGTGGTTCTCAAACTTGAGCTTCCATCAGAATTACCTGCAGAGCTTTTTTTTTCAAGGCAGATTATTGGGCTCCACCCATAGAGTTTCTGATTGAATAGGTGTGCGTTAGTGCCCAAGAATATGAATTTCTAACAAGTTTCTTGGTGATTCTGCTGCTGCTGATCCAAGGACTATATTTCAAAGACCAGTGATCTACATAATTCAGAAAACGTTACACAGTTGCTAACAAGCAATATAATTGACTGATTTTAATTTTGCCTTCTCATAGGATTTATGAATCATTATGTGACTTCTTGCAAGAATTCTGGCAGCTATACCATCATTTTTGGACTTATCCTGAATTATACATACAAAAAGAACACTGAGTTGCCATTCAACTTCTACAATCACATCCTAAAATATATTGGCAAAACATGCAATATTTAGATATTTGCTTTCATTTTCATTCTATTGGGACATATTGTTTTCAATCTCAAACTGCTAATTTACCAATTAAGTCTCTTGAAGGAATATTTTCTCTTTTTTTGTTTTAAATTATCAAAGTAGCATATGATACTTAAATAAGAAATGCACAGAAGTGTGAAGAAAAATGTAAAAGTCTCCTCTTCCACAAACTGCATCTTCTTACTCTGGAGACATGTCAATATATACTACTACTCATATGGAAACATACATTCAAAAATATAATAGCATATATTGATTTTTAGTCAATTATACATGATTATTATGTATTATGAATATTATGTAATCTTATAGAAATTATATTTTATAAATGTTAACATTCTGTTGTGGATATAGCAAACTGTCTATTGCCCCCTTTATTCATTCTCTATTTTTTAATATACCTGTAAGAGTTTAGCTTTTCTTGTGGCTACCCAGAGTAGATTTTATTTTTTTAATTCTGATTTGCGGTTTGTCATGGTCATATGACAAATTCTGAACAATTGGAAGGCATTCTAAGTGTTTATAAAATTTCCCAGAACTATCTTTAGAACACTGAAAAATTACCTGTATCAGAATAATCTGGAAGGCTTGTTGAAACAAAGTAATAGGCCCCAACCCCGGAGTTTCTGATTCAAAAAGCCTGGGTTGAGGACTGAATATTTACATTTTAGACAAGTAACCAGATGATGCTGACTTAATGGTTCAAAGGCTGTGAGAGCCAGTGACTTAGAGGAAGAAGATGTATACTTCTCTTTCCCTTTGCTTTTCCTAATATCTATAATGCAGATGTTACTGTGTAAGCACAAGCAGCCATTGTGCTACATGTGATGAAACCCACATTTTGAGGATGGCAGAACAGTAAGATCTCTTGGTTATGGGACTTCAGTACTACTTGTGCATTCTCTGCCTTTAGGTAGGAGAAGTATTTGTTGTGTTCTCTCTCATTTGCAGTCAAAGTTACATAGATTGCATGGACTTTGGTTAATGTAAATACACATAAATCTAATATATTTCATTGCTTAATATTATTTTATAGATACATAATTTTTATGATCATTTTATTTCCTTTTTAATTAACAAATAATTGTATATATTCATAGGGTACAATGGAATTTATTTTTAAATGTATTATTGCTTTATAGAGAGAGGCCTTTTTTTTCTAATTACAGACAATTTGCCAATAAAGATTTTAAAATATTACTTTGAGTAACTTCAGTATAAATTGTAAAGGTGAGTTGAGAAGTGAAGGAGTGTGCAGTTTTACTTTATTTTTATTTATTTATTTCTAGAGACAGAGTATCACACTGTCATCCAGGTTGGTGCAGTGGCGCTATCATGGCTTACTGCAGCCTTAACCTTCCAGGCTCAAGCGATCTGCCTGCCTCAGCTTTGCAAGTAGCTGTGCCCAGAGGTGCACACCACAATGCATAGCTAATTGAAAAAACAAAAAAAAAACAAAAGAAAACAAACAAAAAAAACCTGTAGATACAGGGTCTCTGTATGTTGTCTAGGTTGTTCTTCAATCCCTGGGCTCAAGGGAACCTCCCACTTGTGCCTCCGAAAGTGCTGGGATTACAGGCATGAGCCACCATGCCCAGCCTGGCAGTTATATTTAAGATGCAAATTGACAAATACTTCCCATATTTTTTTACTAAATCATACTGAGTAAGAAAACTAGGTATTACCAATTGTCTCATAATTTTGCCCAAATTATAAACCTCTACAAAGACAATATTTCATGATGTTTAATTAGGCAGTAATTGGTGTCAAAAGACTCAAGTTTAAATCCCAAATTGAAATCCCAGTTGAATCTGTTTCTAGTTATGTGACCCTGGGAAGTTAACCTCTCCATTCTTTAATTTCTGCACCTCATTCATTTACTCAACAATCCAAAATATACTGAGCAACCTTTTTAGGCCAAACTCTCCTTTGAGAATTGACAAGACACTTGAGAACAATTAAGGCATTAATTTTGCTTTGTGAAGACTAAATCAGATAATCTACTGAAAGCGCTTTATAAAGTACCTAGGACACACTTGGACAAAATCAGTGCTAGCTAATATTATAGAAGGACTGTTTTGCAGCTCTTGTGTTTATTAATATTTATTTACATTTATTTAATCAAAAGTGAGATTACACTTTTTTTAAACTTTTATTTTATGTTCAGGAGTACATGTCCTGGTTTGTTATATAGGTCAATTTATGTCACAGAGGATAGTTGTATAGATTATTTCATCACCAGGAACTAAGCCTAGTAGCCAATAGTTATTTTTTCTGATTCTCTCCCTCCTCCCACCCTTCACCCTCAAATAGTCTCTGTTGTTCTACCCTTTGTGTCCATGTATTCTCATAATTCAGCTCCAACTAATAAGTGAGAACATGCGGTATTTGCTTTTCTTGTCTGTTCAAGGAATCAGTTTCTTTCTGGTTCAGTCTTGGGTGGTTGTATGTATCCAGTAATTTAGCTTTACCTTCTAGGTTTTCTAGTTTATGTGCATAGAGGTGTTCATACTAGTCTTTGATGGTTGTTTGTATTTCTTTGTGATCAGTGGTGACATCCCCTTTGTCATTTCTAAATGTGTTTATTTGGATATTCTCTTTTCTTGTTTATTAGTCTTGCTAGTGGCCTATCTCTCTTATCAGTCTTCACAAAACCAAATCCTGGATTCGTTGATCTTTTGAATGGTTTTCTTCCTTTCTCTGTCTCCTTCAGTTCAACTCAGATTTTTGTTATACCTTGTTTTCTGCTAGCTTTGGAATTGCTTTGTTGTTGGTTCTCTAGTTCTTTTAGTTGTGTGATAGGTTGTTAACTTGAGATCTTTCTAGCTTTATGATGTGGACATTTAGTGCTATAAATTTCCCTCTTCATAGTATCTTAGCTGTTGTGTCCCAGAGATTCTGGTGTGTTGTATCTTTGTTCTCATTAATTATTTTCTTATTTATTTATTTATTGAGCTGGATTCTCGCTCTGTCACCCAGGCCAGAGTGCAATGGCATCATCTCAGCTCACTGAAACCTCCACCTCCCAGGTTCAAATGATTCTCCTGCCTCAGCCTCCTGAGTAGCTGGGGTTACAGGCGCAGGCCACCACACCTGGCTAATTTTTGTATTTTTAGTAGAGATGGGGTTTCACCATGTTGGCCAGGCTGGTCCCGAACTCCTGACCTCGTGGTCCACCCACCTCAGTCTCCCAAAGTGCTGGGATTACAGACGTGAGCCACCATGCCCGGCCTTGTTCTCATTATTTTCAAATAACGTTTTGGTTTCTGCCTTAACTTCATTATTTACCCAAAGGTCATTAACAAGCATGTTGTTGTTTAGTTTTCATGTAATTGCATGGTTTTGAGAAACCTTCTTAGTCTTGACTTCTCTTTCTATTGTGCTGTGGTCTGAGAGTGTGTTTGGTGTGATTTCACTTATTTTGCATTTGCAGAGGATTGTTTATGTCCAAATACGTTGTCAATTTTAGAGTCTGTGCCATTGGCAATGAGAAGAATGTATATTCTGTCATTTTGAATGGAGAGTTCTATAAGGTCTATCATATCCACTTGGTCCTGAATATCTTTGTTAATTTTCTGCCTTGATGATTTGTCTAATACTGCCAGTGGAGTGTTGAAGTCTCCCACTATTATTGTGTGGGTGTCTATGTTACTTTGTAGATCTCTAAGAACTTGCTTTATGAATCTGGCTGCTCCTGTATTGAGTGCATATATATTTAGGATCATTAAGTCTTCTAGTTTAATTGAACCCTTTACCATTATGTAATGCCTGTCTTTGTCTTTTTTATCTTTGTAGACTTGAAGCCTGTTTTGTCAGAACCTAGAATTGCAACCCCAGCGTTTTTCTCTTTTATGTTTGTGTGTTGATTTTCCTCCATCCCTTTATTTTTAGCCTATGTGTGTCATTATTGTGAGATGAGTATTTTGAAGCCAGCATATCATTGGATCTTGCTTTTTGATCTAGCTTGCCATACTGTGTCTTTTAAATGGGACATTTAGCCTGTTTACATTCAAGGTTAGTATCGTTGTGTGTTGATTTGATTCTGTCATTGTGTTGTGAGCTGGTTATTATACCAGCTTGTTTGTGTCATTGCTTTATAGTGTCTCTGGTCTGTGTACTTAAGTATGTTTTCATATTGACTGGTAATGGTCTTTCCTTTACATATTTACTTCTTTTTTCAAGATCTCTTGTAAGGCAAGTCTGATGGTAAAAAAAAAAAAAAAAAAAAAATCTCCCTCAGCATTTGTGTATCTGAAGAGTATCTTATTTCTCCTTCACCAAGGAAGTTTAGTTTGGATGGGTATGAAATTCTTGGTTGAGGATTTTTTTGTTTAAGAATATTGAATATAGGCCCTGTATAGTCCATTCTCATGCTGCTATAAAGAAATACCTGAGAGTGGGTAACTTATAAAATAAAGAGTTTTAATCAACTCATAGTTTCTCATTTCTGGGGAGGCCTCAGGAAACATACAATCATGGTGAAAGACAAAGAAGCAGGCACCTTCTTCACAGGGTAGCAGGATGGAGTGAGTGCAAGCACTTATAAAGCATTTATAAAGAGACACTTATAAAACCATCAGATCTTTTGAGACTCACTATCACGAGAACAGCATGGGGGAGACCACCCCCATGATCCAGTTACCTCCTCCTGGTCCTACCCTTGACATGTGGGGATTACAATTCAAGAATAATTGTGAAGTGCCCCTGCCCACTCCAATATCTCATGTCCTTACATTTCTAAACACAATCATGCCCTTCCAGCAGTCCCTCAAAGTCTTAACTCACTCCAGATTAAACCAAAAGTCCAAGTCCAAAGTCTTATCTGAGACAAGACAAATCTCTTCTGTCTGTGAGCCTGTAAAATTAAAAGCAAGTTTGTTACTTCCTAGATACAAAGGGGGGATGGTCCGCTTCCTCTTGAATGCTTTGCTACTTAGAAATTTCTTCTGCCAGATACCTTAAATCATCTCTTACAAGTTCAAATTTCCACAGATCTCTAGAGCAGGGGCAAAATGCTGCCAGTCTCTTTGCATAGCAAGAGTGACCTTTACTCCAGTTCTCAACAAGTTCCTCATCTCCATGAGACCAACTCAGCCCAGACTTCATTGTCCATATCACTGTCAGCATTTTGGTCAAAGCCATTCAACAAGTCTCTAGGAAGTTCCAAACATTCCCACATCTTACCTGTCTTCTGAGCCCTCCAAGTCTCTGGGAAGTTCCAAACTTTCCCACATTTTTCTATCTTCTTCTGAGCCCTCCAAATTGTCCCAACCTCTGCTTGTTACCCAGTTCTAAAGTTGCTTCCATATTTTCAGGCATCTTTATAACAGCACCCTACTCCCAGTACCAATTAACTTTATTAGTCTGTTCTCATGCTGCTATGAAGAAATACCTAAGACTGGATAATTCATAAAGGAAAGAGGTTTATTTGACTCACAGTTCTGCATTGCTGAGGAGGCCTCAGGAAACTTACAATTGTGGTGGAAGGCAAGGGAAAAGCAGGCTCCTTCTTCACAGGGTAGCAGGAAGGAGTGAGTGCAAGCAGGGGAAATGCCAGATGCTTATGAAACCATCATATCTCATGAGACTCACTCACTATCACAAGAACAGCATGGAGGAAACCACCCCCATGATCAGATTACCTCTACTTGGTCCTGCCCTTGACATGCGGGAATTATAATTCCAGATGAGATTTTCGGTGGGGACACAGCTAAAACATATCAGTCCTTCGATATCTTCTGGTTTATAGGATTTAATCTGAGAGGTCTGCTGTTAGACTGATGGGGTTCCCTTTGTAGATAATCTGCCCTTTCTGTTTAGCTTCCTTTAACATTTTTGCTTTCATTTTGACCTTGGAAAAATCTGATTATTATATGTCTTGAGGATCATCTTCTTGTGTAGGATATTGCAGGGCTTCTCTGTATTTCCCAAATTTGATGGTTGGTCTCTCTAGCAAGGCTGGAGAATTTTTCATGAATGGCCTCCTAAAATATATTTTCAAAGTTGTTTGCTTTTTTTACATCCCTTTCAGGGATGCCAGTGATTCTTATGTTTGGCTCTTTACATAATTTCATATTTCTCAGAGGTTTTATTCATTCCTTTTCCTTCTTTTTTTTTAATTTTTGTCTGACTGTCTTATTTCAGAGAGCCAGTCTTTAAGTTCCGACATTATTTCCTCAGCTTGGTCTATTCTGCTGTTAATACTTTTGGTTGCATTCTGAAATTCTTATAGTGTTTTTTACCTCTCTCAGTTAGGGTTGTTTTTATACTGGGTGTTTCATCTGTCATCTTCTATGTCATTATATTGTCAGTGTTTGTTTTCTGATCTTCATTTCTATCCATATTATGATTTCTCTTTCTGTCATTTCAGCCAACTCAGTCTGGTTAAGAACCTTTGTGAGATAACTAGTGCAGTTTTTTGGAGAACATAAGACACTCTGGTCATTTGAGTTGCCAGAATTTTTGTGTTGGTTCTTTTTCATCTCTGTGTATGGGTATTCTTTAACTTTTGGGTTGCCTCTGATTGAAGTGCTCAGGCAGGAGCAGTGTGGTTTTGCTGGAGTCCTAGGTCGAGTGTCCCTGCCCAGTGAGGATAAGTGAAACTGGGACCTACCTGGAGAAGAGTTTGGCCACTTTTTTTTGAGATGGGTGCTCTGTGCTGGGGATCTGGAATAGCCTCTGGTCCCTGTTGACTCTCCAGAGCCTGGAGAAAAAAGCAATGGCTGTAGGCAGGAAAAACGGCAATCCGCCCCTCCCACTAGGATCTCTGTCCCAGGAAGTTGCAGACCTGCTACTGGCTCCATACTTCTGTGGGGAGGATGGCTGCAGACTCAGGCCAGGAGGACATATGCAGTGAGGAGATATGGGATCAGGGACCCACATCACAAATAGTCTGGCCACTTTTCCAAATGCCTCTGCCATATGCTGCAGCTCTACTCTGATTCTTAGTCACCATCTCAGATTTTCTAGCACCTGAAGGTATCAACAGTGAAGGATGCAAAACAACAAAGATGGTGGTCTGTACTTCCCTCTCTCTGATAAGAGTTCATTTTTCATATGAAACATATGGCTTCAGAAAATAATTATTGATGATTATTGAAAAGGTATATGGATGTAGGCACACACTGAGGTCAGAAGTTAAACTGGTATTACTGGATTAATATCAGTCATTGTGATTCAGTGAATAATAGTCATTCTGGTTACAGAGTCAGGGTGGGTAATTGTCAATTAACAAGCTTCCTTGAAATCAGAACTGATCAATTAAACTGATCAATCAATTAATGATTAGTTGATCAGTTCTGATTTCAAGGTAGCTTGTTAATTAAGTTTGGCCTATTACAGAGATTGAAGTTTTGTGATCTCTTCTTTTGATAAAAGGGACCATAAGCTTCATTAAACATGTATTTTTGTCTTACAGCTATTTTGTAGTGATCAGCAGTTTTTAATGTATGATAAATGTTCAATAAATATGTATGAAGTGCTTAGGTATGTAATTTCAATAGACCAATGCTTGCCTAGGAAACACTGATATATTTTCTGTAAGTACCATACTCTTCTGGATATTCTAAAAACATCCTTAACAATTCTATATATGGGTAATACTATTTAATATAACTATTTTCTAGTAGAAACTATCATTTTACAATCTGAAATTCCATGATTTGATCATCATATTGAAGAATTTTTGTACCTATTTTGTACATTTTATATCTTTTTATTTACTTTAGTTTGCCTTTTTCAAATAGACTCTAGTTTTGTTTTAGTGTTGTTGAGAAACTTTCTTTTCAAGAGTAAAGTTATTTGTATAATTGTATAGATAATTTTAAATGTAACTTTAAATGATTGATAGTAAATGACCACTGATCAATCACAATAATGTACCTCATACAAAAGAGAAGAGTATAATTTCAAAACAGACTGTGAGTAGTTCCTAAAATATTAGGTTCAACTGTATAAAATGACTGATAGTCAACTGTTTCTGATGGGCATAAATGGAAATTTTACATATCTAATATATTCCATTTATTTTTGTAGATGTTTACATCAAAATTTTGTTACTAGTTTATTTTCTGTAATGAATGTCTCATATATTTCTTGTTATACATATATCATAAAACTGTTTTCAGTCTGTTGGGAGAGTTATATATACAAGTGAGTATCCTTTATTTAAAATGTTTGGGACCAGAGGTGTTTCAGATTTTGGAATGTTTACATACACACAATGAGATACCTTGGGGATATCTTGTGTTTAGACTCTAAGTATAAACACAAAACTAATGTATATTTCATAGGCCCCTCATACACTTTGCCTGGAGGTAATTTTATACAATATTTCTGTACAGTACATATTCTGTGCAACTGCAGATATGCAGAGTATTATTGAATGTTTGTTTGCCTTTTTCTTACCTAAATGGTATTATGTTCTATCTAATGTTCAGTAATTAATTGTTTTAATAAGATCTATGTCCAGCAATACAAAACTATCCCTTTTTTTTAACTGAAGCATAAACTGAACAATAGTTTATACCACATTTCCTCAATTTAGGGGCATTTAGATTGTTTCCAGGTTTGTCATGATTAGGAAATGTACTGCAATGAGCAACTTTGTACAAATATTGTGTGAGTATTCATTTTCTCCAGTGTAGATCCCACTAATAGAATTTCTAAGCCATAATGTGTGCATTTTTCTCAGTTTTATGCAAATAATATAAACCCTCAAAAATAGCTATAACAATGTATAAGTCCATAGGTTGCATGTAAAATTTCCTCTTGTTCCAATATATATACTATATGATAAATGTATCTGATAGCAATGCCTTCAGCATACCCTGAGAATGACCTTGTATAGCAGATGCACCTGAATGTGTGTTCGAAGCTTGAGAATTGGGAGTGGCCAATCTGGAGATATGTTCCTTGTCTGTGAGGAAGTTCTGAGCCCTGGTCTGTCCCATGGAACCCGAGTGGATTGGGGCCCCAAGTGTTGGGTTGAATAAAGCTTGCTGATACAGTTTAGATATAAACTATATCAAGTTTATATATACAAGTCGAATTGTAATCCCCAAAGCTGGAGGTGTGGCTTGTGGGAGGTATTTTGGTCGTGGGGTGGATCTCTCATGGGTTGGTGTTGTCTTCACCACAGTGAAGGAGTTCTCAGGAGGTCTGGTTGTTTAAAAGTGCATGACACCTTCCTGTCCCCCCAAATCTTTTTTGCTCCTGCTTTTGCCATATGATCTACTGCTCCCCCTTTGTCTTCTGTCCTGATTGGAAGCTACCTCAACAGAAACAGATTCCGCTGTGCTTTCTGTACAGCCTGTGGAACCATGAACCATTTATACTTCTTTTCTTATAAATTACCCAGTCTCAGGTATTCGTCCATAGCAATGCAAGAGTGGCCAAATACATTTGTCAAAGGAGATTGTTAGGGAAATGGTCCTAATTGAAAATGTTATATAAATGGCATGCCTTCTGCAAGTGGTTGCAGTTCTTTTGCTTTGCCACCACCACTGGGCCATGCAATAATACTGCTCAACCCACAAACACTGGATTGTCTGCCCTGTATGTAAGCTCCCTATAAAACTTCACGTCTCATCTGCTTCCTCTAGGCCTTTTTTTTTTTTTTTTCACCTCTTGAACCAGGTACCATCTTCACTGGAGTCGACAGGAGTTTGACACAATATGTATCAATAATCATTATTTTTACCTCCTAATTTTTGACAATCTGATGGTCAAATAAAGTTTCACTACTGTTTTAATTTGATTTGACCAGTAACTAATAGAATCAAATATATTCTCATATATTTAATACTCATTTGTGTTTCTGTTTCTGTAAATGTCTGTTTAAATCTGGGCTTATATTTTCCTTTATAATGATATCACTGTCTTTAGATTTTTATTATTATTCAGCTATTATATTAAAATATTTTCTAATTGAGAGCCAATAGTCTTTAAAATCTGTTAATAGTAATTTTTCTAATGAGGAGGTTTATAGTTTTAACTTGCTGAAATTTATCTCATTGCCCATTATAGCTTTTATTTTTCATGTCTTTTTGAAAAAATCCTCTCCTAGTCCAAGAGCACACTTTTGCTGTCCTATTTTTTTCTCTAATTAAAAAAAATTTAAAAATATTTATGGTTTTAATACCCTATTAATTCTCTGTAAAATAGCGTGAGATAGGGATTTAATGTATATACTTTTCTAAACACTTCCCAACATCATTTATTGAGTATTCTTTCCTCTCTGATTTGAAAGGTAACTTTTATTTCGTAGTAAGTTTTCATATGTATTTCATTTTAGCTTTAGGGTCCTTGCTTCTTTAGAGAACAGCATATAAATATTAAGGTTCACAGAATTCCCCATCATTTTACAGCTTTGTGAGTTTAAATGTGCATTTCTTTCAGAGAGTAACCATAACTTTAATTAGACCCTTAAACAGCTACATGCACACGTATACACATGTGCACACACACAGAGACACACACAGTGTGATACATTGACAGGCACTTGACTTGGATGAACAGGCAATATCTGTGGATCATTCCACCAGAATTGTAATAGAATCATGTTGAGCCACTATATAGGCAAAAATCAGAAAGTGTTAGAGATTATGTTGAAAGTTACTCTTTGCTCTGGAGGTTGTAAAACGTTCTATCATATGTAAGGGAAAGCTTTTTTAATGAGTACACTAAACTTTCTTTAAAACTTTTATAGTTTGCCCTGTAGCCATCTGGACTCAGAATTTTATTTCTTTTAAATTACTTGATCATTGCTTCTACCTCTAACACTGCAGGGGCAAGTAGGTGTTCTGCTTGAGCTCTTGAGCACTGAGAAAAAAACTGAATTAATCAAACATTGGCATGTTCTAATGGGTAAACTTTCAAGGGAGTTTCTTCTATGTAAAGTGTTTGATAATATTGAAAACAGCATCTGTTACAGCTTTTGCTTTGTTTGCTGCTTTGTTGAGACGGGGGTATTGGTTGTTATTTTGTTGAGGCTTATTGTTTTCTTAATTGAAAGGCCAACATCTGGCTCTTTTTGTTACACTCTTTTCTTTACATTCTATTAAAATAATTCTTAATTTAAAATGCAAAGGTGCAATTATAAATACCTACAAACTATATCTCACTTATATGTGAATAGCAGAATGTTCTTATGCAAAATACAAGAGATATATATATTACATTTTGAATGCCACCTAAATATTGAGCACAGATTTTTTTTAAAATTTTACAATAAATGAATACCCTTTCTAATTAACATATTATAAAATGACTCTTTGAATTATTAATTAACCTTACATCTTCTGTCATATACACCACTCTACCCCTAAAGGAAGTGGAATATGTCATGGCAAGTTTTCAGAAATTGTGTGATTATAACAATATAAAATATCAGCATGATTCTGGCTTTATAAAATGAGTTAGGGAGGAGTCCCTCCTCCTTAATTTTTTGGAATAGTTTTATTAGGTACAGTACCAGCTCATTTTTGTACATCTGATAGAATTCAGCTGTGAATTTTTCTGGTCCCAAACTTTTTGTGGTTGGTAGGCTATTTATTAGTGACTAAATTTCAGATCTCATTATTGGTCAGTTTAGGGACTCAATTTCTTTGTGGTTCACTCTTGGGAGGGTGTGTGTGTCCAGAAATTCATCCATTTCTTCTAGATTTTCTAATTTTATACATAGAGGTGTTCATAACATTCTCTGATGGTTATTTGTATTGTTGTTTCTGATTATGTTTCTTTGAATCTTTTTTCTTTATTAGTCTAACTAGCTGTCTATTCATTTTATTAAAATTTTATTGAAAAAACTGCTCCTGGTTTCATTGATCTTTGAATGTTTACTTTATATCTCAATCTCCTTCATTTCAGCTCTGATTTTAGTTAACACTTGTATTTGCTAACTTTAGCGTTGGTTTGTTCTTGGCTCTCCAATTCTTTTAGTTGTGATGTTAGGTTGTTAACTTGAGATCTTTCTAACTTTTTGATGTGAACATATGCTATAAGTTTTCCTCTTAACACTGCATTAGCTGTGTTCCAGATATTCTGGTATGTTGTATCTTTGGTATTATTAGCTTCAAATAACTTTTTGATTTCTTTCTTAATTTCATTATTTACCCAAACATCATTCAGGAGCAGGTTATTCAGTTTCCATGTAACTGTATGGTTTTGGGTTAATTCCTTAGTCTTGATTTCTAATTTGATTCCCTTGTTGTCTGAGACAACATAAGAAAAGTACATATGAGAAGCAGAAATACAAAGTACATTTTGAAATGAATTGTCGGTTTTGCATAATACTTAAATTGCAGTTTATCTAATTAAACATTTATAGAAGATCTTTTGACCACTTCTACTCATAGCAGTCTAGCTAGAGTTTTAACTGATTGGAACGAACACTTTCCATCTATTTGTATAACATCTGTAAAAGGACTTGAATCTATACTTAGATTTTATTTCTGAAGCCTCAAGATTCACCTTGTGATGGTATATAATTTACTGAAAACAGTGAATTAAGTGTTAAAAAGGAAAAAAAAAACTAAAATAAATGAACTCATAAAATATGAAAGGAAGAAGCTCAATGCAAAGAACACTTACTAGAGTTTGATTTTATTTTATAAAACAACAAAAACAAAATCTATATTTAAGAACCAAAAATCATCTTTATTTTGCATGGAATTTTTGAATTTAAAAAAACATGTTTTGAAATGTGTTCAACTTAATCTACATTATGTACAGTTAAGCATCTTGATAAATAGACCTATTTACACATTCATTCCACTTATTTTCTCTAATGATTATTGATAGACTTATTAGAAGAAATGTTATTGCCTTTCTCTCCTCCTTTTTTCTTCCTTTCTCGCCCTCTCTCCTCCCTCTCCTCATTTTCTCTTCTCTTCTTCCTCCTTTGCCTTCTTTCCCTCTTTTTCCCTTCCTTCCTTCTTTCCTTCCTTCCTTCTTTCTTCCTTCCCTTTTTTTCTTGCTTTCTTTCTTATGTATTAGTCTCTTTTAATTTTTTTTTGCTAGTGGATACTGAGTTGAAAAATCAAACAAAAACAAAAAGTAAAGTGGACCACTTTTTATGATTTATCAGAGAAAAATCTAGCTGAATACAAGTTGTATTATGACCAAAAGTAAAATCTGCAGTCTACCCTTCATTGAGAACTTTAATAATAACTATTCTGTTATTATTACAAGTTTAAAAATATTAATTTCCCTGAGTGCAAATTATAGTAAATAAAGGAAAAATAACCATATGAAATAATAACAAAATATGTTGTAAAATTTTTAATTTTAGGTAGGAATTAATAGGTCATGCTAGTGTTACTTGCAGAAGAAAAAGGATTTGAATAAAGCATAAACACTCGTTTTAAAGGCATCAGAGAAAAGTAGATGCCAAAAAATATTTTAAACTGAAATTTCAGAAAGGAAAGATTACCAAATGAGGAGAAATTTTCATTCAGGTTTTTTTCCCAAAGAGCATATGTCTATTTCAGGCCTGTGCTAAGGTTCAGCCCATACAAAAGTTTCAATGGGAAGGAGGGAACAGCAGATATTTTAGCAGATGTACGGATCTAGAGGACAACATTGAAAACTTGAGAGGCCTCAAACATATAGCCATTTTCTTCTATACACCATTTGGTAAGTTTGAGGGCTCTACAGGAGCATGGAGAGCTAAGCCAATAGCTTCTAAAACACAGAGTAAAAGTTCCCTGTTTTTTTATCATGGTTAGAAAACTCATGCCTGCCAGGAGGAGTAGGTCTGTCCCCAAGCATTCTGCTCCTTTCTCCTTCAAGACCTTTGCCAGATTTTGGGGCTGAATAAAAAAGGTGGCTGATGAGCTGAGCTGGAGATCACTAAAGGACAGAGATGGACCTCCTTCAGTCTTTTAGTGCTATGGAGTTAAGGATGTGCCAGTCTTTCAAACAGAAATTGAGAAGCCACACTCAGGAGTACATCAGATATAGATGATATATAGAAAGTCCTACCCAAAATGCAAGGGCACCAGAGACCAGATCAATGTAAGACTGAACTAACATGACTGGATCGCCTCCTCCTGTCTGCTTGCAGAAGAAAAAGGATTTGAATAAAGCATAAACAGAGGAGAGGACACCGTGCCAGCACAACCTTTTCTGAAAACTCTGTTTCTTTGATTTGCGATGTCTAGCGTATCTTTTAAAAAATGCAAAGCATGTGAAGTAAAAAAACTAAGGCTAACCATCAAGAGAAAAAGAAAACAGAAGTAGACACATTTCACAAAATTCAATTTACATAATTAAACTGCATAACATCTTCATACTTTTTCTCTCTTGATTTTCCAGTCTTTGGATTTATCACAAATGAATGCATCACATATGAATCATAATCCGATCTGTGGAGCACTTGACACCTAAATCCTGAATAGACTCATATTTATTAACTTAAAATTCATAATGACAAATTCATTATTAAACATGTAATTTGAATGTAAATCAGAAAAAATAGACAAATTAATAGATTCTAGGGATAAATTTTTAATTGTCTTTATGCAGATGCCTTTCTTTTTCAAATACAAAATTTGTGCAAGCCATTTCAATAGATACAAAAACATCTGTTTTGATAAGTGAAATCTCTTAGGGAGAGGGAATTTAAGGTATAATTAATTTAGAGTGGTTCAATTTAGTTGATGGGATGCTATTTTTGATTTTCCCCAAAATTAATCATGAGTGTAATAAAAAGATAACTTATTAAACTTAGAGAGGTCCCTTAAAATATTATATAGTTCAGATTAATTGGAGCATTACCCAAACCCTTCAAGTGTATTTTTTCAAGGATAAAGTAGTAGATAAATTAAATTCAGGGCACCTGTCATCAAAAGTCTCTAGTCTCTGTAATTCTTTGCTCTACTTGCTGTCAGTAAGGTGTTAAATTTGAAATGCAACATTACCTTAATTTCTCTAGTTAAAATGTAATCTAATTTTAGGTTTTACTTGCTTACATTGTTTCATTTTAATATAAATACTAACAAAGAAATATTGAGCATCTAACATACCCAGAATATAGATCTCAGCACTGAGATAAAAAGCATTATAACATATAAGTCTAATGTATTTTAGGAGATTCTACATCCTCATTACCAGACAAGCTGGGTAGGTAACCTGTCTAATAAGAATAATATTATTTTTTTCTAACAATGGTCAACAGCTTTTTACATTCTAGCTTATTCCTTCAAATATCTTGAACTCAACAAACCTTTCAATTAAGCATAACAACTGGCCACTTATTTAACTCACGATGTTAATTAAATGCAACTATTTGCTTATACTATAATGATACATTATTGTTAAATGTAGCTGAGGAAAAACATAAAGCCATATTGACTGTTTTCACTTTAAATTTATCACTGTGAAACTCAAATGTACCTTAATGCTTTGGGGAAATTATAGTTCTCTTTTTTTATTTACCCTCTTATTATTCTGAACAGCTATTTTACATGCTCTTTCCTTTTCTCAAGTAGCCTGCAACTTCTCTTTCATTCTCACTTCCAAATTATTTCTTTTTGATACACTGTCTTCACTTAATTCTTCAAATATATCTGCTATTTTCAAAATCACCAGTAATTGTATTTTTTCATTTTTTTAAATTTTAGATGCGGGGGGGTCCCGGGGCATGTTCGTTATATGGGTATATTATGGGATGGTAAGGTTTGGAATTCTAGTGCATTCTAGTTTGTCTGCATACTCTCTGGTTTCTTTCGTTGTGTGGAAGCTGTTTAGTTACTTAAGTCTCATCAACCAAAATGGTGAACACTGAACACAATAGGTAATATTTCAACCCTCATCACCCTCCCACCTTCTCCCTTTTTGGAGTCACCAGTGTCTATTATTTTCCTCTGCCCCTTTGTGTACCCATTGTTTAGATCCCACTTATAAGTGAGAAAATGCAGTACTTGATTTTCTGATTCTGAGTTATTTCATTTGGGATAATAGTCTCCTGTTCCATCTGTGTTGCTTTTTAGGGCAGGCTTTTATACCTTTTTATAGCTGTATAGTATTCCATAGTGTACATAAACCACATTTTGTTTATCCAATCATCCTTTGATGTACACTTACATTGATTCCATGATTTTGCCCTTGCGAGTAATGAATAGAGCTGTGATAAGAATATGAATGTAGACATCTTTTTCATATAACAATTTCTTTTCCTTTTGGTAAGTATCCAGTAGTGAGTGTGCTAAGTCATATGGTAGCACTATTTTTAGTTCTTTGAGAAATCTCCATAATGTTTGCCATAGTGGTTGTACAAATTTACCTTCCCATACACAGTGTATAAGTTTTCCCTTTTTTCCCACCTCCTCATTAATATCTGTTGATTCTTGACTCTTTCATCATAGCCAATCTGACTAATGTGAGATGGTATCTCAATGTGGTTTTAATTTTCATTTCACTGGTGATTAGTGATGTTAACTCATTTTTCATGTTTGTTGACTGCTTCTATGCCTTTATTTGAGAAGTGTGTGTTCACATCCTTTGCTCACTTTTTAAAGGGATTAATTTTTTTCACTTCTTTGTTTAAGTGTTTTATAGAGCCTGGATATTAGTCCTTTGTCAGATATATAGTTTGCAAATATTTTCTCCCATTCCATTAGTTTTGTCTGTATACTCTGGTTTCTTTTGTTGTGTGGAAGCTCTTTAGTTACTTAAGTCCCATTTGTCTATCTCTGTCTTTATGGCATTTGCTTTTGATGTCGTAGTTATTAATTCTTTGCTTAGACTAATGTCCAGAAGAAAATTCTTTAGATTTCCTTCTAGGATTTTTATAGTTTCAGGTCTTACATTAAAGTTTGTAACCCATCTTGAGTTAATTTGTATATGCTGAGAGATAAGGGTCCAGTTTTATTCTTCTGAATGTGACTAACCAATTTTCCAAGAACCATTTATTGAATAGAGAGTGTCCTTTTCCTGTTGTTTATTTGTATTGACTTCATCAACGATCAGTTGGTGGTAGGTTTGTGCCCTTATTTCTGGGTTCTTTATTCTGTTCCATTGATCTACATGTTTATTTTTGTACTGCACCATGCTCTTTTGTTTGCTGTAGCTTTGTAGTATAGTTTGAAGTCTGGTAATGTGATGCTTCTGGAGTTCTTCTTGCTTATAATTTGTTTGGCTATCCTGGCTCTTTTTTGGTTCTATAAGAATTTTAAAATTTTGTTTTTCTAATCCTGTGAAAAATGATGTTGGTAATTTGATAGATATTTCACTGAATCTGTAAACTGCTTTGAGCAGTATGGTCATTTTAACAATATTGATTCATCCAATCCATGGGCATAGGATGATTTTCCATTAGTTTGTGTCATCTATGATTTCTTTCAATAATGTTTTATAATTATCTTTGTAGATATAATACAAAAATAGTATACCTCCTTGTTTAAATGTATTCTTAGATTTTTTTGTGTGTGGTTATTATAAATAAAATTAAATTCTTGATTTGCTTCTCAGCTTGAGTGTTGTTGGAGTATAGAAATTCAATTGATTTTTCTATGTTAATTTTGTATCCTGAAACTTTATGAAAGTTGTTTATCAAGTCTAAGGATATTTTGTTTACTCTTTAGGGTTTTCTAGCTATCAGATCATTTCATTAGCAAACAGAGATAAATCGACTTTCTCATCTCTAATTTGGATGCATTTTATTTCTTTCTCTTGCCTAATTACTCTAGCTTGGACTTCTGGTACTATCTTGAATAGGAGTGATGAGGTTGAGCATCTTTGTCTTGTTTGAGTTCTTAGGTAGAATGGCTAAATTTTTCCCTATTCGTTATGTTGTTGGCTGTGGGTTTGTCATAGATGTCTCTCATTTTGAGACATGTTCCTTTGATGACTAGTTTGTTGAGGGTTTTATTATGATGTTGGATTTTATTGAACACTTTTTTCTACATCTATTGATATGATCATATGGATTTCCTTTTAATTATGCTTATGTAGTGAGCCTCATTGGTTGATTTACACATATTAATGCATCCTTGAATCTTTGAAACAATACACACTCGATTTTGATGAATTATCTTCTTGATGTGCTGCTGGTTTCAGTTTGCTAGGCTTTTGGTGAGAAGTTTTACTTGTAAGTTCATCAGGAATATTGACCTTTAGTTTTCTTTTTGTTGTGTCCTTGCTAGCTTTTGTTATCAAGATGATACTGGTTTCATTAAGTGAGTTAGAGAAGATTCCCTACTCCTTGATATTTTGAAACACTTTTAGTAAGATTGCTAAATGGACTAATATATGTGATATATCTTTTTCTGCCCATTTACCTTCAGCCTGTGGGTGTCTTTACATATAAAATTGGTCTCTAGAAGGCAGCGGATTCTTGGGTCTTTTTTTTCATCCAATTTTTAATATATATCTTCTAAGTGAAGCATTTAGACAGTTTATGTTCAAGATCAATATTGATATGTGAGGTTTTGTTCCCGTCATAGTGTTGTTAGCTAGTTTATTTGTGGTCTCAATGGTGTAACTGATTTGGAGGATCTGTGAACTTTGTGGTATGTACTTTCATGGTAGTGAATATTGTTCTTTCATTTCCAGATTGAAAACTTCTTTGGACATTTTTTGTAGGTCTGGTCTAGTGGTGACACTTTTTCTGTGCATTTGCCTATCTGGGAAAGACTTAATTTCTCCTGTTTATGAAGTTTAGTTTGACAGGATATGAAATTCCTGGCTGACACTTTGTATTCTTTAAAAATGTTAAAAATAGGCCCTTAATCTCTTCTGTCTTGTAAGGTTTCTGCTGAGAAGTCTTCTGTTAGTCAGATGGTTTTCTTTTATAGGTGATTTGACAGTTTTCTTCAGACGCCTTTAAGTTTTTTTTTTTTTGCATTGATCTTGGATAGTCTGATTACTATATGTCTTGGTGATGCTCATGTTGTATATTATCTTGCATTTGTTCAATGGGTTATTTTGTATGTGGATACTTACCATTTTTGTAAGATCTAAGATATTTTTTCTGAATTAATCCCTCAAAAACTTTTCAAAGTTGATTTTTTTTCATTTTCCTTGTGAAGAATGCCTATAATCTGTAGGTCTGATCAGTTTATATAATCCCATATTTCTGAGGCTTTGTGTGTTTTTTAAGTTCTTTTTTTTTTATTTTTATCTGACTGGGTTAATTGAAAAGAATGACCTTCAAGGTCTGAATTCTTTCTTATGTTTGGGCTCATCTATGTTAAAGCTGTCAACTGTATTTTGAAACTTCTTATTGAATTTTTCATTTCTGGAAGTTCTGTTTGGAATTTTTTAAATTATAGCTATCTTATCATTCGTACTCTGATTTTTTTTCTTGTTTATGTTGACTTAATATTTTTCTTCAGGTCTCATTGAACATCCTGACAATCCACATTTTGGAATATTTTTCTGTGACTTCAGAAATTTAATTTTGGTTAGCATCCATTGCTAGAAAGCTAGTGCAATCCTTTTGAGGTGTCAAAACACTCTGTCTCATTGTACTGCCAGATTTCTTGCTTTGATTCCTTCTCATGTGAAGGAGCTGTTGCTTCTTATTTTTGAATTTGCTACCATGTGGATGACATTTTTTTTTATTTTGTATTATTTTATTCCTTGATAGTATGACCGTAGTGTGTGTTGTGTATGATTATTTGGCTTCATTTCTGAGTGCCTTCACAGGGTTAAGGCTCTGTATTGGTTCCTTGGTTATACACAGTTTTTATGTGGTGGCTTTCTCTAATGCTGCTTGTTGTAGAGGTATATTGGGCATATAAGCTGACACACTATCTTCTGTGGGGCATGAAGAACAGAAGTCTCAGGAAGTTTATCATATATACTAGCCTTAAGCTGTTCTGACAACAGTTTTTAAAAATTTAGTGGGGTAGTTCAGTCTTCAGTTCAGTAGGCAGTGGTTAAAAGTATGAGTTACCTTGCCTTCCAATTTCCTGATGCTGTGTTGAGGAGCTTTCCCTGAAGAGGAGCTTCAAGAGGAGCTTGTGTTGGGATGTGCTGAGGCTTCAGTCGTAGAGGTGGAGGGGGCTACAGGGCTCATGACCTTCAGTTCATAAAGACATTATCCTTTGGCTCCTGGTTACAGTGTGACTTAGGTCTGTGAAAATGTCTCTCTAGTGGCTACCCCCAAAATGGCCCTAGGGCAGAACTTCTTCCCCCAGTTCATTGCAGATAGCTCTGAAGCTTGTTTGCCCTCTCTTGTAGGATGCTGACACTCTGTGTAGGGAGGGAGAGATGTTCCCTGCCCTTCTTGCTAGCATGAAGAGCATGGGCTTAATTTCAACAGGGGTGCAGTTCTTGTGAAAACTACTGGAAAGGCTGTCCCGAAATGCACTTATACCAGTCCCAAGCAGGGAAAGCCTCTGTTGTGTCCATAACAGTGAACTTGGAGAGCAGGAGATGACCTTTCCACATTCCATTCCCAGGTACAGGTGTGGCCCCCTTCAGTGGTCAGCACCATGCCCATATTTTCTTTGTCCTAAAGGAACTTTAGCAGACTGCACTGCCTCATTCTCTAGCAGTGACCCACACCAAGGGCTAGATTTTCAGATATCCTTCAGCTCTCCAGGAACCCACCAGTATTTTGTGGTTGCCAAAATCAGAGTTTATTCTAGGGTGTGTTCACAGGGAATGTGGTACATGCAGCAGCACAACGGCAGAAATTCCCCCAGACAAGGCAGTGTTGTACCATGTGCACACAACCAGTGTGGTGCCCATTGTCTCAGTTCATACCTAAGGAGAGTGTGGGTATACCAACATGAGCTAGCCACATAGTGCTGTGTCCCCAAAAACTTCCTAAATAGCTCTCAACAGTGTTGCTTAGAGTCACAGTGGCAGAGGGACTCCTCCAAAATTTGGCGGTCAACGGTTTTTTGCAGGAGTAAGTGGAGCAGAGAAGCAGACCCTCCTAACCCTTCAGTGGAACCTTGGGATCAATCACTGCCAGATTCTTGCTGCTTTCCTTTTCTTTGCCCCAGATACTTCCTATAGACTCTCCAACAGGTCTTTGTTGTCTTTCCTCAGTTCTCCATTTACATAACAACCATTAGTCTGTAACTTTGATCTTCTTTCTGAAGAGAATTGTTAAACAATATACCTACTCAGCCATCTTGAAAATAATTTTTAAAAAAACTTTAATATAAGTAAAATAAATGATCAATACTGTTTTCATCTTATTTAACCTATTAGAAGAAATTTAAAATTGAGTAATGCTTTTTCCTTGATATACTTTCTTCATTTAGTTTCTTGAACATCACTTTCTCTTTGTTTTCTTTCTATTAAAAATGTTTGTAAAGAAATCAGACTAATTCTCTGGTTCCTCCTCTTCTTTCCAACCTGTTAATATTGAAACATTTTAAGAAGTCTTTGATCCTTCTTTCTTTTTCCATTCCCTTGTCAATCTCATCCAGTATAATGACTTTGCTACTTACCCAGATTCAAACTTCATATGGTGAAGCCCTAGCCTACAATGTGATTGTATTTGGGAAGTATTTAGGTTTAGATAAGATCATGGGATAGAATTAGTATTCTTATAAGAAGAGAAAATTAAACTAGCACACTCTCCCTCTCCACCGCATGAAAACATGGCAAGGAGATTGCCTTCCGAAAGCCAAGAAGAGAATCCTCATCAGGAACTGAATCTGTTGACCTTGATGTTGGATTTTCCAGTCTCTGGACTGTGTGAAATAAATATCTGTTGTTTATGTCACCCAGTCTGTTTTTTTTAATAGCAGTATAAACTAATTAAGAAAGTCTATATGGATAACTTTCTCCCTTCTTTGAGTCTTTCCTAAAATGTCACCATCTCAATTTGAACTCTTCTCAACACATAACTAAAATTATAATTGTTTTTCCAGCACTGCCAATTCTCTTTATTTGATATACAGTTCACATGCCATAGCATATGCCACATTTAAATGACTATATAATTTATTTTTTATCTTTATTGCTTATTGTCAATCTCCTGTAATTATAATACTGGATTTAGAATATAAAGGGTAGGAGTCTTTTCATTTTTAATAACGCATTCCAAGCACTTAGAACTTTGCTTAGAGCATGGTTATAAATAAATATTTGTTAAATACATAATGGTTAAATAAACAGGGTTTTTTGCATTATCCCAGATTTTTAAAACATCTATGCATTTTAGAACATTTTACCAGGTTTTCAGATACCAAAGCCTACTGCTTCATATTTGAGATCTGTAGAATAAACCTTCTTATTCTTAGTTCTAATTTAATATAAACCATTTCTGATATGTGGATGATGTGCAACTGCATTTGAAGTCTACTGTATATAATATAGTTTTGATTACATGTTCAAATTTTAAGAAAGAATGTGTAAAAATAACATACTAAAATATATGCTTGACTATTTCATAATTTAATAATAGCAGTACATTTTCTGAGGAACTACTGATCCATGCTCAGTTATTTTTTAAAATGCCTATGGGCCAAAATTTATAAATGAGAAAACATTTCATAGCAATTCATAATTGGCTTCAAAGATTTTAAAAGAAAATATAAAACACTTTTTAAAAAAGAAAACCACATAAGGTTCATGATGTGAAAATAAATGAGTTATCATTAGCATGAGATATAATTTGTGAAGTATTGCTAAACAGGTTGCAACTGAGCTCTAAAAAGGATTGTATCAATGTAAATAAGTCAGGAGTTTTAAAATATTTTATCTTTCAACAGTTTGTTAGCTCTGATTTCTTTAAACCTTATTTTGTAATTCTCATTGTAGAGACTTTTCACCTCTGTGGTTAGCTGTATTCCTAGGTATTTTATTCTTTCTGTGGCCATTGTGAACATGACTGGATTTTTTATTTGGCTCTCAGCTTGGATATTGTTGGTTTATAGAAATGCTACTAATTTTTGTACATTGATCTTGTATCCTAAAACTTTTCTGAAGTTGTTTGTATATTTAGGAGGTTTTGGGCAGAGACTATGGGGTTTTCTATGTGTAGAAGCATATCATCTGCAAATAAAGGTAGTTTGACTTCCTCTTTTCCTATTTGAATGCCTTGTATTTCTTTCTCTTGTCTGATTGCTCTGACTATGACTTCCAGTACTATGTTGAATAGGAGTGATGAGAGTAGGTAACCTTGTCTTCTTCTAGTTCTCAAGGGGAATGCTTCAAGCTGTTGCCTATTCAGTGTGATGTTGGCTTTGGGTTTGTCATTGATGGCTCTTATTATTTTGAGTTATGTTCCTTAGATGCCTAGTTTGTCGAGGATTTTTAACATGAAGTGATGTTGTATTTTATCAAAAGCCTTTTTCGCATCTATTGAGATGATCGTGTCATTTTTGTTTCTAGTTCTGTTTATGTGGTGAATCACATTTGTTGATTTGGGTATGTTGAAACAATCTTGCATTCCAGGAATAAAGCATACATGATTGTGGTGGTATAGCTTTGTGATGTGCTGCGGGATTCAGTTTACTAGTATTTTGTTGAGGATTTTTGCATCTATGTTTATCAAGGCTATTGGCCTGAAGTTTTCTTTTTGTTGTTATTGTTGTGTCTCTGCCAGATTTTGGTATCAGGATGATGCTGGCCTCATAGAATGAGTTAGATATGAAAAAAACAAATGGAAAAACATTCCATGCACATGGAAAGGAAGACTCAACATTGCTAAAATGACCATACTGCACAAAGCAGTATACAGATTCAATGCTATTTCTATCAAATTACCAATAACATTCTTTACAGAATTAGAAAACAACTACTTTAAATTTCACATGGAAACAAACAAAAAAAGCCTAAATAGCCAAGGCAATCTTAAGCAAAAAAAACAAAGATGGAGGAATCACATTACCAGACTTCAAACCATACTACAAGTCTACAGTAATCAAAACAGCATGGTACAGGTACAAAAAGAGACACATAGACAAATGGAAGATGTGTGTACAAACATCTGATCTTTGACAATGTCAACAAAAACAAGCAATGGGGAAATAACTCTTTATTCAATAAATGATGCTGGGATAACTGGCCAGCCATATGCAGAAGATTGAAACTGGAACCTTTCCTTACACCATATACAAAAGTCAATGGAAGATAGATTAAAGACTTAAATGTAAAACCTAAAACTATACAAACCCTGGAAGATAATCTAGGAAATACCATTCTGGACATCAACCCTGGCAAAGATTTCATGATGAAGACACCAAAGCAAATGCAACGAAACAAATATTGTCAAATTGGGCCTAATTAAACTAAAGAGCTTACGTACAGCAAAAGAAAAATAAGGAAAAGGAAAGAAAAAAGGGAAAAAAAAAACTCTGTCAACAGAGTAAACAGACAACCTACAGAATGGGAGAAAGTATTTGTAACCTATGCCTCTGACAAAGGTCTATTATCCAGCATCTCCAATGAACATAAACAAATGTTCAAGCAAAAAAGAAGCAACCCTATTAAAAAGTGGGCAAAGAACTTGAACAAACACTTTTCAAAGAAGAAATACATAAGGCCAACAAAGATATGAAAAAAAGCTCAATACCACTAATCATTAGAGAAATGTAAATCAAAACCACAATGAGATAACCATCTCATCTCCCACTACACAGAATGGCTATTATTTAAAAAGTTTAAAAAAAAAAAAGATGAGATTTCTCAAAGAACTTAAAACAGAATTACCATTTGACCCAGCAATCCCATTATTGGGTATATATCCAAAGGAATATAAATTGGCCAGGCAGGGTGGCTCACACCTGGAATCCTAGCACTTTGGGAGGCTGGGGTTGGAGGATCCCTTGAGCTCAGGAGTTTGAGACCAACCTGGGCAACATGGCAAAACCCCATCTCTACAAAAAATACAAAAATTAGCTAGGCATGGTGACATATGCCTGTCCTGTAGTCCCAGCTACTTGGGGGGCTGAGGCAGGAGGATCACTCAAGCCCAGGAGGTTGAGACTGCAGTGAGTCGAGATTGCACCACTGCAGTCTACAATGAGTGACAAAGTGAGACACTGTCTAAAAAAAATATATATATATGTATATGTATATATATATGTGTATATATATATATATATAAATTGCTCTGTCCTAAAGACACATACACTTGCATGTTCATTGCAGCACCATAAAAAATAGAAAGACCTAGAACCAACCTAATGCCTATCAACAGTAGACTGTATAAAGTCTGTACATATGCAACACGGAATATTACACAGCCATACAAAACGACAAGATCATGTCCTTTGTAGCAACATGTATGGAAATGGAGGCCATTATCCTAAGCAGATTAGTGCAGGAAAGGAAGACCAAATACCACACGTTTTTATTAAAAAATATGAGCTAAATATTGAGTACATGAATTCAAAAAAGGAAACAGCTGACACTGAGGCCTACTTGAGGGGGGAACAGAGGAGGGAGATGGTAAAAACTACCTATTAGCTACTATGCTTATTACCCGATGACAAAAAAAAAAAAATCTGTAAACTGCCTGTAATCCCAGCACTTTGGGAGGCTGAGGCAGGTGGATCACGAGGTCAGGAGATCGAGATCATTCTGGCTAACACGGTGAAACCCCGTCTGTACTTAAAATACAAAATTTAGCCGGGCGTGGTGGCGGGCGTCTGTAGTCCCAGCTACTCTGGAGGCTGCGGTAGGAGAATGGCGTGAACCCGGGAGGCGGAGCTTGCAGTGAGCGGAGATCGCCCCGCTGCAGTCCAGCCAGGGGGACAGAGAGAGACTCCATCTCAAACAAACAAACAAACAAACAAACAAACAAACACCTGTCAACTAAACCCCCCGACACAACAATTTACCTATATAACAAACTTGCTCATAGACCCCTGAACCTAAAATAAAGTGGGAAAACAAAACAAAAGTTTGTAATAAAATATTCATTCTTTTATAAAGAACATTAAAGAAACACAATTTTATTTTGTTTCTTAAGTACTCCCACTGTTTTATAATTTACACAATAGTAAACTTTAAATTCAATAGGATGTTTTCTCTAACCTCAGTAGTAATCCGGATTTAGATTGATTCTATTTTGGATTATATTGACAATTTAATTCTAGTTCTAGTAATACTTTCCCTGTATCCCATCCTCCATAAATGACAGCAGCTAATAAAAAATAGCATTTATTAGAACATCTAGAGTCAATATTTACACTTTATTATACTTATCATATGTATGTTTGTTTGTGTCTGCCTTTTTAAAAATCTTTTTAAAATTAATAAAATTTGTTTTTAGAGCAGTTTTAGAATTACAGCCAAAAATTAAGCAAAAGGTGCGGTGAGTTTCTTACCATCCCTATTCCCCCACACACAACTTCCCTAACTATCAACATCTTATAACGAAAGGGTACATTTATTACAATCATTGAACCTACATTGAGACAATATTATGATCCAGAGTTTATAGTTTACCTTAGGGTTACCTCTTGGTGTTGTACAATACAGCGCTAAGAGCTTTTGTACGTATTTTGTTAGATTTATATCAATGTGTTTCATTTTGGGGATGTTAATATAAATAGTAGTGCATTTTTAGCTTAAAATGCCACTTTTTTATTGTTGGTATATAGGAACGTGATTGGCATTTGGAGAAATGTACAATGAATGACACGTATCCACCATTTCAGTATCATACTGAATAGTTTCACTGCCTAAAAATTGTGCTTTGCCTATTCATCTCATTATTTTCTCTAATCCCTGGCAATCACTGATCTGTTTACTGTTTCCATAGTTTTGCCTTTTGCAGAATGTCAGATAGTTGAAATTGAACAAATGCAGCCTTTCCAGATTGTCTTCTATCATACAGTAATATAAATTTAAAGTCCCTCCATGTGTTTTCATGGCTTGATAATACGTTTTTAAGCACTAAAAAATATTCCAATGTCTGCGTGCACCACAGTTTGTTTATCCATTCACCCACTGAAGAGCATTTCAGTTGCTTCCAAGTTTTAGCAATTATGATTAAATTTGCTATGCACATATGTGTGCAGGTTTTTGTGTAGACATTATTATCAACTTCTTTGGGTAAATACCAAGAAGTGCATTTGCTACATCATATGGTAGAAGTATGTTTAGTTTTGTAAGAAATTGCCAAATTGTCTTTCAAAGTGTCCACTTTGCATTCCCATCAGCAATGAATGAGACCTTCTGTTGCTCCACATCCTAGCCAGCATTTAGTGTTGTCTTCTTTTTAGGTTTTGGCCATTCTAATGGATATAGAGTAGTATCTCATTATTATTTAAATTTGTAATTACCTAATTACATATGGTGTTGAACAACTTTAAAAAAATAAAACTTATTTTAGGTTCAGGAGTACACATGCAGATTTGTTATATAGATAAATTTTGTGTTGCAGAGTTTTGGTATACAGATTATTTAGTCACCCAGATAATAAGCATAGTACCAAATAGTCAGTTTCTTGTTCACTCTGTGTGTATCTTCTTCAGTACAGTGTCTCTTAAAGGTTTTGGACTTATTTTAATGGGGTTGTTAATTTTCTTATTGTTAAGTTTTAAGAAAGTTTTATATTTTGGAAAGCATTTTTTTATCAGATATGTATTTTGCAAATCCTCTCCCCAAGTCTGTGGCTTGTCTTTTCATTATCTTGTTATTGTCTTTCATAGAGAAGAAGTTTCTAATTTTCCTTAAGTATAAGTTATCAATAAAACTTCTTTCATAGATAATTTGTTTGGTGTTATATCTAAAGTCATTGCCATACCCAGAGTCATGTAGGTTTTCTCCTGTACTATCTTCTAGGTGTTTTATATTTTTTGAGATTACATATAGGCCTATGATGCATTTCAAGTTAATATTTGTGAAGGGCTTAAGATCTGTGTCTAGCTTCACTTTTTTTCATGTAGATGTCCAGTTCTAGCAAAATGTGTTGATAAGATTATCTTGTCTTCAGTGTTTTCCCATTTTTTGTCAAGATATCAAATTTATGTGCATATATTTCTAGACATTTTACTCTGTATCATTTATATATTTGTTTATTCCTTTGCCAATAGCTCACTGTCTTAATTATTGTGTTTTATAGTAAGTCTTGAATTAGGGTAGTGTTAGTCCTTGGCTTTGTTATTCTCCTTCAATATTGAATGGACTTTTCTGGGTCATGTACTTCTCCATATAAACATTAGAATCAATCAGTCTTTCAACATCTACAAAATAAGTTGGCGGAATTTTTATTAGGATTGCGTTGAATTGATACATCAGTTAGAAAGAATTGATCAAATATT
The DNA here is from genome assembly GCF_000001405.40 of Homo sapiens. Classification (NCBI taxonomy): domain Eukaryota; kingdom Metazoa; phylum Chordata; class Mammalia; order Primates; family Hominidae; genus Homo; species Homo sapiens. The sequence continues at coordinate 189,929,065 of NC_000001.11, forward strand.
AACTCTTGTTATCAATAAACAATCTATTAATTCAGTTCTTCTTTGATTTTTTTCATCAGAGATGTGTAGTTTTCTTCATACAGATCTTGTGCACATATTATTAGACTTATGTCAATGTATTTTATTTTTGAGGTGTTCAAATAAATTATGATGTATTTTTAAGTTAAAATTCTACTTCATTATTGTTGGTATATAGGAAAGTTATTGACATTTGCATATTATCATTGCAGCCTGCAAACAGTATAATTGCTTATTAATCTGAGAGTTTTTATGCTGATTCTTTCAGATTTTTTATACCGATGATCATGTCATTACAGAAAAAAAGACAAATCTATTTTTTCTTCCCAACCTGCATTCCTTTTATTTCCTTTCCTTGTCTTATTGTAATAGTGTCATTGTCTGGGATGATACCTGAGGTTCATTTTCTCATGGCCATGAAGATCAAGGACATGGACACGCAAGAGTGAGACGAGGAGTAGTAGTTTAATAGGCAAAAGAAAGAGACTAGCTCTCTGCTGCAGAGAGGGGTCCCGGAAAAATAGGTTGCTGGATCCGCAGTGAAATGCAGGGCATTTTATACATGAGCTGGTGAGGAGGTGGTGCCTGATTATACAAGGTGCAAAAAACTGGTTGGACCAGGTGTGCCATTTACATAGAGCATGAATCTCTGGTAGCCTCTGACCTAATCTTTTATTATGCAGGTGGATTCTCTGTGCTAGCTGCACCATGCTGTTGTCCATTTCTTTCTTACTGTACATGTGGTAACAAAAAAGGGAAGATGGAGCCTTCATGTTGGGCATGACTGGCCCCCACTGATTTCTGCTAATTTGATTTAGCCCTTTCTATTGGCACAGCTGCCGGCATTCCCACGTGCAAGCTCCAGCTTCCTTATCTATGTTTGCAGCTCAGTTTTTCAGGCTGCTCCTTGTTAGAAAAGAAATGATTTTGGGGGATGCCTTTTGGTAGTAAAGAAATTCTGCTGAGGACTTTATTGCCCTATCTGGCTAAATAATTTATTTCCACCTCCTGTATTATTATTACATTAAGTAGGACTTTCGGTATAATATTAAAAAGCAGTGGTGAGTGGGCACATCCTTGCTTGGTCCCATCTTAGCAAGAAAGCTTCTGGCTCCTCACCTTTGAGTATGATGTTGGAAGTGGTTTTTAGATGATATTTATCAAGTTGAGTAAGTATCTTTCTCTTTCTAGTTTGCTAAAAGTTTTTGTTTAAAATGAGATTTAGATTTTGTCAATTGCTTTTTTGCATTTATTAATATGATCCTGTAATTTTTATTCTTTAGCTTGCTGATATGATGAATTGCATTAATTGATATTCAAGTGTTAAATAAGCCTTGCATAGCTGAGATAAATCTCATTTGTTATTGTAACTCTTTTTGTACATTGTTAAATTTGATTTGCTAATATTTTGTTGAAGAGTTTTGCATCTATGCTCCTTAGAAACATTAAAACATAGTTTTAATTTCTTATAATGATTTTGTCTGCTTTTGCTTTTTCACAATGCTGGCCTCATAGAATGAGTTAGAAAGTATTCCTCTGCTTCTATGTCCTGAAGGAGTTTGTATAAAATGTTATAATTTATTTTTTTTAATTTGTGGTAGGATTAACCAGTGAAACTATTTGGACAATGTACATTCTCTTTTGCAAGGTTATTAATTACTCATGCAATTTCTTTAATAATAAAGATCTATTCAAATTGTCTATTTCTTTTTCTGTGAATTTTAGCAGATTGTGTATTTCAAGTAATTAGTCTATTTTTTCTACGTAGTCAAATTTGTGGGCATAGAATTGTACATAAATTCCTGTATTATCCATTGAATGTCTGTAAGATCCATAGTGATGTCTCATCATTCATTTCTGATATTAGCAATTTCTGTCTTTTTTTCTGACACTAGTTTATTTCTTTATTTTCCTTGTTTATTTATTTTCCTTTCCTCACTTCATATTTAATTTAGCTTACTTTTTCTAGTTTCTTAAAGCAGAAGTTTAAATGGTTGCTTTTAGATCTTTCTTATTTTCTAATGTATGCATCCAATGTTATAGATTTCACTGTAAGCATGGCTTTTATTACATCCCACAAATTTCATAAGTTGTACTTTTATTTCTAGTTAGTTAAATATTTTAGAAATTTGGCTTTTTTAGGCTGGGTGCAGTGGCTCATGCCTGTAATTCCAGCACTTTGGGAGGGTAAGGCAGGCGGATAACTAGGTCAGGAGTTTGAGACCAGCTTAACCAACATGGTGACACACCCCGTCTCTACTAAAAATACAAAAAATTAGCTGGGCATGGTGGCACGTGCCTGTAATCTCAGCTACTAAGGAGACTGAGGCAGGAGAATCACTTGAACCCAGGAGGCAGAGGTTGCAGTGAGCCGAGATCACACCACTGCACTCCAGCCTGGGCAACAGAGCAAGACTCCATCTCAAAAAAAAAGAAATAAAGTAATTGCCATTTTGATCCATGTTTTATTGAGATGTGTCATTTAATCTTTAAGTGTCTTGTAATTTCCTAGCTACCTTTTCTGTTATTGATCTCTATTCCAATTCCATTGTAATATGAGAGCAGACACTGTTTGATTTTCATTGTTTGATATTAGTTAAGGTGTGTTTTATGGCCTAGACTATGGTCTATCTGGGTGAATGTTCCATGTGAGCTTGAGAAAAATGTGTAACCTGCTGTTGCTGGATGGTGTAGTCTATAGATTTCAATCATATCCAGTTGATTGACGGTATTGCTGAGTTCAATTATGTCCTTACTGTTTTTCTGATTGTTAGCATTTTATATTTCTCCTGAACAGGTACTAAAGTCTCCTACTAAATAGTGGATTCACCTGTTTCTTTAGGCAGTTGTATCAGTTTTGCCATCATGTAATTTGGTGATCTGCCTTTAGGCCGAAACACATTAAAGATTGTTATGTCTCCCTGTAGTATTGACCCTTTTACAACTATATAATGCCTCTCTTTATTGCTAAGAACTCACCTTGCTCTGAATTCTGCTCTATCTGAAATTAATAAAACTACTCATGCTTTCTTTTGATTTGTGTTAGCATAATATATCTTTCTATATTCCTTAACTTTTAATCTCTATGTCTCTTTGTATTTAAAATGGGTTTCTTGTAGACGAAATATAGTTTGGTTTTTAAAAATACAATAACAACCTCCATATTTTAATTTTTGTATTTGGGCCATTGAAATTTAAAGTAATTACTGATATTGTTGGATTAATACCTACCATATTTGTTATGATATTTTATTTGCTGCCCTTGTTCTTTCTTCCTATTTTACTACACATTTTAATGCCTTTTTGTGGTTCTGATTGAGAATTCCATATAACATTATGACCCTTTTTTAATATACGAGTCTATTCCTAGATTGCACTTGGCAATAATATTGTTACTGCACTGCATTCTACCACCTGGTTGTGGAAATCCTAAAATATCATCTCTCAAGTTGAGCATGTTTATTCAGGCACATAATAGGATCATACTACTCAAACATTTTTACTCAGACATGGACATGGATTTCTCTGATAAATGAAATATGAACAGAAGATAGAGTGTCATATAGTGGAGTAATTTTATCAGTAAAAGCCAACTTACGTCTGATTTCAGTAGCTCTTTGCCATCTCTTCACTCTTATCCTGAATGCATATAATACCAAGATGGACCTTCATTTGACTGTGTCTCTAAGTAAATACAATGAGGAGACTCCTCAGGATAACCCCTATGCATCATGTAGCATAAGAGAAGTATAAACTTCAATGTTTTAAGCTGCTACAATGTTTGAGATTGGCTATTTCCATTATATAACCAACATCTTCGAAATGACAGGTAAAATGGAACCAAAAGAAGTTCATGAATAGCATCAAATATATGGCATAGCCTTTGAAGCAAGTCAGGATACTGTGAGATAAATGTTATTTGAGGTTGGAAGTTATTAGAGTTACATGCTATTGGATCTATTTTTGTTATGTAGTAGCAGAAATTTGGTAAAGCACTTGCATATAATAAGCTTTTGGCTCTAGATCAAGGGTTGGCAAATATTTTTTATAAAGGGGCAGATAGTAAATATTCTAGGTTTTGGGGGCCATATGTTCTCTATTGCAACTATTCAATGCTGCTGTCATAGCAGGAAAATAGCTAGAGACAATATATAAACAAATGGATATAGATGCATACTATTAAGATTTTATTTACCAAAACAAATGACCTACTGAATGCAAAGGTTGGAAAAGGGAATTTAAGAGCAAAGGTAGTAAACTGTTGGCTGCATTAGACAAGATATTATAAGGAAACAAGTTCAGAAAATTTTTAGCCATCATGAAAACAGACATCAGAGACTTAGAGGTTGGAAAGAGGCAACTTCAATAAAGCATGTATTTTCTGTGGAAAACTGATACGCTCATCTTACACAAAACGTAGTTACTCAGTATCTTAGTTTAGACTTTGGCAACCAAGTGTCATACATTGGGTGGCTTTTAAGCAACAAAAATTTATTTCTCACAGCTCTAGAGGCTGGAAGTCAGAGATCAAGATGCTGACGAGGCTGGGTTCAGGTGACGGTCCTCTTCTTTGTTTCAGACTCTTGTTTCTCATTACATCCTTACATGGCTAAAAGAGGGCAAAAGCCCCCCTTGGTATCTCTTATAAGGATGCTAATCCCATTCATGAGTGCTCCAACCTCATAACCTAATTACCTTCCAAAGGACCCACTTCCAAATACCATCATGTTCAAGTTTAGGATCTCAACATACACATTTTGCGGGAGGGACACATTCAGTCCATCATACTTAGTCATGTCTCCAAAGAATTGTGGCTGTGGTTTTTAGCACATGCAATGAAGGGGAGTCAAATAAAAAAGCAGCCCATCAAGTCCCTGAAACAGTTGTACTGCTAGATGAGAAATTATAATCATAAGTTAAAATAAACAATTGTTCAGTACTTAAAGCCGCCCCCCCGTGACTTCCCTGTCTTCTATGTGTAGGAAAAGTCTTGAGAAGACTGCTCAGCCTGCAAGAAGATAACAGAAGATAATTAAAACGAAAACAAAGAAACTGGATGATGACAGGCTGAAACTACTCTCCGGGAGCAAAATCTCAGCCTAATCTAAGAACATTCTCCATTCCCAGGATGTGAGATATAGAAACTCCTCCCAATATTTTTCTTGTGGTATTTCAATAGTGCTATGAAAAGGGGCTGCTGTATGGTTCCAATCCTTCCCTCTGTCCCAAAACTACCTCCTTTCGTGAATTTGTGGAGAGTATATTACTTGTCTTCTTGGTACATATATCTCAAGGCTGAGACCAGGTCTAAGATTATCATAAAGGCCTAAACATAGGACTTGATGGCTATTGTGCTGGACTTTTGGGTTGCCTACTTTGGGAGGCGTAAGCATATTATACCTGAGCGGGAAACAAGTTTTTATAATAGAAAGGGAGAATATTCTACCCATTACAACTATTCACAAATATGTAGTATTATCATTCATAAGGGAGAAACATTCCTCCTACTTTAACTAAACTATCCCTATGTGATTTTGTATGGCCAATAAAATGTGAGCTGAAATGTTATATAGTACTTCTAGACAAAATGTTAATATCATTGTGTGGCCAACCATCTTTTCTTTTCCTCCCTACCTCCAAAGTTGCATATGCAATTTATCACAATGGAGCTTCTGTCAGTTAAGATCCATGAAGTAACTACTAAGGCCTGAGCCCCCTTGACCCCTTGATTGCCCTCACTGGCCTTACAGCATTAGTGGGGGAAAAAAAATCTTCTTTCAAGCTTTAAATATAAGATACATAACAACTTGCTACAATTGTGTATTTTCAGACTATACTGGCAGTTCTTCTCATAAATACTACCCATTCAATTCTCTTTAATTAAGAAAACTCATTGGCCTTTATAAATCTATTTTAAGTATAAAATTAAAGAATGTCTCCAATTATACAAAAGTGATCTGGGTTGGAAGCATCACAGACCCTAGGGTAGTACAAATAGAGACAAGGCAGTTAGGAAAGAAAAAAATACTTTGGGGACTCAGGCCTGACTAATGAAGGTGCAGAGAACTATCAGAAGCCTTTAGGACCCATAAGCAGCCAGGAAGAGTGTGGTTGCTCCTAGCAGAATATCTGATAATTTGAGTGGGGCTACTAACCTTAGGAAAGACAACATGGTAAAAAACCTGGACCTGCGATAACTGCTTAAGAGTCAGTGGCCTGGCGCGGTGGCTCACGCCTGTAATCCCAGCACTTTGGGAGGCCGAGGCGGGCGGATCACGAGGTCAGGAGATCCAGACCATCTTGGCTAACACGGTGAAACCCCGTCTCTACTAAAAATACAAAAAATTAGCTGGTCGCGGTGGTGGGCTCCTGTAATCCCAGCTACTCAGGAGGCTGAGGCAGGAGAATGGCGTGAACCCGGGAGGCGGAGTTTGCAGTGAGCCGAGATCGTGCCACTCCACTCCAGCCTGGGCGATAGATAGCAACATTGCAGTCCGGCCTGGGCGAAAGAGCGAGACTCCGTCTGAAAAAAAAAAAAAAGTCAGTATTTGAAGCAAACATCTCTGGAGAAAAGCTTCAATACAGAACCTAGAACCGATATAGAATTAGATGAAGCAATAAATTCAGGGTCAGAGATTATTAAACACTCAAGAATCCCATCAATATTTAGTGAAGTTCTGAAGAAACAATATGCAACTGATTTTAATCCTGTGGATTATTTATATTTTGAGCGTCAATCACAGAATACAGAATATCTACATAAAAAATCTTTAAAAAAACAATTTATGCAGTTTCTAAATAAAGCATTCCACAAGGTGTGAGAAAAACACTTGGAAATAAAACTGAAATGGAAGCCTCTAGAAATAAAAAATAACTTTGTTACACTAAAAAAATCAATGGATGGTTGAATCAATTGCTAAATTATGGGAAAAAAGAATTGTCTCACTCTGTTAAAAATGATATAATTTGATGCCTGTTACTTTTAAAAAATGCTTAGACAGAAGTCCTTAGGATATTTGGAATATGCCAAAAATTATTTAACCTAATAATCATAAAGTAAAAATGTTTTCAATAAACGTAACTCTGAATGAGTATTGAGAGACGTATCTCCTTCATAATCAGGGGGAGGCCCATTATCAGTATGTATATTCAACATTGTAGGAGGCAATAGCTAGAACAAAGAAAAATATACAAGCATGAGGATTATAAAGACAGCAAGTAATCATCACTTGCCATTGACATGATTGTTTAAAAGTAGGATTGGGAAAAAGATGCTACAGGCATATCAGTATTAGCAATAAGATAAATAATAATGCAGACTAAAGCAAGAATAATGAGATAGATCAATAAGCAAATTAAAATGCATACAAGCAGTATTTAGAAATTTAAATAGCAAGAAAAATTAAAAGCATCTATAAATTACTGTAATAGCTGGCGTGGTGGTGCATGCCTGTAATCCCAGCTACTTGGGAGGCTGAGGCAGGAGAATTGCTTGAACCCAGGAGGCAGAGGTTGCAGTGAGCTGAGATTGCACTATTGTACTCCAGCCTGGGCAACAAGATCAAAACTCCATCACAAAAAAAAAAAGAAAAAAGAAAGAAAGAAATTACCATAATAAATGTGCAAGACCTGCGCACAGAAAATTATATAATTTAACTAAAAAAATTAAAACTCTAAAATAATGAGATATATCCAATATCAATAGGTAGAATGAATAAATATCATAAATATATCATTCCTTTTCTACAGATCCAAACTTAGCTACAGATTCAATGATTCTAAAATTTAAAAGTAGCAAACGACTATAAATAGTTTAACCCTCTCTCAAGAAGAAAAATATGGAAGAAATGGCTTTGCTACAACCCAAGGCTTATTTTAAGTTACAGTAATTCAGACAGTGTAAAAAGTGTACAAAGTTAGGCAAATTGACATATAGAACAAAATAGTGTATCCAAAAATGGATCCACACAAATATGCCACTTTGATTTAAGGCTGAGGTGGCGAAATGAGCAGCAAAAATTTGTTATCCATATGGAAAGAAAGATGAAATTGAATTCCTCCATCAAAACACATCCATAATTGAAACCCAGATGGCTTAAAACTTGAAATACCATAGACAAAGCTTAAAATGTTTGAAAGAAAATACAGATGAATATATTTTTGTTATTCAGAAGTGGTAGATTTTTGAAAATTTGCAAAAGTGTTCACTATTAAAGTGTGAGCATTTTAAATGTGGATATATTAAGTTCAAAAACTTCTATTCACCCAAAGATAGGTTAAAAAGTTAAAAATCAAGCTATAAACTGGGAAAAATATTTGTAGTTCATATAACTCAAACACTGGCATGAAAAATATAAAGAATGTTTAATAAGAAAACAGTGTTTTAATAATCTGTTGCTATATAACAAACCAACCCACCATTTATTGGATTAAAGCAGGAACCTTTTTTTTTTTTTTTTTTTTTGATACAGAGTCTCGCTTTGTCGCCTAGGCTGGAGTGCAGTGGCGTGGTCTCGGCTCACTGCAAGCTCCGCCTCCCAGGTTCACGCCATTCGCCTGCCTCAGCCTCCCGAGTAGCTGGGACTACAGGCGCCCGCCACCATGCCCGGCTAATTTTTTGCATTTTTAGTAGAGACGGGTTTTCACCGTGTTAGCCAAGATGGTCTCGATCTCCTGACCTCGTGATCCACCCACCTCGGCCTCCCAAAGTGCTGAGATTACAGGCGTGAGCCACCGCGCCCGGCCGGGAACCTTTTTTTTTTTTTTAAATTACTCTGCAATTTAGGCAATGCTCTATGGAAATAACTTGTCTCTGGGCTCCATTGTATCGACATGACAGACAAACAAGAACGGACAAGTCAAAGATGACATGACTGAGACATTTCCAGCAACTGCTCTGGAGTAGCCAAATGCTTGAGAACGGGCCGGGACTCCTTTTTTTTTTTTTAACTTTTATTTTATGTTTGAGGGTACATGTGAAGGTTTTTTACATAGGTAAACACATGTCACAGGGGTTGTTGTAAACATTATTTCATCATCCAGGTATTAAGCCCAGTAGCCAATAGTTACCTTTTCTGCTCCTCACCCGCCACCCTCCCGCTCAAGTAGACCCCAATATCTGTTGTTTCCTTCTTTCTGTTAATGAGTTATTATTATTTAGCCCCCACTTATAAGTGAGAACATGTAGTCACATCTTTCAGGTCTTATCTCCATGTGACTTCTTCATCTAGCTTGTTAGTCAGGCTTCTTTAACTAATGGCTCAGGCTTTGGAAAAGTGAAAACAGAAGTACTAAGAGCTTTCTAAGTCTGGGCCCCAAAGTCACACAGCATTGCTTCTGTCTCATTCTATTTGTCAAATCAAGTCAAGGGTCAGTTCAAAGTCAATGGGAGGAAATACAGACCCTAACTCTTGAGGGTAAAATTGATATCAGACCTTTGGGATGAGACAAACGACTGGGGTCATTTCTAAAACAATCTACCATGAAACCCTGTAGAAAAGTTAGCAAATATATGCAGTCATTCCCCAGCAGGAAAGAAAAGATCACCATAAAAAGAGATTCTCAGTCTCATCACTTTCATGATTAGTGAGAGCAATGTTTGACAACAATGAAATTTCATTTTACACTCCTTGGAGTAGCAAAAAAAAAAAAAAAAAAATCAGACAACATCAAATACTTGAGAAGTATTGCACCACTGACCTCTCCTATTTTTGGCAATGAAAGTGCCAACTGACACAACTTTCTGGTACAAAATTCAGCATTGTCTTCTAAAGTTGAGCACCCCATACGCTATGACCTAAAAATTACTCTGTATTCATATGCATGACAAAATGTTTCAGAAGTCGACCAAAAGGCACGTATAAGAATGTTCATAGCAGCGTTGATTTTAACAACAAAACTTAGAATCAAACCTGATGTCCACTGATAACAAAAATGGATAAATAAAATATTGGTATCTTCACACAATATGTCTTAGTAATTATGGGCTGCTAGAGTAAGAATAACATAGACTGGAAGACTTAGAAGACAAATATTTATTTCTCAAAATTTTAGAAGCTGGGAATTCCAACTTCAAAACACTGGCAGATCCTGTGTCTGGAGACAATTGCCTTCTCATTTTATCCTTACATGGCCTGAAGAGAGGGAAAGAGACAAAGACACACACAAAGAGATAACTGTAGTCTCTTTTCTTCTAAGGGTACTGATTCCATTCATGACAGCTCTATACTCACAACTTAACTCTCTCTCTCTCTGAAAGTCCCACTTCTAAGCACCATCACCTTGGGAATTAGGCTTCAACATATGAACTTTGGGGGGACATAAACATTTAATCTATAGCATTATAGAATATTATTTAAGAGGGTAAATAAATATTAAGATACATATAATAACATGGATGAATCGTAAAAACATAATGTTGAATGAAAAGATCAAACCCAGGAAAACTACACAGAGTATGATACTTGTTTTATACAATTCCAGAACCAATAGAATAATATATCAATATGAATTTCTATATACACACATATATTAATCACTATATAAAGTGATAAAATTATATGTAAGCATAAAAAACAACATGAAATTGTAAGGACAGTATTTGTACAGGAGGCAAGAAGAGATCAGAGTCAGATATGTGTCATTCACAGATGTTTTAGTGCTTGGGTAATGATTTATGATTATTTATTTTTTAAGAAGTACTATTCTTTCCTTCAATTCATGCTGACTTGTTCAGCAAAATTGGAATATATTTGTGCATTCACCTACAATATGAATTATAAGATTATACATTTTATATTTTCCTTTTTTTTATCCCTTTTCTTCCTCACATGACTACCATTATTTTTCTTTTTGTATTATTTATTTGGGGATACAAACTTATTCTCAAACTGAGCAGCACAAACCAACAAATGTGTACTTTATCACAGTGTTTCCAAAAATCAGGAAACTGGCTATATCTTAGCTGGTTAATTTTGACTCAGGAGCTCATGAAATTGCAGTCAGGACATAGGCAGAGGCTGTAGTCATCTGAAGACTTGACTTGGCTCCTTAATGTTCCAGATTCACTCACAAGGCTTTTGGCAGGAGGCCTCAGTTCCTTGCTGGCTGTTGCTCAGATACCTCAGCTCTTAATCACGTGGGCCTTTCAATAGAGATACTAATGATTTCCCTTCCTGTAGACCTAGTGATCCAAGAGAGAGCAATTAAGACAATACACAACCTCAGGAGTAATATACCATCACTTTGCCATATTCTACAGGTCACACAAGACAACTCTGATATAACATGGGAGAGAATTATGGGGTATGAATATCTGAAGGTAGGGATCATTGAGGGCCATCTTGGAGGCTGGCTATTATGCTAATAAAACTTTTAATAATGAATGCTAAAAACACATTAACAATATAACTGTGAAAAAAATGTGAATGAATAATACATTTCTCAATTTAATTTAGCACAGTGAAACACTTACACTACCACATTTATAAACTTTATAGTCCTCATAAATTTCTCCAAAATGTCTAAGATAATTCCTGTATAGTTTGTAATATCCTCCTAATTAAATCCTCCTTCTGCTTACCAGTTTGTAAGAAAAGCAAAAATTACTATTTCAATTTATATTTACTGATTTTTCAATTAAAATGACAACTTAGCTTGCAATTGATTACTACTGCTTTCAACACACAGATATAATCTTTTATATTTGTTTTGAGTTAATAGTTTGTGTAAACTACTGTAAGGAAAATCTCTCTCCATTCATTTTTTTAATGTTCTTTCTATACTTAAATCAATTGATACCTCAAACTGTATTTAAATAACCATGTTGGAGATTTTATTTACCAATAAAAAATGTAAAAATAATTCTCCAATTGTCTCACCTCTGTTAAAATATGTCCTATGTTCTTTCCATAAACTTCCACAATTTGATTTTCCAGTGCATGATCATAGGAGGTTTCTGCAACAATGGGGAGGTGTTCTTTTGGTGCAGACTATGTACTCCTTGCTGTCAATCATCAGAAATGCACATTACCTTGAGTAGACAATAGAAATAATGGCAATTCAGAGATGTTGGCAAAAATAGTTGCTGCTTTTAGTATTGCTACAATGTAACACCACAGAGGGAAGAAGCCAGAGAGAGGAGTTAAAGACAACATTTTTGAAGTGATCTATAGAATTATCTGAAGTTTGTGACCCATATCTAGTAGAGATGCCACCAATCCCCCATGTCTCCAAACATCATTTTAGAGAAATGTTTGCATGTGTTCAAAATTTTGCATGCTGAAGGCAGATTCAACAAATTTCTGACTTTTGACAGTTATTTCCAACACCTTTTTATAGTCCTTCACTGCCAACTCCCACAGACACATTCAGTCTGGCCTGGAAGAATAGCAGATACGCTAATAGTAGTTTCTTTTTCTGTTTGGCTCAGTACTAAAGAGGTATAGAAATAGGAGGTAGAGAAGCTAAAGAAAAATTAGTGAAAAGAAAGGAGAGCTATAGCTTGATAGTAACACATGGTTACTATCAAACATTACTTTGGATACTCTCTTGATTTTGTTTATTTCACATACTGAAAGGATAACATAGTAAGAGACACTCAAAAAGAGGTCTGAGTTTTATATGCAGGTCTCAACAAGAAGCTGTTGAAGATATTTCACAAACAATACTAAATTTTGGCCTTGCTGTCTGAGGATCATAAAAAGTCATTTAGTAATATTGGCATGTTATTTTCTTGTGGGTATATGTTAAATAAAAGTTTAAGCTTCCAGAAACTTACACATTCCAACTCCTTAGACAACTTTAGACATAACACATTTTATAATTAACAGATTTATCTTTAAGTAGATAGATATGTAAATGTTATAGATAGCATGTATCACACATATGTTGCACCTCTTCAAGAGAAACTTTGTTCATCACAAATGTTCATACCACATTTAACATTTAACATTGGATCGATGCTGGTAGATGAAATAATTACTCTCAAACACAGTCACAGAAGGTTCATTCTTTTAGTCACAAAATAAATATTTGTTGTGCAACTACTGTGTGCCAAGGCAGAATCTAGGGAAAATGCAGTGGCATTGGAGATATCTTTAGTGTCTCTGAATATACATTAGTGCACAAATCCAAGGGAGACTGTGACTGGTTGTCATAGGAGCTAAATTATGTTTTTACATAGGAAGAAAAGAATAGATGAAAAATATATGGTTGTATAAATGAAAGAAACTTGGAGTTAAAAGCAACTTACACCCAACTCTTCTCATCATGCATTTAACAGTTGGACACTGTATTTTGATTTTAAGTTAGAGGACTTTGTTTCTACTCCAGGCTTAATCATTTTCTAAGGTAGGGCCCTCAAATAAATCACTTAACCTTTCTATTTCTAAAAATTAATCCTACTTTAGAGTATTTTTTGGAACAATCAAATGAGATGACATAAATGGTACTCAACGTAGAGCTCTCTGCTGTTATTACTAGAGATCTCTTCTAGTGAACATATCTTTAGAAGTTTTGCATAATTTTGAGATTTAAAAATACAAAATGATACTCTTTTTCACGTTTTTTTTCTGTTTGTTTAAGACTTGTGGTTAACCCATGGGCAGTTATATGGTTACTAATTGAGGCTTTGATATTCTTTTTATCCATTCTGGCAACTGTTGTTCTAGAACAAGATATAATTACTTTATCAAGGTGAACCTGTTCTATATGCTTCAACCTAACATAATGAATTAATATGATATTAACTTTCACCATATAGTGAAATACAATACCAGTTATTTTATAGATTGAATACCCTTTATTGACAAATGAAAATGAAGAGACTAAAGTAATGTTTGACACCTGCTTTCAGTGGCAAGCCATATAGGGAAACTGGACACCAGGAAGAAAAGGTAATGCTTTACTTTATTAGAGAATAAAACTAGACAACGGACACTATTCAGGTGAACAAAAGAGGATGGCCCTCATATATTTTGGTTACTTTGAATACAAACTCTGAGGAGAAATGTCTCCAATTATTTGCTTCAATAGTACTTTATTAAACCTTATCATTTTGGAAAATCATAATACACAAAAGCAAAACAAAACTCCCACAATTAGGAGTACAGAGCCCAATATCTTATCATGGAAGCTTATACATAGTAGATATTCACATAATCAAATTTAAATTTGTGGATCTCATTCAGTTAAGGAGAAGAGGTTATGCAAAATATTAATCATAGTCTGGTTATAGGTCTCTAAATAAAATTATGGGAGTACATAAAATATAGTTGTGGTAAAAACTAGAGATCAAATACAGACAGAGAGATACTAGACCATTATTTCATGAAACAAATTAGTAATTTGAAATACCATATTTTTCAAAAAACTAAGATGAAAAACATCAACCAAAAGAAAAAAATACTGTGTGAAAGTATTTATCAAGGTATTTAATCATGTATTCAGTTTATTTATCGGCAACGAATGACCATAATTTTGTTAATGCAGTTAAATAATGGCATACAATTTTGTATTTAAACATAGTAATTATGTGTGAATCACAATATAAATAATAATGCCACATCTAACATTCTGTAATTCCTGTGTTTCCAAAAATATTCCAAGTATTATAGAAACAATTTTCTAATTCAGCTTTTACATACTGATTTATTATGTATGATGTATTGTTCTCCATTTAAAAATATTTTACCAGTTTTTTTGAATAATTAATGTTGCTGTTAATTCATTTCATATGTGTGTCCAGTTATGATTACAATCTAAATCAATATTAAAGTTATATTTTTGATAATCATAAATCTTTCTGAAATCATATAGTTTTTCTTTATTACCTTCTGATCCTTTAAAGATACTCTGTATGTATCTCTATAAGCTATTAATACTATTTTTTATAGTTTCTATTCTGAATACAAATATCTCTTACAATCAGCAATTTTACAAACATAGTAGCATTTACATGTATTCTCTGAAGGAATGTCTACATTGAAATATCATAGAAATAGCCCTGAAAGATATCCATGATATGCTATATTATTTGATCCTGAGGATATTGTGCCAATTGAAGCAGTTTTTTTCAGGATTACATGTGCTTGGCAAAACTTTCTAACGATTAATATGTAGAAACATTTTTGACAAATTACTACTTGATTTTAATGTGGTTTCATTGATTTCTTAAAGCTGAGACTGGATATTTTTTCAGTTCTTCATTTAATTCCATTATTCCAGCTTCTCTTTCAGCAAATTTGCAGGGAAAAAAGCAATGCCTTGAGTGGAATGCTGAAAGCATTTGGATAGCTAGGCATTTTAATTATGAAGTTTTTCATTTGATGTCTTTGTTCGTAATAAGGCAGATAGTAATTGAGGCAGTTAAAGCTACCTGAACATAAAGAACCTAGACTATTTCTAATGTTCATGGTAAAGTCATGCATATATCTAAAATTTAGATTTAAGTAATTTACCTGCAATTATGTTTGATTGGCTTATTTGTCATCTCCAGGCAGTCCTACATAAATCACTAAAAAACTAGTTCATCAATTTTTCAATATAAAATGATTCATGATTATAGAATATGATAGTTGAAAAACACAGTTTATCCCTAAATGATTACCTTGCAAAACAAAAGTGTCCCATCTCTTCCAAGGGCACAATAATTCAAGGCTAGAAATGTAGTTTGGTTCCATAGCTGAATGGATTGAGCACACTTTTTGAATACTGTCTACACACATAAATAATAGGATATGAAAAATACACGAGGAAAATTTGTGTAATACAGTATGTTCTCCTATTGTTAATCTACCTTTCCAATTGTAAAGAAAAGTGACTGTTTTGTAAGGGGTATTCTTCTCTATAACTTCTACCTTTTAATTGATCCTATAATTGGTACTAATTAAAGAGCATGTAGCAGTCACCAATCTTTTTAAGTAATGAAATGAAGCAAAGATGTAATCTAAAAGCATAAAAATAATGGACAAATTGATTCAGATTTTAATGGGAATTCCTTGTAAAGCCTTCAGTGAAATATCTTTTTGGAAGTAAAGAGATTAAAAGAAAAAAAAAACACAGGAGTCATCAGTTAAGCAGAATAATAGTTGAAGAAACGAACATAGAACAAGGGTTTTGGGATGGATAGAAAATTCTAAGAGTTGAATATGGAGTCAATAATGTTTTTTGATGCTAACTTACATGATATGCAGGTTTTATTATTTCCAGAAGCTCTTCACCAGAGTATTTGGTATAGAATAATGTACATTTTAAATCTATTTTGAATAAGATAATAGATAATTATCTCACTGCTTCACTTATTACCTATTCAGTTTAGACTAATTACTTAACTTTTCTGTTCCTCAGTTTCCTCATCTGTAAACTGGAGCTATTAAAACACCAAATGTACAGTTCTAGTGCAAGAATTAAGTGACATTATAAATGTAAAGTGCTTTAGGAAAGTATAGACTCATAATGTGCATTTAGTCAATGTTAATTATTAGTATTATGATTCTAATACACACCCTTAAAGGTCTTTATATAGTGATATAAGAAACTTTTTTGTTTATATAGGAGAAATATGTTCATAAAAAGTTTTTTTAAGCAAGTTAAGAGTGACATTGTTTTTACATCAATCTTCTATTTTCACTGGCATGATACCATCATAGCATTCAAGGAGAAACACTTTATTAAATGTTTTGCTGCTGGAATTGTTCTTTACAGACTGACATCATCATCATTCCTCCACATCAGTAGCTAAAGCATAGTTTAAGTTTTGGTTTATATATGCTTTTGAAAACAAAAGTCATTCTACTAAAATGGATCGTCAAAAAATATCTAATACATTAAAAAGAACTTTCCATTAAAATTTATGGTAATTCTTCAGCCTTCCAATAAAACTATATTACTATCCCATGTAGGTGAATTATTTAGTATAATAGTGATTAAGTTTGCAACCTAGCACTGTTTGGCTTTAAATTCTAGCTTTACTGCTTACTTGCTGTGTGAATTTGGACAAGTAATATACTACCAGTTTTAGAGTTTTCATCTGTAAAGTAGGAATAAAAATAGTATCTACCTCACAAAGTACTTTTGAGGACTAAAGAAGCTCATTTATTTTGAAACCTCTTGTGTAAGTTAAAGAGAATGCAGTTGGTATAGGTGTTGCCTTCATTGTAATTCTTCTGTTTTGTAATTGTCAGGGGTACTATTATTAAATCTGGCAATTTTCTCTTGTCCCAATGAAAGTCTCACCTCTAAATTCTTTATTTCTCCCTCTTTCTTTCTCTCTCACACACATATACATATATACATATATGTGCACATATATATGTATATATAGATTCTCTCTATTTTTTTTAACTTCCTACTTAAATAGTGTTTTCTGTCTTGGTGTCTAATGAATATATAGGCATTTCTTTATTCAATAACGTTGTTTAGTCCATGTAGTTTGTGAATAAAAAAAGCTTTAGACCTGGAAATGGTGCTATACAAAATATAAATGAAAATTTTGATTAACAGACAGAAACTAGATGCCAGTTTTTCTCTGAAGCAAAAGTTAAAATTAATAAATAAATTATTTATTTATTTAATTTTATAAAAAATAATAAATTGAACTTCCAGAATTATTTGTGAAGGATCCGTGATAGAGGATGGGGAAAAACTTATTTGAAAACTCTGCAAAATGTAGGAATTTAAAGAAAAATAATAAAAGATTGAGCAGAAATATATGCACCTAAAAATAGGATTTTTTTGTTCCATCCCCATTTTCAATTCATTATTTTGCTTCATATTTCACTGATAAAATTGAAGTAATTGGAAGAAAGTTTTCAGAAACTTCCACCTGTGTATTTACCAGCCTGCCTGCATATACGTTGCTTTGCCTCCTGCTACTATTGAAGGGTACTCCCTGAATCCATATTAGGTCAATTCTGCCCTTTTTACAGAAGATCTGGTCATGTACCTTCATTCTTCTAAAATACTCTTATCAAAATCTCCAGGTACTTCCATATTGTTAAATCCAATAACAAATTATCAGTTTTCATTGTATTTGACCTGTCAGCAGCCTTTAAGCTGGCAAGGCACCTCCTTCTTTTTTATACACTTTGTTTGTAATTTTCAAGGCACGATACTCCCTATTTTTCTCCATCTTACTCCTACAACTCATTTAGTTCTGCTACTTGTATGCCTTCTCTTCATCCTTTTAATATTGGAATGTTTAGAGCTGAATCTGTGAAACTCTTATCTCTATATGACGTTATTTTAGTAATTCCACACAATTGTTACTTTACGGACCACTTATATAGTGAAAATCCCCAATTTATAGCTCCATCTCTGATTTAGCTTATAAAATCTAGACTCTTATCTACAACTAATGGACTCAGTGTTCCCATTTTGAACTGTAACACTCAGTTAAACATTAATATGGACTTCTCATATTGTGCACAAACTCATTCATCTGAATTTCTTCTCTTCTCATTAATGGCACTTCATTCTACCATTTGCTTCATGTCTTCTTTAACTTCTTTTCTTTTAATGCCCATAGCTAACCTGTCAGGAAAATATCTTGATTCTATTTTTTAAGAAAAAAATGTAGAATCTGACCACTTCTCACTAACTTTACCGGATTTTTTTCTCCAAATAATTCAATTATTAGCACAGTTGGAAGACTAGCACTTTTCCAGTTGTAATGCTTATTCTTTAGACTCTATTCTCAAAGCAGCATTACACGTCAAAAAATAACTCAAATCAAATCACTTTTTAAATGAGTCATACATTGGCAATCGTAATTAAAATTTCCCGTTCTTTTATTTGTATTTATTCCCCTTACCTGCTTTATTTTTCCTATAACAATTATCACCTTTTAAATATTATACAATTATGCTATTAACATGACTCCACACAACTAATACATAGTTCTCTTGGATTCAGGAATGTTTTTGGTCTTATTCTCCAATATATCCTTAGCACACAGAAGAGTCCTTGGTAAATAAGTAGGTACTCAATAAATATTTGGTACGAAAAAGAACAAAATATACATTTTATGACTTAGGAAGATAGTACAAAAGAATGAAGATGATATGTAGTTTACAATTCAATAAGGTACTAACTAAATAAGGACCACAATTTTATTTATATTTCTTTTAATAAATGTATAACAAAAGAATTAAGTGAAAACGAAAAAAACAAACATTTTTTAAAAAGTAAATGCAATATTCAGTATTTCCTGTGATTATAAACAATTTTTTCTACCAATTTTAACTGATAAAATTAACATAGACTTAAAACACAAAGACAGAAACTTCTCTACTGAGTATTAAGTTAAAGCTATCCTCCAGTGCTCCCTTCAGATTAGCAATCCTCTCTAAAAGTTTTATTACCAATGGAAAGCAGCCCTAATTTTGTCTTAGTTTTTTGTTGCTTACAACAGAATACTTGAAAATAGGTAATTTATTTTTTAAGAGACATGGGGGTGGGATAAGGTTTAGTTCTTACAGTTCTGGAACTGGGAAATTCAAGTCCAAGGAGGTACATCTAGGGAGAGCCTTCCTGCTGATGGGACCTCTCTGCAGGGTCTCGAAGTAGCACAGGACATCCTATGATGAGGAGGCATGCTTGCTCAGGTCTTTCTTCCTCTTCTTACATAGCTATCAGTGTTATTCATATAATAACCTATTAATCCATTAATTTATGAATGTATCAATGCATTATGAGGGTGGAGACCTTATGACTCAATTACTTCTCATGATCTCCACCTGTCAATACTGCCTTAGTGGGGATTAAATTTCCACATGGGATTTGGAAGGTAGAAATATAAACAATAGCAAATGTGATACCTCTTTGAATCAGCTTTCTGTATTTTTGGAGTTTTCTAGCTAATCTTTCATAAAATAACTGAGGTAGAAGAGCTGTTAAGGTCTTGACATATTCCTGGCTTATGTAATTGGTTTCAATGGAGAATTAGTAAACTATGGCATTTCAAACTTAATTGGACCCAATGTAATAATAAAAGATTCACTTTAAACTTGGTACTGTAGTGCTCTAATTTCTTTCTTTACTTACTAGTTTTATGCTGTTGATTTTTTTATGTATTATTTATATAAAGTTTTATATAAGCATATTCATAAAATGCTAAATGCACAAAAGTTGCCACCAAAACAAATCTATAAATATTTATTAAATAGTACATAATAGTATTTACCAATCATATGTAATATTTCAAATATAGAACAAAATAATGAGCAGACATGGTTTCCCTATATCCTCTAATTTCCAGAAAACATCAGATTTCAAAGTCTAGTCTTAATGTCTGTCTGTTATCTTAAATTTTACTTGGGTGCTCATGTGATCTGACCTTTCATTTAAAAAATGAGACCATTTGGTTTTAAAAATGAAATTACTGCAGTTACACAGTTTCTACTTTTAAAAAGACAGTTGGCTATTTGAAGTATTATCTTAATTCTCCAAATAACATATTGTCTTGTTTTCTCTTGACTATTTCAAATTCATCTTGCCCCAAATTGGAAGTCAATATTTGACTTAGTCCATTTGAGCTGCTATAACAAAATAACATAAAACTGGGTGGCATATGAATAAAAATGTTTTATTTCTCCCAGTTCTGGGGTCTGGGAAGTCCCAGATCAAGGCACTGGCAAATTCAGTGTCTGGTTAGGGCTTGCTCCTCAGAGATGAAGGCTTCTCCCCGTGTTTGCTCATGGTGGAGGGGGAAAACCGGCTCCCTGTGAACCTCTTTTATAAAGGCACACATCGCACTCAGCCTTCATGGTTAATCATCTCCCAGAGGCTTCATCTTGAGGCTTAGAATTTCCACATATAAATTTGGGGGTGACAAACATTCAGACCATAGCAATGTTATCTCTGTTCCTTCCAATAGGAAAGTGTCAATTCATTCAAAACTATTTATGAATTACCTACTATGGGTGAAGCAGAAATGTAGGCACTGGGAACACAGTGGTGAACAAGATAAACAGAAATGGAGCTAATGTTTAGTGAGCAAGAAAAGAAATCAGTAAGGTAAATATGTAAAATACATTGTATGTTAGTGGTGAGAGCTAAGAAGAAAATCATGAAGGGAAGAAATACAGGAAATTTAAAACCCATATGAGAGGAGAGCCAGAACCATGCATATATCAAGGGAAAGCTGTGCCAGGCAGGAGAAACTTCCAAAATAAAGAATTTGAGGTAGGCATGTCCCTGCCAGACTCCAAGAGGACAACTAGGGGATAAGAGTTCAGAAAGGTGAGGGAGGTTAAGACATTATATACTATTTTATATTGCTTTATTTTCCCTTTATGTAAATGTATTGTCTACTCTTTTGCTATTGTTTAATTGGTTACCCTAAAGTCTATACTATGCATTATTAATTCATTCTAACACAAATTATGACTTTTACCACTTCCAAAATGAAACTAGAACATTAGAACTTTTTAATTGCATGTATACTTATATCTTTTGTATAATTTTGTTTACACATTTTAATTTCATATATAACAGAACCCCATAAAACATAAGTCTAATTGTTTTGTACAGTTCTTACTCAGTAAATTTTTAGTTGTGTTTATCCTCATTGCCCTTCTCTTAGTTCTTTGTTACTGTCTTCATTTCTGTGTTTTCCTCTCAGGCCATTTTGCTTCTGACTCTTCGAAGTTCTTCCTCTCTGGAGTCATAGTCCCTGTAGTTCTGTGTCTTCAGCAGCTCTTAGCTGCCTTCAAATCAGTCCTTTCTAGTCTGTGTGTGTGTGTTGCATGGTTGTTCTAGGTATGCACAGCCAATACATTTTCTGTGCTATTTCATTCTACATCTTATTTCAGAACTTTATACACATTATTTTGTATGTATTTCTCACAGCAGTCCTTCAAGAAAGGTAACGTCAGTATTTCTGTTTACTTATCAGGAATGTGATGTTCCTGAGACTAATCAACATTCCTGAGACCACTCTGTTCATAAATTCTGTAGTCAGAATTCAAATGTGGGCCTGTAGAATTCAAATAAGTGTGTGTGCCCACACTCTTTCTACTTAGTAAAGACATAGCCAAAGGCTCCATGAAGCTCTTGATTAGCCACGTGAATCTAAAGAGAACTTACTCTGTTCCAGGCATCATACTAGGGGTTGAATAGAGTGTGGTCTGTGGAGATAGGGTATAGAGAAGGTATACAAAGTTAGTGCACCTCCCATAGTCTTAAGGAACAGGTAAAGTACACATATAACAAATTATCAATAAATATAAGTGCTATCTATAGAAATAAAAGTTAGTAAGTATCAGGAGTGGATTTTGGGGGAAATGTCTTCTTTCTTAGAAAGAAATTATATTTGAACAACTTCAAAGGTGAGAAGAGGTTGTCAAGGTAGTGAATGAATAGCAGATCAAAATATTATGGACATTATCCTGTACATGATGGGGAACTGTTGCGGATTTGGGACATAGAAGAAATATTAACAGCACCCTCATAATGATAGAAAGGAAATGGTTAAAAGGGAAAACTGTTAACTTCTTTGGTGGGGTAGAGATTGACACTGATGAGAGATATTTAATGGTTTCAGCCTGTTCATATATAGATTTCTGCCTAATGAGAGAGTTTCCACCCTCGGGAAAAAAAAAAAAAAAAGGATTTAACTCTCCCCATTGTTACAGATTGACAATTTTATAGACAGAAGGTGGGAGAATCTCAAATTAGAGAAAAAATAAAATATAAATCTAGGTCAATCATTTTAAAGTTAAAAAGGCCATGAAATACTATTCAGGCATATAAAATAATCAAAATATGTATTTTGCAGAAACATGTATGGCACTGGAGGTCATTATCGGAAGTGAAACAAGTCAGACGCAGTCAAATACCATGTTTTCACTCATAAGTGGGAGCTGAAAAATATGTATACATGGACATAGAGAGTGGAATGGTGGATAATGGAGACTCGGAAGGGTGAGAGTGTGGGAGAGGGAGGATAATGAGAAATTACCTAATGGGTACAATGTACATTATTCAACTGGTGGATATCCTAAAAGCTCTGACTTTACCACTATGCAATATATGTCTGTAATAAAATTGCACTTGTACCCTATACATTTATTTTAAAATAATAACAAAAGGCTAGTATAAGTATGCTTTCTTAAAAAAGTAAATAAATTAACAAAGTGATGTTTAAAAGAGCTATTTGAAAGAAGCAGCTCTGTTTAATAACAGTAGCACTATATGGCTGGGCACAGTGGCTCACGCCTGTAATCCCAGCACTTTGGGAGGCCAAGGCAGGCGGATCAAGAGGTCAGGAAATCGAGACCATCCTGGCTAACACGGTGAAACCCCGTCTCTACTAAAAATACAAAAAGATTAGCCTGGCGTGGTGGCGGGCGCCTGTAGTCCCAGCTACTGGGGAGGCTGAGGTAGGAGAATGGCATGAACCCTGGAGGCGGAGCTTGCAGTAAGCCGAGATTGCGCCACTGCACTCCAGTCTGGGCGACAGAGCAAGACTCCGTCTCAAAAAACAAAACAAAACAAAACAAAAACAAAAAAAACAGTAGCACTATACTTAAAGTTAACTTTAACAACTGTACACAGGTTATGAATACATTGCATACAGTACTAAAATCTCTGACAAAATCACGGCTACACAGTAACAAAAATAGCCCATGTATCTATCTCTCCTATGAAATTGCAAATCCAAGATCAGAAATCATATTATTATTTATTTTATTACTCCCTTGGAATACTAAATGACCTAGTAATTACGTGTTGAATAATTTACTAAGTGAAATACAAAAAAAGGGAAAGAAAAACGATATAAAAATTGTCATAACTTGAAAATAAAGGATTCTAGACTATATGAGAAAATATTTTCCCAGTTAATATCAGCCAAGGCATTTCTCCAGTTCTTTGTAAAGAGAAACTAGAAATTTATATTTGAACCCAACTGAAATGCTTCAACAATATATATAGTTAAATGAGCAGTAATATATAACTAGTTTTCCTTCCAAAGTTTGTTTATTCTGTTATTTTCATTCTTTCTTTGTCTCCAAGTCTTGAGATAAAGAACCCCCAGCAGTTTTTCTGGGTAGCTGTCTTGTCTATAGATTACACATGACTATTATAACCAGATATTGATGCAAAAAAAGTAGATTAAACAAGGAAAGAAAGAACGTCATCTACTGAATGAGAATCTAACAAGAATTATTTCTGTGTGTATGTGCTACACGTTGCCAGTGCAGCAGAGTATTTTTTAAAATAATCAGAAAGGAATTATTTAAAATGTTTATTCTGTTGGTTCAATTCAAGATTACTTCAAAAATTTGGTTAAAGAAGTTCTGATTCCTCATATACATTTGAGAGTCAATCTGATTTACACATTAGTTGTATTTATTTCTAGCGTTTCTTGTGATATGACGGTAAACTGATGCCTTTGATTCTATGATAAAGGAAAATTTTTATCTCTATCAACTTAGTTGTGCAACAAAGTTCTCATTTCTGCCTTCAAAAATTTTATTTATTTTGATATAATTCAAATTAGTTTAAAAGAGGCAAAAATAGTTCAAAGGACTCCCATAGACTTTTTACATAGTTTGACAAACTATTCATACTTTTCCCCATTGACCTTTTTGTTATCTCTTTTTCTCTGTGTGTCCATGAGTATACACACACATATGTATGTACGTATGTATGTAGATGTATAAATTTTCCCGAACCCATTGAGAGTAAGTGATAGAGTCACGTCCCTTTAGACATGTGTGTCATTGTATGCTTCCTACGGAAAAGGGTATACTCTTACATAACTATGGTACAATTTTAAAAATATTGATACAATATTATTATCTAATCCACACTTCATATTCAGATGTCATTAATTGTTCCAATAATGTGCTTTATAAATATCTTTTCCTGGTTCAGAATCCAATAAGGTATCATGAATTACATTCTGTTGTCTCACCTTTCTTGATACAGAGCATTTCCTTGAACTTTCTTTGTGTTTCTTCCCTTTGGCATTTTTGGAGATTACTGGTGAATTGTTTTTTAGACTTGTTCTTCAGGTTGAGTTTTGCATATGTTTTGGTAGGAATACTATAAAAGTGAAGATTGCCTTTCTCAATGTGTTATATCTGGAAGCACCTGATGTTCAATTGTCCAATATTGTGATATTAATTTGATAACATGGTTAAGGAATCTAAAAAGTATTCCTACTATAAAATTATTATTTTTTGTAAGTAATAACTGGTTTTATTTATCAAAATTTGATCTGTTGGGTTTACCACCTTTTGACACTTTTCAGACTCTATACTTATTTTTATGTTTATTAGTTGATCCTCTGTAAGGAAGAGATTTCCTTCCTCCCTTATTTATTAATTTCTTCATTTTTATGCCATTATGAATTCAGATTATTATTAACATCTGGACAGTGACTGGCCCTGCAAAATAACTTCTTGTTCTTTACATCTATTTTAATTATTCTTTGGCTATTTCTTACCTTTGGTACAACAAAATAATCCAGGCTCAATGTGTACCTTCCCTGCCCCAGACTCAGAATCAACTTCTTCACTAAGAATTCTAGATCCTTTTACTAAAGGCTATATATTACTTTCTTCTATTTTTAATTTTTTCCATATTTGCCACTACTTTCTATGTCTCAAAAATAATTCATAGTAAAAAAAGCTGAACACAAAGTTTGTGTTTTTAAATTTAAAATTATATAAACAGCAAGATTGTGAAAAATAAAGAGTAAATTTTCTTTCTATTGGATATATATAAAATAAAATTTTTATCATTATAAAGTTCTCCTGAAAGTAATCTTTTGAAAAGATAAATTAATTTCACTATTATAAAAGAGCTCAACTATAATAATTGCATCCTTTCTTGTATTAAGCATGCACGATTTTAGACAAGACTATTAAGCTTTCCGGACACAACTCAGGTTTGGTTCTGCAGGTAAGCAAACATAGAGAAAGGATCTTCAGTTTCCTTACATGTTTTTCAATTAACTCTTACCCTTTGGATCAGCTTACTTCTCCCCAAGGTAATGCCACCGGCAGCTAAATGATGAACTTGCTTTCTCAGACTCCCTCAAAAGGACAGGAACATTTTAATTGTGTATCTATGTGGAGGGATGATTGATGTGAAAAAGAAATCAGAGTTGCTCACTATCACACTTTATAAAATTCCCTTCCATTTATCATTCACTATCTAAAAGCCCTCAAGATTAGTTTTGTTTAAAGATTATTTGCATTTAAATTGTAGGGATATAGGAGAGTGCTTGCATTTTACGACTGAGGTTAAAAACTAAAGTCATCAGTGGTTTAATCATTTTTAAAACAACATTCCCTAAAGCGACCCAAAGCATTGAATATGCTACAATATTTAGTAAAAAGTTCTTTAGTTATGGGGCTACTGTGGAGTCAACAACGTAAAAGATAATTTAAAAAACGTATTTATTCTTTGCTAGGTTACAGCTAAAAATACATTCCTGTAGAATAATCATCCTTGATGTGAGCTACTCTAAAAACAAAAATGAAGCTTTTTATTTTCTGAAATTAGAATTGTATAAGCCAATTTTTCTCAAGTATCATGCAGGGTTAATTGACTTCCAGTAACCTAAATTATGTTGTTACCTTACAGTTCAATTTAAAATTGTTAAGCAGAGAAATTTAGAAATGCTTAGAATGAAAACATTAGGCATAAAATAGACTGTAATATTATAGCAATTCTAAGTAGATTGTACACAATGCAGATTATGGCTGTGAGTATAAAACATAATTATCTATATTCCTTCATTTCAAGAGTTCATGGGGTCATTCATATCAAGTAAACAATCCCACTTTCGAGTTTTTACCAGTAAAGATAACTTATTTGAATAATTCTCAAAAGCCGTTCATTTTAAAAGGTCCAAGATAACTATTTTATAGCATTTACAGAATTCTTTAAAAGGACTGTTTCTATATTGATAGTAATTTTTTTACTTTGATGAATGCAGAAACACTGATTTATATTTTTAAAAATGTTTAACAAGACCATTTGGTTGAGGTTAAATTGACCTGAAGGTCTGAAGTGGGCTTGCTGAGAGAGAAACATGATATTTACTCTTCCTGGCTCACACTGCCTCATGCATCTTGATGGGAAACATACATCTAATATCTAATGATTTGATTTTACAATAAGATATTTGGCTGGTCATGTTTGATAGATTCTCCTTAAGAGGTATGTGTTATACTATATTATGTATACTATTATTAGAGGTGAATCTGAAAGATCTATTTCTTTTTTATATCTTAAATCAGATTAATGGGAAAGCTCCATGTGATTTTTAAAAATATATTTCATCATTTGTATACTTGTTAAATTTAATAGCTAAAATACTAAGAACATCAACCAGTTATCTACATCAATTTATTTTTATATTGAGTTACATAATTATTAAAACTCTTATCAAATATTCACAGGCTTATTTTATCTATCTATACACACACACACATACACACATTCCTAATCTGTCTGAACAAAGGTATCATACAAATTTTAAATAAAATCCTAAAATAGATATTTGTAGTTTGTACACAATATGTATTCTTATCTGCCCTGAGTATGAGGTTTAAAGCAAGCAGAATAATATAAATAAAAACATTTGTAAAATATGAAAGGAAGTCAAATGACAAATATAGGACAATATTACTTTTCAGTGATCACCCCATCTCCCAGTTTTCATGAGCATTAATTGCCTTCCTTATGTTCCTGGATATAGGATAAAAAGTTATCTTTCAGGAACATGCTACGTTTTTACCTTTCAATAGCTCCTTTCCTTAATTCAAATATATTGATTATGCATTTAAGTCTCTGATATTAATCAGATATTTACAGATTTTAAGTAGTCTTTAGTGGACCCAAAAATGGTGCTAGTTTGCAGATGCTAGAGGTAGTAACCTATAAAAATTATTTCGGAGCACATAGGCTTCTAAACACTCTACAAAGTAACTCTTTATGTGATTATATCCTCTCAGTTTTCGGATTATTGACAAACAATAGATTATTGAAATAAAATTATAATTATTACCAGAGCTTAATCTTAAATGCCAAATATTCTAACAGGAGTAAGATTTTGAATTTCAATGGACTATAGCAGATGACAATGTTCTATTAATATTTTTCACTATTACTGCTTTGTTGCAGTCGCAGACATTTCCTTTTTGTCTTTGTTTCTTTGTGTTATCCCAGCTTTGGGATATTTTCCTAGTGGTGACATTTTCCTGGTTCTTCCTGGGCATTTTGGATATTATGTTATGCGTCCCTGTGTTTTATTTGAATCCTCTGTTTTATCAGGCCTCCTGTGATACTATGCATGTTGAGGAAGGAAGCAATGCATCATTATTCCCAGGTGAGGGTGGAAGTTGAGGTTCCCCACTTGACTTGTTTGACAGTCCAGAAGGGAAAGTTGCCTCCTTATTTCTAGTCAGGGTCAAATTTAAGTTTCCCCATTGGACCTCTGCTGACACTATTTTAATAGTCTTTGTAGGAGACAATAATCATCAGAATTTGAGGAGTGTCTTTGGGGAATGGAAATCAAGATTTAGTTGTGAGAAACACAGAAGAGTTAGAATAAACTCTTGGGTGCCATGTGGAAGGTAAGGAAAGAGGAGTCAAAGATGACATGCAGATTCATGTTATGTGAATTAGTAAATGGGGATATTATGACAAGCATGGTTTTTAAATGACTTTTTTAGTAATTTATAAAGCTTTTATATGAGAATAATGTTTAACGTGAAAACTTCCTAATTTTAAAACATATAAACATTCTTATGTATTGAACTTATTTCTATGTTTTTCTTTCGTACAAGAAATGCAGGTATACTTGCATTGATCTTTCTGATTGCATTATCATGACTTTTTATGAATTATGCCATTTTGATATTTAATATAGTATATCGTATGACTAAATTTACTTTTTAGTCTAGCCTCTTAATGAGTCCTATGTACATTTTATATTCTCAGTCATATTACATCATTATTGATTAGATATGTTGTCTTTAATTGGATTGTAATTGGATGGTATTCTTCTCTGAAATTAGTTTATAATTACCTATTCTTTTTGAAATTGTACTTGTTAAAAACTAGTTTGAAAGAGAAAAGTGAATAAATTCAAATCTTCCCATTCTTTATGCATTAAAAAACTTCACATTTAAGTTTTTTTAAAAAATGAAAAGGTGAGAGAAAATATTAATTGGTATAAAACATAAATATAGACAGGTAAATTTAAATATATAAAATATAAAATGTGAGTAACATCTAAAATAATAAGCACAATAAAAAGACCAAAATCAAACTTGTGAAGTTTCACTTCAAATATGACAACATAGAGCTCATATTTGTAAAAGCATTTGCTAATAAATAAAACAGAAATAATTTAATTTGAAATTTAAAAGAAGACATGAGTAGAGAATAGCAAGAAATTTAGAGATAATACATTTAATCAAAGATCTTTACCATCTTTCATGTCTATGATTTCCTTATTTGGAATTATCTTTAGGTCCATCCAAACATTATATTAAATATTATAATGCCAATATACACTTATCCTTTGATAGTGGACTTAATTTTTTGAAATGCCTCAAAAAGCGTGGCTATATAAATCTATGGGCAAAAAAAGCATTCAAAGAAGTAAATGTCATTGAGAACATATATAAGAATATAATCTATTTTCACATGAGATGTGCTATCACTGAGATATTCACATGTTAGCTTAGTAGAAAGTGAAAAAGCTGTAAAAGATATTTAGT
Organism: Homo sapiens; assembly: GCF_000001405.40. Classification (NCBI taxonomy): domain Eukaryota; kingdom Metazoa; phylum Chordata; class Mammalia; order Primates; family Hominidae; genus Homo; species Homo sapiens. The sequence goes on from NC_000001.11 coordinate 189,958,830, forward strand.
CCATCCTATGGAGAGGCAAGGGAGAAGTAATTATCAGGAGGAATTAAAATTTGAGCTAAATCTTGAAAAATTACTTTGCAGTATTTGGCTACACAAGAGTTGAAACAGAGTTCTTGGCAGAAGGAGTAGCATGGAAAAATGTCGGAAGGCTTCAAGAATGATACAATTTTAAAGGAATTATATGTAGTATATTCTGACTGCCAAAGATAAATGACAGTATAAGAGGAAAGCAGGTCAAATTATAAAGGGCTTAGAGATGTAAACCTTGCCATATAAGTAATCATGAGCAACTATCAGGTCTGAAATAGAAGGCTGATCTACAATTTAGGGCAATTTGGAGGATGTGTTGAATAAGTGTAAGGCAGTAAGTGTCATTGCTATTAATAAAGCTTCTTATTCTTGCTCAGTATCCCCGAATTTATTCATATACACTTTAATGTAAAATCCTCATCCTACACCTTATATCCTCTTGATAAGAACTACTTTATAAATTCTACACATATTGCATTATAGTTACTTCATTGAAAAAAAATCTCCCAGAATCCAGAATGTTTAACGTGCAGAAAACAACAGTTTTAGAAGAGACATTGTACTATTGATGGAGAAATGATATGCTTTCAAACTTTATGTTTATATTAAGAAAATTTTCTAATTCAATTAATATTAGGCTTGTCACTGGCTAATGTGTGGAATAACACATTTTTAAAGACCATTTCCAATGGTTATGTGCCTATTTTAGATACATTACACATTTGTTTCTTATAAAAACAGAAAACTATTACAAATAAAATGAAAATCTGTATAAATTCCTAAGACTATTTATATTATTTTTAAGTGTTAGAAATAAAATTGTTTTCTATCTCTTTCAAAAGCCTCTGTTCAACAATTTAAAAAATTAAGTGTGGCTTGGCAAACTTTTCACTATTAGAATAGAATGAGAAAAAAATAAGTAACTCGTTTTACTTTTAAAATGTTTCAGATGCATTAGTTTATCCAAATAGTATATGCCACTTACTTTGCTTCAAATACCGGTAAATGTTACATCATCAAGAACCTTTTAGTAAAATCACAATTCTGTGATTTCTTACAGAGTTTAGAATAATCACTTCAACAATTATAGTAATTGTTTGACTCTTGCTAAGTAAGTATCTTGGAACATATTTCAACTTTTAATGCACATTTTATTCACTATATATATAAAGAATATATATAATTCCTTCTTAACATACAATAAAATTTATTAAATATTAAGGATTATTAAGAGGATATAATTGAAATATTAGAAAGCTATTTAACATTTTTTACTTTTTAAAGTATTTATTCATATTAAATCATTTCAAGTATTTCTACACATTACAAACACTGTGAGATAATCATATTTCAAATTGAAAACAAAAATCCTTCTCCACAAATCACCTTTACCAACTGTCTTCACCAATGTTTACCCTTTCAAAATATTTTTATCTCATATACAAGAGATAAAGTGATAATAATATAATTAGGGGTGAGTAGAGTAAGTAACCAGTTCCTCTGAGTATGTGCTCCAATTACTTTAGGTAATGTGATGAAACAGTGATTGGTGAGAATATTGAAAACTATATGAGGAGAAGCAGAGAAAAATAAGTTAATCAGCCACTTAGGTAAAAATGATCAGTTCCATTTGAGACTGTCCTCTACCAGTCATCCCCAGAAGCAACGTCAGCTCATCACACTTATTGTATGTTCCCTCATCCACCACTCAACCTCTCAGACTTTATCTTCAGTTTCATATCACAGATGGTTAGAACAATCCCTGGAAAAGGCAGTTATGGTAGATCAATTGCAATAGTCGCCCCAAGTTTTCACACCCTACCTGCATCTATGGCTTTTGATTTGTGACTTTTTATTCAATTCAGCAGTGGCAAACATGACCCAGAGGTTTGAAAAGGTGCTTCTGCACTTTCAGGTTCTTTCCTGGACACTGTCACTGCCCAGGATAGCCTGCTAGAAGAATGAAGAGGTGTGCAGGGTGTACTGTGTCATCTGCCTGAGAGGTCTTTGGAAAGCAGGCAGCCTCCAGCCAAACTGCCACTGGGATGCATGAGCAAGGCTGCTCCAGATGAACAGAACTGCTCAGCCAACACACACAGCTGTGAGAAATAAACGGAGGTTGCTTAAGTCACTACATTTTTGACTGGTTCATTGCCAGCAATAGCAGGTAATATACAGGAGTAATCCCTGAGGTTTTACATAAAGTGCATACAGGGGTGATCTCTAAGGTGTTACATAAATAATTGATTTCCAAGGACTCAGCCACTGGCTCTCCAGACTCAGAGGTAGCATCCAAGAACTTCTAGTCATTCTGGGTGATGGATATTCATGGCAATGCCCTGCCAGTGCAGTAGCTGTTGGCTTCCTAAACTCTATGGAGCAGCAGCTTTTGACTCATGCAAAGAAAAAAAATATATACGTAGAAGGAGAAGAGAGGGTAGAAAAGATGAAGGCTGGAGTTGGGGGACAAAAAGTGCTGGACTTTTCTAAATATAGCTTTTTGTGAAGATTTAATTTAGAACCATGTAAATATTTACATAATTATAAATCAAAATTACATTTTAAAATAGCAGTTCATAAAATCAGAGGCAACTTGAGGAAAGTGAAACTGTTGTGTTCCTGTTTCAACTGATTTTAAACAAAGAATGCAACTGCACATTTTCATAGATACAGATAAAAAAGTAATGTGAAAAATTTTAAAATTATGTTCATCATTATACAGTGATAGTGTTGAAGTGTGTTTTGTTATTATAACAAAAGTGTTGTGTGTGTAATTTGTGATAAAGAAATTAATTCTATATTTATGTCATTAAGAACTTAGATTTTGATGTGAGGGAAAGGTCATATAGATGAAAGATTATATAAGAAAAATTATATAATTTCAAAACAGAATCAGATGTATTACAATGCATTAATCATGCATTTTTTCTCTTAAAAATATATCTATTATTTGTATCCTCTAAAAATGTTTAAAAACAAAAAATAAACAATCTACAGACAACCTATAGCACCAAAATTATGATCTTCAAACAATGCAATTTCACATTAAAAGGAACTAGAGCTCTTTGGCAGGAAATGATTAGTACTATATCTGAGAATAAAATGTAAGAGATGAGACAGACAAATCTTGCCATAGCAAAAAATAACAGACAGCAAGAAAGCTATCTAAGACTAATGATATGTCAATAGAATCAAGAGCCAAACTGAAGACATTCATACTTTTTTAGAAGGATACTTTCAGTATTAATAAGACTAATAAGCACAATGAACAAGAAAATATATATAATTAAATCCATGGAATAAGGATACTTAAAACAACAAAGTATTCATTAACTTAGTGGTTTTCTAGGAAACAATGTTAATTTTCTATTGCTGCATAACAAAGTACCATAAACTTAGTGGCTTAAAACAACACACACTTATCATCTTATAGCTTCTGTGAGTCAGGAGTCTGAGCCCAGCTTAGATGAGGCCTCTGCTCAGGGAAGAGTTGCACAATACTATAATCAGAGTGTTATCCTGGGTATATTCCCATTTAGTGATTCAGCTGGGAAAGAATCTGTTTCTAAACTAATTTAGAATTGGCAGAATTCATTATAGCTTTAGAACTTCATTTCCTTGTGGCTGTTGAACTGAGGGCCCTTGCTTTTTGCTGGCTATCAGCTGGATACCACCTTCACATCCAAGAGGCTGCTCACAGTTCCTTGCCATGTGGATTTCTCCAATATGTCTAATTCATGGGATCTGCAAGGAGAATCTCTACCTCTAGTCTGCTCAGATGGAGTCTTATATAACATAAGTACATCAGTGACAGCCTTCTATTCCCTTTGCCACCTTATGTTGGTTGGAAGCATGTCACAGGTCCCACATAACTCAAGGCAAAAAGATTACACAAAGGATTGAAACAGAGTAGAGGAATCATTGGGAGTTGGGGTCACATAAGAATCTGCTATAGAAACCACCTTAATATTTTGAAAGCTGATAAATAACTGTAAAGAAGCAAACATTTGTCTTACCTTTTTTGTGAGAACAATACCTCAGAGTAGAAAAATAGTTGTTGAATGAAAAATTATCATTATAAAGGACATGGTAAAGAAAGAATGCTGAATTTAATGTAGTACCATGTTGTAATCACTAAAATAACGATCACTTATGCTTGTTAACTATGGCATTATTTACCTATTAATAGAAGTATGCAACACTGTATACAAAGTCTTTTTTTTTCCTAAAATGGCTTGTAAATGTCACAAAGTTTTTATGTTTAGCTACAAATTTATTGGCAACTAACCAAGTATAGTTCCAGATAGTGAAAGTGTCTAAAGGAAAACAAATTGTTTCCCTTTGTTTTTAACACAAGTGGAAGAAATAGATATATCAAGAGATTTAGTATATACATAAACATAGTTTGTATGTTTGTATTTATTTCATTTAATTCTTCATTCAAACTCTATAAAAATGTGAGACAATCATAGATATTTGATCACTTATCAGATAGCTGATGATATTAAGAAATGACTATGAAGAACTTTTTAGTTATGAGAATGTTATTGCTATTAATTTAAAAAATAATCTTGTTTTTTAAAAACATATTAGATAATTATTAATTAAATGGCATGTGTTGAAATACATCCAAATAACTGGACAGGGAGTATTATATGGAGAGATTGATGAATGAAGACAGAGAGATCGATGAATAATAATGTGTTATTGGCCAACTATTGGTAAAGAATTGTTGAGGGGCATATGATGGTTTATTTTCCTGTTTTCGGTGCTTTTATACACAGCACTTTCCCTTTACCCACTGTTTTACTCTCTGCACTTTCAGTTACCTGCAGTCAACTGCAGTCTGAAAATATTAAATGGAGAATTCTAATTCATAATTTTAAAATTGTGAGCCAATGTGAGTAGCATGATGAAATCACACACTGACCTGCCTGGAATGTGAATTCTCCATTTGTTGCGTGTACTCAGGTGTCTATGCTACCCTTCCATTAGCCATTTATTAGCCATTTTGGTTATCTATCATGGTCACCCATTGCATATGTTCCAGTTACCCTTAATGTATTTAATAATTGCCTCAAAGCACAAGAGTAGTGATGCTGGCAATTTGGATATGCCATAGAGAAGCTGTAAAGTGCTTCTTTCAACTGAAAAGGTGAAAGTTCTCCACTTAATAAGGAAAAAAATGCAGTGTTTGATATTATCTGTGGTTTCAGACATCCACTGGGGATCGTGGAAAGTATTCCCCATGGATATGTTTAAAGATTTTTTTACAATAAAATGTTTTTAAATAAATCAAAAATTAAATATTATAGTAACGTGATACCTACCATTATCCATTTGCAAAACAGACTACAAAATGATTAGCAAAAATATGCAATGCCCAGTCATTGGAGTCATTCATTTTCTTAACGTATAGAAAGTTTATTAATTATGTTTTCTTAAAATTTATAAAATGACAATTATATATTTTATAATTTAGAGTCACCTTTTAAAAATGACACATTTAGAAAGAGTTGGGAAATTTAAACACTTTAAAATTTCATTTTATGCATTTTATTACACTGTGTTTCTATTGAGGTATGTTGTGCATACAGTGAGGTGCACAGATCATAACTGTACAGTTCTAACATTATTGAAAAAAGCATAAAGCTAGGTCACTCACACCAATGTCAAGACTGATAACATTTTGATTACTCAAAGAAGCCTAATAGTGCCTACTTCTAGTCAATTCCCTACCTATTCCCTGAAAACAACTACTGTTGTAATTATTTCATCACTGCTTAAGTTTCTCTGTTCTATGAAAACAGTGTATGCAAGTGGAGGAATGGCACTAGAAATCTGATCTGTGAGCTGGCAATATGTGGTGCATTGCTGGTAGAGAATTTAAAACAATAAAATCCAACTAAAACTTGGTCAGTTTTTCAATATCACCACAAACTGGTGATTTTCAAAAAAGTCAGTATTAAAATACTCCACCTAGAGGAGATACCACTTCCACTATTACTCTCTCCTTCTTGGAAGGCCATTGTCCAAAATTATATCTACCAGAATGATGTTCTATACAATCCTATGGTAAGATTTCTTTCAGATAGCATTTTTGAGAGATTTATCCATGTCATTGTGTATATTGATAGTTCATCCCTCTTTATTGATGAGTACATATCCATTATTTAATAGATCATAACTTATCCATATTTCTGATGGTAGACATTAGGATATTTGTAGCTTGAGACTATTATAAAGTTGCTTTGAAAATTTTTATAAAAATGTATCTTACAAAAGGTGTATTTAAATGTATAAGAAAATGTCAAACAGTTTTCCAAATTGGTTGTATCATTTTACTCTGTGAACACCAATAGTTCCCAACATTTGGTTTTATCAGTCCTTTTAATTAGAGCCACTTTGGTGCACATATATCTGTACCTCACTGGGTTTTTTTTTTTTTTTTTTTTTTTTGCATTATCCTGATAACTCAATGATGCCACTCTTTTAAATAATCTGTTATTGGTCATTCCTACAAGTTATTTGCATAAAATCTGTTTGAATATTTTACCAGTTTTCCTGGTATGACTTTTCTCTATCATTGAGCTTAAGGAGTTGTTTATATGTTCTTTATTTAACTACTTTGCCAAATATTTGTATTGCAAATATTTTCTCCACAAATTTGTATTATTATTCATTTTAATGTATTTTGAATTATATATATGTAGTTCATAAATAAATATTTAAGTTTTTAAGATCCTTTTAATCAGATATTTTTATGATTAGATTTTTTGGGTAATGTAATGACAGCTTTTGCTAATCCCAGATTACAAATATGTTTTCTCATATTTTCTTTTAAAACTATATAGTGTTTGATTTTAAGTTTAGGTCAGTAATCCATCTCAAAATAAATTTCGTATATAGTGAAAGGAAGGTTCAAGGCTCATCATTTTTCATACAGATACCTAATTTTTTTGTACCATTTTTTGAAAATGCTCTTCATTCTGAATTGAACGGATGAAGTTGCTTTGTCAAAAATTATTTGATCATATAAATATAGGTCCATTATAGAAAGCTATTCTATTTCATTGATTTCTCTCTCCTTATGCCAATACCACAATGTCTTGATAACATTTATTTTAGACTGAAATTTGAATTCAGATAATGAAAGTCCTCCAATTTTGTTGCCTTTCAAAATTGTTGGGATAATTTATGTCTCTTGCATTTCTGTTTAAAATTTAAAATATTTTTCTTGACTTACTGTTATACACTTTGAGGTACAGTTAAGAATCTTATCTAACAATATTCTTACATATAACTCTTCTTTTATGTTATTTTCAAGTTTACTTCTATTTAAACTAAAAACTTACTGTACATGACTGTACATCATTGTCACCAGTTCTATTTAACATGGTACTCAAATTCTTACCCAGAGAAGAAAAAGAAATAAATGGCATTCAAATTGGAAAGGAAAAAGTAAGATTATTTATGTTCACAGAACTCATAATATGGTGTATAGAAATCCTAAAGTTTCCACAAAGCATTGTTAGAATAAATAAATCTAGCAAAGTTGCATGACACAAAATAAACACAAAAAATTAGTTGTGTTCTTGTACAATTATAAGGAACAATCTGGAGAGTAAGAAAAACATTCCATTCATAATAGCATCAAACAACAAAAAATTTAGACATAAACTTAACTAGGGAGGTGAAATATATATGCACTGAAAACTGCAAAATACTACTGAGAGAAATTAAAGACATCAATAAATGGAAAGACATTCCATATTTTGTATTAAGAAACTTAATATCAGTAAGAATTAATGCTACCAAAAGGTTTCTATAGATTCAGTGTAATCTCTACCGAAATCCCAATAACATATTTTGGAAGAATAGAAAATTCCAACATAAAATGTATTTGGAAACTCAGGGGGCTCAGAATAGCCAAAACAATCTTGATAAAAGAACATAGTTGTAGGTCTCACACTTCCTAGATTCCTTGTTCAGTGCTCTGACAGACTACCATAGGCCAGTGTCAATTTCACTCTGTTCAATGGCTCCTCTCCTCATCACAATTTGTGTAAAGCTACAATGACAGCATGAAGTCGACAGAAAGCACCAAAGAATTAATACCCCTACCCTATAAGAATAGTTTTAAACCAAAGACTCTTGAGAACTGATGCAAAAATATCTCAGCCCCCTCATCCCTCTCATCCTTGGGACCAGCTGAAACTGAAGCATATGTTGTGTGCCATTTTCCAGAGTTTCACCATAGAGTAAGCTGCAGGAGACAATAGAAGACACTGGTGCAATAGAGCTCTCTTTATAGCTGACTTTCCTTCCCTCTGATCACTTTTCTATCCTCATCCTCTTGTCTCTTATACTTCCCAAATAAACTACATCATCTCAAATTCTTGTATCAGGGATATCTTTGAAGAATCTGAACTAAGACAACAGTGACATTACTAGCTAGAGATAACAGTAAATCCTATCCATACCAATAGCTACACTAATGTGTCAAGCAAATTAAGTTATAAACCTAAGAGAGTTAAAAACCATCCACCAGAAAAAATTGAAAGTGTTAATTCACAGTAAGTTGATTAAAAAAAAAAACTTATCAAACTGTCATTGAAAGTATAGAAAATGTGTGATTATGTGGAATAAGTAATTAGGAAAATACATATTCCAGAAAATATTGTTTTGATTGTATTTAATTGTTAGATTCAGTAAATTAACTTATAAGTAAACATACCTGGTTCTAAATAACTGCAAAAGAATATTGCTATTTTATATCCTAAAGAAATAATGCTATTGGTATTTTATCCAATTTTTCCTTGTAATCTGCTAGCATAGAGTTCAAGCAACATAAATCATTTCACTAGTGTAGAAATATATACTGTTGAACCAATGCCACCACTTCAAAATTCATAGGATTTTTATGGCCAATTGTAAATAGAACATGTTTAATTAGAAGTGATGTTCTTTAAAAAACATTTTTTATAGAAAATAAGTGTGTAGAGAAGAATCTCATAAAATGTTCCAAAGCCAATCCCTAGCTCTGAGAACATTTTTAGAAGTAAAGCAAATATATTGGTATAACTGACCCATTAAGAAGGTGATAAAGTAAATGGAAAAGAGATGCAATAGTATTTCCACTTCAAAAATTTGTCACAAGCATGTTATTTTGTCTTTTCTTTTAATTGTACTCTATCTTATGTTTAATGGGCACTTTCTGAAATAGTGAAGGTAACTAGGGAAAATACAGAATGCTCCAACTTTGCTTCCCCTTGCCACACCACAAACAGTCCCAAGCAAGGTTATTTTAAAGACATCCCTGGATTTTCTGTTTGTTGGATTTGCCACCATGTCTAATTCTACAGTCACAACTCAATTGTTCCTAATACACTGGGCCAGATACTAAAATATCTACAGTACCATATATATGACATGTCATATACATATATATACACACACACATATATACACATACACACAGTGTCTGTATATAGTATATATATAGTCATATATATGTGTGTGTGTATATATATATTCATCATTGAACTTATATATATGACTCTGTAGATATTCATATATATGAAGAAAACTAGGAGGTCTCATCATTAGGGTTTGCATGGATTCCATCCGGAATCAAAACCCTCTGACACAGCCAGCCAAGGTGGGCAGGGCAATATAATCCTCTGCCTTTCTAAGGAACCAAAGCCTGAGTCAGTGTATTCCATATATGATTCGTGTACAATATTTTCAAAAACAATCTTACTGAAACTAGGCTTGAGCCTTGACAACTTCAATCCGCGTATCTCTCTTTTTTCTTTTTTTGATGGTATAACCTTCGTGTGCAATATTTCTTGAGATAAATTTATCAAAAACTTGTATTTATGAGGTAATTTCTTTGGATTGCAAGGTGTGTGCAGATATAAACAAAGACTGCAGTTACCTATTGCATTGTAATTTTCTTTTAAAATTTCTAAAACCTATTTTTTTCTACACTTGCAAATTTGAGGATCATTCATTTTAGTGTAATTAGTAGAAGATAATAGGATTGAAATTTTTCCCCTGCTCTCATTTTCTTCTAATAACAAAAAAAAAAAACCCTCTATATGTTGGCTTTGTTGCTTTAAAAACATTTTAATCATGAAATTTTGATATAACAAAATGGTAGGTAAGTTATAAAGAGAATTGTTTGAATGAACACACCATCCTTAAGACTGCCCAAATTATGAACTATTTTGTTAAGTCCTATCCCCTAATCAAAAGCAAGCACCCTGTTTCCAGTCTATTTTCATCCCCAGGAACTTTTTTTTTTTTTTTTTTTTTGAGACGGAGTCTTGCTCTGTCGCCCAGGCTGGAGTGCAGTGGCGTGATCTCGGCTCACCGCAAGCTCCGCCTCCCGGGTTCACGCCATTCTCCTGCCTCAGCCTCCCGAGTAGCTGGGACTACAGGCACCTGCCACCACACCCGGCTAATTTTTGGTATTTTTAGTAGAGACAGGGTTTCACCATGTTGGCCAGGATGGTCTCGATCTCCTGACCTCGTGATCTGCCCGCTTCGGCCTCCCAAAGTGCTGGGATTACAGGCGTGAGCCACCGCGCCCGGCCATCCCCAGGAACTTTTATCTAAAATACTGCATTTACCATTATTTGACTTTCTTTATAATTTTTTCCTTAAATAACATATTACAAAATTTTGCTTGTTTTTGAACTTTTCCCTGAGATTCATATATCTGATTAAACAATATTGATACATGCAGCTGTAGATGATTTATTGTCCATGCTGTATTTTAATATATAAATATACTACTATTTCCCATTCATCTGTCACCAAATATTCATCACATAGATATTTGAGGTATTTTCTTTTTTTCCATTACAACCCTATTATTGTAAACATTCTTAAAATTTTCTCCTGGAGTACATGTCCATATAACATAATACCATTTGTATAAATTTTAAAACAAACATTTGATAACTTCCTGTATTATAAAGGAAATTCCTTGTGGACAAAGACAGATAGAACTGAAAGTCATCCCTCTTCTTATGTGAGACGAATATATATCTGATTGCTTCCTCTGCCCTATTTTTTCACTGAGCCATATTAAGGCGTAAATGACTATTCCTGTAAATTGTATATTCAGTGAAAGGCTAATCAGAAACTCAAAAGAATGCAATCATTTGTCTTTTATCTACCTATGACCTGGAAGCCCCTTCCCCGTTTCAAGCTTTCCCGCCTTTTCAGAACGAATCAATGTACATTTTACAAGTACTGATTGATTTCTCATGTCTCCCTAAAATGTATAGAACGAAGCCGTGCCCGTCCACCTTGGGCACATGTCGTCAGGACCTCCTGGGGCTGTGTCAAGGTCGCCTTCATAACCTTGGCAAAATAAACTTTCAAAATTGACTGAGACCTGTCTCAGATTTTTTGGGTTCATAACTCAGACTTGGTAGTTTTCAGTTTATTTTTTAAAATAGAATATGTGCAAAATATATATCATATTGGTTTTAAAGTACATGTTCCTCTATTATCTGCTACTGTAACATATTATTTTAAATCACAGCTTAATATTCCTCACTAACCACATGGCTAAACCTTGCTTATCACATTCCTAATCATTGAACTTTTGTATCTGGTGCAAGCAAACTGCAACTGACTTACCTGGGTGATTCATAGCATGATTGTTTTCCCTGCCTTATACTTGCTCCTGGTTTCAGTTAATAATGGCTTTTCTTTCTGTTTGTGGGTCAGGGAGGCTTAAAGCATCATTTCCCTTTATCTTCCCCACCGAATAGTTTCCTGCTGTGCTTTACCCCTGTCTGTAATGTGAAAAACATCCGTCCTACCTAAATTACCATTCAAGTGTAATACCTTTTTTATTTAACCCTGAGTGCATGACTGCTCCCTTTAATCCTACTCAATCTACCCTGAACAGGGAAATATCTAAAGGAGAATTTATGGTCCCAAGCTTCAAATGCTATTTCTCAGTGTACTTGGAAATGATTTCAAAATTGATGTTCACTGAAGTTTTAGATCAAAAATTGAGCATAGATAAAGCCAAGGTCATGACTAGTCAGCTCACAATTATTTCTGTAAAAGCTTACCTAGAGAGAGTAACACTGCTGTGCTTTGTATCTCAGATGATAAATTAACATTAGAAGCCAAATTGAAGTATTACAGAATAAGGGCTCATGATCTGGCCAAAAAAGTATTCAGGCATGACCTCACCAATTAAGCCACTAAAGTGATATGACAGACAGGTCAGACAGCTTTAAAGAGTGTCTAGAACTCAAATAGTAACTGAGCTCAGGTGAACATACACAGAGGAAAGTGACAGCTTAGAGCAATAATTTATGTATCCTAGAATAAAATTCAAAACTGTTTTCATGGACTCTCTAGAAAATTCTTAGCAATCATTACACTAGAATATTTTACTCTTTTACAGATATTTGATAAGCATTTAGTACTCATTTGCTTCCCACAGCCACAATTTCCAAAGCTAGCAAAGGAGCTGTGGTAATATGCTAATTATATTACCTGTGAATAGAGAGAAGGTATTATTCTTTAACCCCTTGTCCAATATGTAAAGAACCAACAAACAACATTTTTGTATATAGTGTATTTATTATGATTTAACTAACTTACATTAATGTCTGTATAAACGTATAAAAGTCAAAAATTGTCCCCCAATTTTAATGAGATGACAAAGAATCATATGCCCTCAAATTTAAAACCACCTATAATTTGTGAAAATAAGAAGGGTAAATTAGAGTACTGGTATACAATTTATTTATAATTATTGACTTATTTCATATTTTAACAGTATTACTATTAAGAAAATTTTTTTTAAAAAAACCTCACATTGTATCAATGTTCATCATTCTTCATCATATTTTGTCCTCAGAGCATACCAGACAGCTTCTGAAGATACGTGTGTGCCTTGACTCATTGTGAAAACTTATCTTGCACATATTTGTCTGAACCATGAACTGTGAAAAATCATTTTTGACTTTTTAAGCCTAGGTTTGAGATATGGATCAAGCAGGGACAAGATACCAGCAAGCCCATAAATATAACAGCGCAAAGCATGAGGAGCAGAACCGAACTGAGAAAATGATCAAATCGGAGCAGTCTAACACTCATTTTATTCTCCTACATCAAAAGTACTCACATTAAAGCAAGGAAAATATGAATGTAAAATACTAACAAGGCCAGTGTAAAGGCAGTGTTACTAAAGTCAGTTAATTAGCAATGTTTTCAACCTCTTCTGAATGTTGAAATAATAATATATTTTTGTAATTTTCTTTACCACTCCACTCTTTTCTCTGCTGAGTAGAAGTAAATGAGGCATTGGAAAGGTTGGATTCTAGCCCTCATACAACATGAGTCTATAAATGAAGTGATATACTTAAAGCCTCTTTCAGAAGTGTAAAATGACTGCAACATACTTACAAGTTGAAAGCTATTTCTTTAACTGTACATTAAATATGTTAGCCAGTATAATCATACTTTGTAACCATGTTTTTTCCTAAAATGTGAATCCAAGTCGACCCTGCTCCATCACAGAATGATTATAATCAGAGGACCCCATCGCAGAAAAAACACTTTCCAGACTCTCTAGCACGTTAATATCCCTTATATGGTGTTCCTGTTGCATCTCTCCAGCCTGATAGCTCTCTGTCCTACAACTGTGTTAGGCTTTACCTCCTAACCTTTTGAGCTGTTTACTATTGCCAGGAGATGCTAGAATACCTCAGTGCCTTTGCTAAATATTTCTAGTCCATAAGTATACATGTCCTTCTCGCGCTCAGCTCACACACTAGCTTCCTGATGAAACTCCTGATCCTGCAAAGAGGACTTACTTTTTCCTGATATGCATTTTTACTTTCCCTTTATGTGCATCTTTACTTTTCTCTGCATATTCTACAGCATGGAGATAAAATATTTTAGCATTGATTGTTGCTGTGTCTGCTTCTTTTCACTTGGTTAAGGCCTCAAGGAGAGAATGTTTCAAAAGACTTTTCTATCTCCAATCCCCATAACAACCCCTGACACAAAAATGTGTATAAAATGGACTATGTCATCATTAGTAGTACTCTCTTTATTTTTATGAAATAGCATTATGGCTACTTTTCAATGTGGTAAACAGAAGAGAAAGTAGCCATGTAAATAAAACTCACTGTTGAATTACAATTCTCTGTTGGAATAAAATGAAAACTGAGAGTACCTGATACCTACAAGAAACTTTTGCTAAGGGAAATAGGTGATGTTCACATATACATTGACTTCAAGGGGCTTAAAATCTAGCAAATTAGACAGCTATGCAATTCTGTGTCAAATAAAACAGAATAGTCAATCATGCACGAAGACCTTTGAAATTAAAGATAATGAGAATATTATCAGTTTAAGGACCTAGGATTAAAACTATTCTCCTGAGTGACATTTGAGATGAAACTTAAGAACCAAATTGATTTTTGGTGCATACAATGCACTTCATGAACACTGGCATACATTGCGAATATGGCTTGGGACTATCTTCTATAAGATTTAAAATGCTGAAATAATATTTTAAATTTAATTTATTAGTATCAAGCCAGTGAAAGTTTAGGACTAGAATAATCAGATGATTAGGAATACACATTTTAGAACAATTCAAACAGGCCACCACATATAGAGAATTGTAATAACATGTGAAAAATGTTCAGGAGGCAGGTAAAGTCAAATAAACAATGACAACAATACTGAACTGTGACTGAATACAAGGTGGTGGCAGCACCTTGGAAAATGGAATGAGAAAGATTGGAGTTTACATGAATGTAAGGTTCAATGATTTATCAGCCAGCTCATTCATAAAGAGCAAGAAAGGCATTAAATATTAACCTGAGAATTTGAGCCCAGATAACGGGAAGGTTTATGTGCAAATAAAAGAATAATAAATTAATGAGAAAAAGATGTTCTGGAAAGAAAATGTATGCACAAGAAATAGTGCATTGTTATAGCATAAAGGGTACTGCAGCAAAAGTAACAACAGTAGTTATTTCTATTTACATTTTTTTCTTTACCATAATCCAGAAAAAAAAATTTTATCTCAATCTGAATCTCCAACAATCTATGCCAATCATTGACATTTCCACTGCCATTACATGGCAGAGTAAAAAATCAGTCCGACAGTACTGTAACATTCCTATAGCTTTATTTCTACACTTGTCCTGTCACTTAGTTTGCTGCTTAACCAGTGGCATAATAGTAAGTGTGTTAGGCAGCTGTCATTTGTTACAGACCAATAATTAAAATGTTAATTGTACTAAAACTGCAAATGTACTTTTTGTACTAGATAATAAAGAAGTCCCTTACAACCACATTTTCTGACAGAGAAACATTTGACATAATTTTTTTGATTTTTTTTTCTGTTCTCTTTTAGAGACATAAATAAGGTTTTTGTTTGATGTGATGGGTGGTGTAGAGCCACTTTCATGATAAACAACATAAAACCATTAAAACTAAAGAAATTTAGTTATCCTACGCACTACTTTATTTTATTATAGAACATCAACCGATCTAATAGACTTTTTGTACCAAATGGACTGAGTTTATTTTATTAGAATCGTGTAACTGAAAAGATTGCTTGAATGATTACTTTTGTTAAGGTTGTATCCTTGTTTCTATGTTGATTGATGTCAGGCAGGTAAGTAATAGATAATAATGAATTGCTACTACTGTCCATTTAAGAACAAAAATTGGTAATGAAATACTGGATGTTAGAGAACAAATTATTTTTTAATTTTTAAATTATAGTTACATAATAGTATATATTTGCAGGGTACATGTGATGTTTTGATGTAGGCATACAATGTGTAATAATCAAATCAGGGTATTAGAGTATCCATCACCTTAAGCATTTATGATTTCCTTGTATTAGGAACACTCCAATTCTACTCTTTTAGTTATTTTAAAATATACAATAAATTATTAACTATAGTCACCATATTGTGCTACTGAATACCAGATCTTATTCATTCTAACTATATTTTCTACCCATTAACCATCCCCAATTTACCCCCTCCCCGGCTTGCTATTCTTTCCTGCTTCTGATAACCATCATTCTGCTCTATATCCATGAGTTAAATTGTTTTTATCTCTCATATGTGAGTGAGAAGGCGTGATATTTGTCTTTCTGTGCCTGACTTATTTCACGTAGCATAATATCCTTCAGATCCATCCATATTGTTGAAAATAGCAAGATTTTATTCTTGTGGCTGAATAATATTCCATTGTGTATTTGTACCACTTTTTTTAGTTCATTCATCAATTGATGAGCACTTAGGTTGATTCCCTATCTTGGCTCCTGTAAATCGTGTTGCAATACACAGAGGAGTGCAGATATCTCTTTGATATACTAATTTTCTTTCTTTTGGATATATACCCAACAGTGAGATTGCTGTTTGATATGATAGTTCTATTTTTAGTTTTTTGAGGAACCTCCACACTATTCTTCATAATGGCTATATACTAGTTTACATTCCCACCAACTGTAAAAGGGCTCATGTTTCTCCACATCCTTGCCAGCATTCATTACTGCTTGTCTTTTGGAGGTGAGCCATTTTAACCGAGGTAAAAAACTATCTTATTATAGTTTTGATTTGCGTTTCTCTGATTACTAATGTTGAGCATTTTTTATACATCTTGGACATTTGCGTGTCTTGAGAAATATTTATTCAGATTTTGCCAATCATTAAAGCAGATTGTTTTTTTCTTTTCTACTGTAAAGTGTGAGCTCTTTATATATTCTGATATTTATCCCTTCTCAGATGGATAGTTTACAAAATATTTTCTCACGTTTTGTGTTGTGTCTTCACTTTGTATTATGTTTTCTTTGCTGTGCAGAAGTATCTTTGCTTGATGTGACTCGTGCCCATTTTTGCTGTGGTTGCCTATGCTTTTGAGTTGTTACTCAAGATATCCTTGAATAGACCAATGTCCTGGAGAGTCTCCCCAATGTTTTATTATGGGAGTTTCACAGTATCAGGTATTAAATGTAAGTCTTTAATCAAATTTGATTGTATTTTTATACGGTGAGAGATAGGGGTCTAGTTTCATTTTTCTGCATGTGGATATCTAATTGTCCCAGCACCATTTACTGAAAAGACTGTCTTCCCCGAATGTGTGTTCTTGGTGCTTTTGTTGAAAAAAGATTGACTAATAATATATTTATTTATTTATGGATTTTCTATTTTTCTCCATTGGTCTATGTGTTTGTTTGTATGCTAGTACCATGCTGTTTTGGTTATTATAGCTTTGTAATATAATTTTAAGTCAGGTAATGTAATTCCTCCATTTTTGTTCATTTTGCTAAGGATGGCTTTAGCTATTTTGGGTATTTTTTAGTTCTATATAAACTTTAGGATTAGATTATTTTTTCTATTTCTGTGAAGAATGTTATTGTTATTTTGATAGAGATTGGGTTCAATCTTGAATTTGCTTTGGGTAGTAAAAACAATACAAAAATACTGATTTTTCCCATGCATGAAAATGGAATATCTAATTTTTAGTATTCTTTTTGATTTCCTTCATCAATGTTCTATAATCTTTCACTTGTTTGGTTAACTTTATTCTTAGGTATCATATTAGTCTATTTTCCTGCTGCTGATAAAGACATACCCAAGACTGGGCATTTACAAAAGAAAGAGGTTTAATTTGACTTACAGTTCCACATGGCTGTGGAAGCCTCACAATCATGGCAAGAGGCAAAGAGGAGCAAGTCACATTTTACGTGGATGGCAGCAGGCAAAGAGAGAGATTTGGCAGGGAAACACCTGCTTTTAATACCATAAAATATCATAAGACTTATTCACTATCACAAGAACAGCACAGGATAGACCTGCCTCTGTGATTCAATTACCTCCCACTGGATCTCTCCCACAACACATAGGAATTCAAGATGTGGTATGGGTGGGAACACAGCCAAACCATATTATTCCACCCTTGGACCATCCCAAATCTCATGTCCTCACATTTCAAAACCAATAATGCCTTCCCAACAGTCCCCCAAAGTCTTAACTCATTTCAACATTAACTCAAAAGTCCACAGTCTAATATCTGATCTGAGACAAGGCAAGTCCCTTCCGCCTATGAGCCTGTAAAATCAAAAGCAAGTTAGTTACCTCCTAGATACAGTGGGGTTACAGGAATTGAGTAAATACAGAAATTCCATTTGGGAGAAATTGGCCAAAACGAAGGGGCTACAAGCCTCATGCCAGTCCAAAATCCAGCAGGGCAATCAAATCTGAAGGCTACAAAATAATCTCCTTTGACTGCGTGTCTCACATCCAGTTCACACTTATGCAAGATATGTGTTCTCATGATCTTGGGCAGCTCTGCCCTTGTGGCTTTGCAGGATCCAGGCTCCCTGCCTGCTGCTTTCACAGGCTGGCATTGAGTGTCTGCAGCTTTTCAAGGCACAGAATGCAAGCTGTTGGTAGATCTACCATTCTGGGGTCTGGAAGATGGTTGACCTTTTCTCACAGCTCCACTAGGCGGTGCTGCAGTAGGGAGTCTGTGTGGGGGCTCTGACCCCACATTTCTCTTTCGCACTTCCCTAGCAGAGGTTCTCCATGACAGCCCCACCCCTGCAGCAAACTTCTTCCTGGATATGCAGAAGTTTCCATACATCCTCTGATATCTAGGCAGAGGTTCCCAAACCTCAATTCTTGACTTCTGTGCACTCACAGACTCAACACTACATGGAAGCTGCCAAGGCTTGAGGCTTGCAGCCTCTGAAGCCACAGCCCAAGCTCTATGCTGGCCCCTTTCAGCCACAGCTGGAGCATCTCAGATGCAAAGCACTGAGTGCCTAGGCTGCACACAGCACGGGGACCCTGGGCCCAGCCCACAAAACCATTTTCTCCTAGGTCTCTGGGCCTTTGATGGGAGGGGATGCCATGAAGACCTCTGATATGTCCTGAAGACATTTTCCCCATTGTCTTGAGGGTTAACATTTGGCTCCTGGTTACTTATGCAAATTCCTGCAGCTGGCTTGAATTTCTCCCCAGAAAACGGGTTTTTCTTTTCTATCACATTGTCAGGATGCAAATTTTCCAAACTTTTATGCCTTGCTTCTCTTATAAAACTGAATGTCTTTAACAGCACCCAAGTCACCTCTTGAATGCTTTGCTGCTTAGAAATTTCTTCCACCAGATACCCTAAATCATCTCCCTCAAGTTCAAAGTTCCACAAATCTCTAGGGCAGGGGCCAAATGCCACCAGTCTCTTTGCTAAAACATAACAAGAGTCACCTTCACTCCATTTCCCAACAAGTCCCTCAACTCCGTCTAAGAACACCTCATCCTGGACCTTATTGTCCACATTGCTATTAGGCTTTTGCTCAAAGGCATTCAATGTCTCTAGAAAGTTCTAAACTTTCTCACATTTTCCTGTCTTCGTCTGAGCCCTCCTAACTGTTCCAACCTCTGCCTGTTACCTAATTCAAAGTTGCTCTCACATTTTTGGGGTGCCTTTCAGCAACACCTCACTCTACTGGTACCAATTTACTGTATTTGTCCACTTTCACACTGCTGATAAAGACACACCTGAGACTGGGCAATTTACAAAAGAAAGAGGTTTAATTTGACTTACAGTTCCATGTGGCTGGCGAAGCCTCACAATCATGGCAGGAGGAAAGGAGCAGAAAGTCACGTTTTACATGGATGTCACCAGGCAATGAGAGAGACTGGGCAGGGAAACTCCCCCTTTATAACACCCTAAGATCTCATGAGACTCATTATCATGAGAATAGCACAGGAAAGACCTGCCCCCATGATTCAATTACCTCCCACTGGGTCCCTCTCACAACACATGGGAATTCAAGATGAGATTTGGTTGGATACTCAGCCAAACCATATCAGGTATTTTATTTTATTTATAGCTATTGTAAATGGGATTAAATTCTTGTTTTTTTTTTCTTTCATATTGTTCACTGTTGGCATACAGAAATACTAGTGATTTTTGTATGTTGATTTTGCACCCTGCAACTTTACTGAATGTGTTTATCAATTCTAATCATATGCTTGTGGATTTATTGTTTTTTTTTTCTAAATTTAAGATCATAACATTTTCAAAAAAAAAAGAATTTGTCTATGCCCTCTCTAATTTGGATGCTCTTTATTTCTTTCTCTTGTCTGATTGCTCTGGCTAGGACTTCTAGTATCAAGTTGAATAAATGGTGACAGAGGGAATCCTTGTCTTTTTCCATATCTTAGAGGAAAGAACTTCAGTTTTTTCCCATTCATTACAATACTAGTTGTGGGTTTGTCATATATGGCTTTAATTACATTGAGGTATATTCCTTCAATACCTAGCTTTTTGAGAGTTTTTATAAAGGTATGTTGAATTTGATTGAATACTTTTTAAACATCAGTTGAAATGATCATATGGTCTTTATCCTTCATTCGGACTATATGATGTATCACATTAATTTGCATGTGTTTAATTATCCTTGTATCCCTAGGAGGAATCCCACTTGATCATGATGGATGACCTTTTAATTGTATTGTTGAATTGGTTTGCTAGTTTTTTTGTTGACATTTTTGCTCTATGATATCAGAAATATTAACCTGTAGTTGTATTTTATTTCTTGTGGCTTTGTCTGATTTTTGCTTCAGAGTAATGCTGGACTCATGGAATGAGTTTGGAAGTATTCCTTCCTTCTAGATTTTTTTATAAGTTTGAGTAGAATTGGTATTAATTTTTATTTAAGTGGTAGAATTTAGCAATGAAGCCAGCAGGTTCTGGGCTTTCATTTGATGAGAGATTTTTTGTTCTTCCTTCTATATCATTACTTGTTATTGGTCTATTCATGTTTAGGATTTTTTTTTTGTGGTCTAATCTTTGTAGGTTGTATTTGTCTAGAAATTTTTACGTTTATTCCAGATTTTACATTTATTCTAGATGTTGATATTTAGTTGATAATGATAGTCTGTGAGAATCCTTTGAATTTCTATAATATTAGTAGTAATGTCTCATTTTTCATCTTTGATTTTATTTTTGGGAATCTCTCTTTCATTCTTAGTCAAACTAAAGAATTGGCAATTTTCTTGATATTTTCAATAAATCAAGTTTCCATTTCAATGGTATTTTGTATTTTTGTCTCAATTTTATTTATTTCTGCTATAATTTTTATCATTTCTTTTCTTCTATGAACTCTGGGTTTGGATTGCTCTTACTTTTTAATTTTTTAACATGCAAATATAAATTGTTTATTTGAAGCTTTGCTCTTTTTAGATTTATGTGTTTATTGCTAAAAATTTCCCTCTTACTGCTACATTTGCTATATTCCATAGCTTTTGGTGTGTTATGTATCTACTTTCATTTGTTTCAAGAAAGATTTATTTGCCTTCCTACTTTCTTCACTAACCCAGTGGTCATTCAGAAGCATATGGTTTAACTTACATATGTTTATATAGTTTCCAAGATTCCTCTTACTAATTTCTAGCTTTATTCCATTTGGTCAGAAAAGGTATTTGATATTGTTTCAATTAAAAAATGTTTTTGTGTGGCCTAACATATGGTTTATACTGTATTGTCTGTGTACTTACTATTCCCAAGTGAGTGGTGATTTCTTGTTGTTCATCAGTGTCCTTTTCTTCCAGACTGAAAAACTCCCTTTAGCATTTCTTATAACACAAGTCTGGTGTTTACAGTATTTCCCAGCTTTGATTGTCTGAGAAAGTGTTCATTTTTTCTTCATGTTTGAAAGACAACTTTGCTGGACATAACATTCTAGATTGAAAGATTTTTTTTTTTTCATTCACCACTTTGAAATGTCATCCCACTCTCTCCTGGCCTGTAAGGTTTCCACTGAGATGTCTGCTGCCAGACATATAGGAACTCCTTTATATGTTTTCTGCTTCTTTTGCTTGCTGATTTTAGAATCCTTTCTTTCATCCTTGAGCTTTGAGATTTTGATTAACATAAGCCTTTTACTCTTAATTGGATTTAGTCTTCTTGGTGTTCTATGACCTTCTTGTACCTCAATATTCATATCTTTCACCACAATTGGAAAGTTCTTTATTGTTATTTCTTTCAGTAAAATTTCCACTATGGTCTCTCTGTCTCTACATCCTTTTTATGGCCAATAACTCTTATATTTGCCCTTTTGAAGTGGTTTTCTAAATCTTGTTGGCATTCTTCATTTTTTCAATTCGTATTTTCTTTTTTCTCCTCTGACTGTATTTTCATATAGCCTGCTTCAAGCTCATTAATTCTTTCTTCTGCTTGATCAATTCTGCTGTTGATAGGTACTGATGTATTTTCAGAATGTCAATTAAATATTTCATTTTTAGTTTTTCTGTTTGACTTTTTTATTATTTTAATCATTTAAAAAATTTCTCTGAAAGAAATTTGAATTCCTTCTCTCTGTTATCTTGAAGTTCATAGAGCTTCCTCAAGACAGCTATTTTAAATTCTTACTCTGTAAGTTCACATACATCTGCCACTGCAAGATTGGTAACTGGGGCCTTATTTAACTTGTTTGGCGAGGTTGTGTTTTCTTGGAAATTCTTGATGCTTATGGATTTTTGTTAATGTCTGGGCAGTAAAGAGTTAGGTATTTGTTTCAATGTTCACAGTATGGGTTTGTTTGAACCCATCCTTCTTGAGAAGGCTTTCATCATATTCAAAGGAATTGGGTGTTATGATCTAAGCCTGTGGTCAATGCAGCCATATAAACATTAGGAAGTGCCCTAAGCATAGAAACACTCTCTTGCTGATTCCTAGAGGCATCACCTTGGTAGACTTGGGTAAGATCAAGGAGAATTCTTTGGGTTATCAGGTGACATCTCATGCTCTATTTCTTCTCTTTCCCCCAATCTTAAGGAGTCTCTCCAGGTATACCTGGAGTTGGGGGATGAGTGATATGACCACTTTCATGGCAACCATAGCTGGGACTGTGCTGGGTGACACCTGAAGCTAGCACAGTTCTGGGTCTCACCCAAGGCCCATGGTGAATACTGCCTGGTTACTACTAAGTTTATTCAAGGGCCAAAAGCTCTTTTGTCAGCACGCGGTGAATCCTGACAGCACTGCGTTCTCCCTCAAAGGCAGTGAATTCTTTTCTGGCCCAGGGTAAGTCTAGAAACATCATTCATAAGCTAAGGCCCAGAACTGGGGGCTTCAGGAATTTGCTTGGTGATTTATTTTACTGTGGCTGAGTTGTTATCGAAGTTGCAAGATGAAGTCCTCTGTACTTTTCTCTCTCATTCCCCAAGGAGTATCTCCCTAAGCTACACTGCCTACAGCTGAGGGAGATGTGATACAGGCATTTCCTGGGCACCACAGCTGGTGTTGCACTTCAATTCCACAGCCTCTGAGACCACTGAAGCTCCAGAGCTCGCCCAAAAACTGTAGTCCTTGTGGCCTGACAGCCGCTCAAATTTATTCTGGGTCCCAGGCCACTTTAGTCAGCTGGTAGTGGAACCAACAGGGGCTCAAATTCCTAATCTTGGTGCTGAGAATTCTCCTGTCACCCAGGGTTAGTCTAAATTCTCCCTCTGCGGACACTGGCATAAATCTGTCCTGTATTGTATTCCACTGTGACAAGGCAGTACTGAGTTCCAATGCACAGTACTACATTCACTTCATTCTCTCTCCTCTAAGCAGAGACACTCTCTCCAAGCAGAGTACTCTCTCCAAGCAGCGATACTCTCTTCAAGCAGCAATGATGGGAGTTGGAGGATAATGGTGTAAGCAATGCAAGACTTTCTTTTCCACACTCTTGAATGCCTTTTTCCTTGACATTATGTTAAACCAGATACTATGATTGCTAATTTGATTTTTTGGTTCTTATGAAGTGCTTTCTTGCATGGATAATTGTGCAATTTGTTGGCCCTGTGGGGGAACAATCGCTGAAGCGTTCTATTCGGACATCTTGCTCTGTCTCCTAATTCTCAAAAATGACTTTTTAAAAATCACTATATCTAAGTGAGAGACTTTCAAAAAGTAATTTTCTTTCAAGAGAAAAACATCTTGCTAAGTAATTCATTAAATACTCTAAATAGAGATTCTTTCAGTTTCTACAGATCGAATTATTTCACCTATGAGTTTAGGTGACATGAAAAGAAGATTAACAGTGTAATTGAAACTTAATTGAATGCTAATAAAGATGTGACCTGTGGTTATTATGATTTCTAATTGTTTTCTCTTGATGATACTTACATAAAACAACAAGCAAAAAAGTAATACACATGACATTTATTTATACTATAGAGTTATGTAACTTGTAAATATTTTAAACTATGTATTTGGTAGTTCAGAATACTTGAATAGTTTTGCACTCTATGTTGTAAATACAAAAATAGTAATTATTCAGTTATGTCAAACATGGATTTATTGTCTTTCAGCCTGTATTTTTATGTGTTCTTATGCACAATGGGACTATTCTGACTGACAGCATTTATCATTAGCAATTTTACAACTGGGCTGTGTCAGGACCTGCCTGATTCTTTAGACTATGAACTCTTCCTCCCACTCCTTTGTTTATCTGTTCTACATTAAGAACGTATTTATTGAATTCTTATTCTAAACCAAACACTATTCTAGGGGGAGGGAGAAACAGAAGTGAATAAAGCAATAAATATCTCTACCTATACCACGTATAATATCACTTGCTATCCAACACTACACTCAAGGCCTTAAAATTATAAATAGTATTAACCAGAGAAACTTAAAAATTCTTAGTTAGACCCACTTTCTGACCCTTGCTTCTTGTCTAAGTCTACACTTATGCAACAATTCCACTAGCTGAGCCCTTGCCTTTTATCCCTGAGATCAAACTCCTGACAGATGATAGCCAATTTGTCATAACTAGAGCACATTAGTGGCCTCTGCTTTTTATCCTGCTTAGGGCAAACTGCTTACTACCCTAGCTGCTCCAGTACTGAAGTTGTTGTTTGTGGGAATGGGAATACTTTCTATATAATCAAACAGTAGGATCAAACTACCAGCACATGCATACTGCCAACGTATTTGGCAACAGTGGTTTGCCTACTCCTTGATAGATCTGTAGATTTTATCTGCCACTGTATTATCTATAGTAATCTCCAAAGTGAAGCAGAGTCACAGTGTCCTGGCTACCAATGTCTGAGTCTGGTGAGACGGAACATGTGCACATGCAACAAGTTATATGAAATGAATTTATTATGTGCAAATAGGCAACGACGGACCAGAAAAGCCTAAGGTTTGTGAGCTGGTCCCAAAGTGTCAAGAAAACTGCCTGGGGAGGATAGAGTCTTAACTGCATGTGTCCCACTTGCATAGGACCCCAAAATGCAGCCCACCATGGGTTATATAGTTCAGGGAAGCTTGACTCACTGAACTAAAGCTTGGAATCTCCGCTTGATTTCACAGGAAAGAAAAACAAAGCCCAGGCTTTTTCAAGCAGTTTCTACCTATCTCAGGATCTAGCATTCCCAATATATTCTGCAGTTATTCTTGAAAACTACAAGCAAGAAAGGGGGGAGAACTGAGTAAGTACAAGCCCACCCAGAGAATTGTGCTGCACCCTATTAGAGCAACTGTTACTTTATTATTTTGCCAAGTCCAGTAAATGCCTATGAGTCTTCATATCTTACCACCTCTGGCAGTGCTCCAACTTAACAATCAATACCAGTTCCCGAGTATTATCCTTCTCATTTAGCTCCTTTTGCAGCAAATTAAGTCATTCCTGCCTACATTCCAATCTATAACATCTTAGCATGGACTGTGGTAGCCTTTGATCCAGACATTGTGTTAGGCAAAGTAAATGCTGCAATAGCAAACATGGACAGAAGCACAACTTTCTAATTTGTAGGCAAAGTTGCAAAGCTATGAGTTCAGAAATTAGAACTAAAATTGTAGATCGGTTGAATAAAGGTAGAATAGAGGAGATGTAATTAACATTGGTCGAGTTTTATAAAGAGTTTCAAAATTTAAGACATTTTTTTCTAGGCAGAGTGAAGGGTTATTATGGGGCCTGTCAGGTAAGCATAACCACCACAGAGGTCCAGCAGCAGCTATTACCGAGATAGCATCTGCAGAGGAAGTTCATTTGGGCCTGAAATACAACTAATCTGGGTATGAGAATTTAGCCTTGAATTACTGAAATAGAAGGTAGAAGAAACCTAGGCACAGGACATAATCAGCACCGAACTGATAACTTATTAGCACCTGTCTGGCAGGCAGGTGCCTTTATTTTTTTCTTTTTTTTGAGATGGAGTCTCACTCTGTCACTGAGGCTGGAGTTCTGTGGCACGATTTCGGCTCACTGCAACCTCTCCCTGCCGGGTTCAAGTGATTCTCCTGCCTCGGCCTCCCGAGTAGTAGTAGCTGGGACTACAGGCACCTGCTACCACGCTTGGCTAACTTTTGTATTTTTAGTAGAGACAGGGTTTCGCCATATTGGCCAGGCTGGTCTCCAACTCCTGAGCTCAGGCAATCCACCCACCTTGGCCTCCCAAAGTGCTGGGATTACAGGCATGAGCCACCGCGCCCGGCCTGGCAGGCTTCTTAGGTATACAGTATGCCTGGGCCAATAAACACAGGGCAAATGATACCAAGCTTGGAAGGATGTAGATACTCGGATATATAATTACAAGCAAAATGTCATTTTTATGGGTTAAAATTTTTAGAAAATCAGAGATTATCAAATACCACAATAACAATAAATATTTCAAATGGAATTGCTGGTAAAAATAAAATTTGAACCACATGAAATAAATATCTATGTAAAGTCTTACTGACATTTTTTAAATCAATTTTTACACTTTCTAAGGAGTTTCATATTTCTTTGTGAACCCGATTGTTTCTGTTAATATTTACACCGACCTGTTGAGACAATACTAACGCTCTTAAAATCACCCCTTTGTCTCAGCTACGTCCTAGTAAATGAAAATGTGATGTGTCACTCATTAGATTTACATCATCCATATCTTCCAGGAGCATGCTTTACCTTTGAGATAACCATGCCATAGTAACACACAGAAACTGAGCAAGATGACAGTGAGGTATCCAAGAATAAATTAACTACATCAGAACTTACATAATTTGGTGCTATCATTCTAAAAGGCACAGCCAGCAAGCTCAAATTCATAATATGTGACACATTTCAAAACAATTAGTCTGTAATTTCTCAGACCAGCAGGGATTTCTTAGTTTTCAGACAAATTCATCCCATATTTGCAAAATGCATTTTATCTCGTATGGCAAATGCGTCAAATTTTGTTTATATTTTTTTTTATTTTTATGGGTACATAGTAGGTGTACATATATGGGATACATGAGATTTTTTGATACATGCATGCAATGCATAATAATCACATCGGATAAATGCAGTGTCCATTACCTCAAGCATTTATCATTTATTTGTATTACAAACATTCCAAGTATATTCTTTTATTTAAAAATAAACAAATTGTTGTTGACTGTATCCTGTTGCGCTCTCAAATACTAGATTTTATTCATTCTGTCTAACTATATTTTTGTATCCATTAAAACAATCCCACTTCCACCTCCCCCTACTCCGCTACCCTTCCCATCCTCTGGTAACCATCATTTTACTTTCTATCTCCAGGTATTGAATGATTTTAATTTTTATCTCCAACAAATTAGTGAGAAAATGTGAAGTGTGTCTTTCTGTGCTGGGCTTATTTCACATAATAGAATGTCCTCCAGTTCAACCCATGTTGTTTCAAATGACAGAATTTCATCATGTTTTATGACTGAATAGTACCCCATTGTGTATATGTACCACATTTTCTTTATCCATTCATATGTTGATGGACATTTAGATTGCTTCTGAATCTTGGCTATTGTGAATAGTGCTGCAATAAAAATAGGAGTGCAGATAACTGCTCAATATACTGATTTCCTTTCTTTTGCATATGTACCTAACAAACAGTAGGATTGCTGGAACATATGGTAGCTTCATTTTTAGGTTGTTGAGGAACCTCCATACTGTTCCCCATAGTATTTGTACTAATTTACATTCCCACCAACAGTGTATGAGGATTCCCTTTTCTTCACATCCTCACCAGCATTTGTTATCCCCTGTCATTTGCATAAGTGCCATTTTAACAAGGGTGTTATGATATCTCATTGTAGTTTTGATTTGCATTTCTCTGATGGTCAGTAATGTTGGGCATCTTTTCATATTCCTGTTTTCCATTTGTATGTCTTCTTTTGAGAAATGTTTATTCAGTTCTTTTGCCCATTTTTAATTCAGATTATTAGATTTTTTTCTTATTGAGGTGTGTGAGCTCCTTATATATTCTGGTTATTAATACCTTGTAAGGTGGATAGTTAATGAACATTTTCTCTCATTCTATGTGCTGTCTCATCAAAATGTTAATTGTTTCTTTTGCATACAGAAGCTTTGTGTGACCATTTTTGCTTCAGTTGCCTGCACTTTTGGTATAGCCCTTGAGAAATCTGCAGACCAATGTCCTGGAGAACTTCCCCATTTTTTTTAGTAGTTTCAAAGTTTAGGTTTTAGATTTAAGTCTTCAATCAATTTTATTTGACTTTTTTTAATATGGTGAGAGACAGGGTTCTAGTTTCATTTTCTAAATATCGATATCCTATTTCCCCAGCAGCATTTATTGAAAAGACTGTCCTTTCCCCAATGTATGTTCTTGGCACCTCGTTTGAAAATTAGCTTACTGTAAATATATGGATTTATATTTGGATCGTGTATTCTGTTCCACTGGCCTGTGTGTATGTTTTTATGCCAGTACCATGCTGTTTTGGTAACTATAGCTGTAGTATAATTTGAAAATTGGTAATGTGATTCTTCTAGTTAGGTTCATTTTGCTCAGAATAGCTTTGGCTATTCTGGATCCTTTGTGGTTTCATAGATACTGTACAACTGTTTTTTGTATTTCTATTGCTGTGAAGAATGTCATTGGTATTTTGATAGGGATTGGATTCCATTTGCAGTTTGCTTTGGATACCTTAACATTATTGATTATTTCATGAACATGGAATATTTCTTCATTTTTTGTGTCTTCTTCAATTTCTTGTTTAATGTTTTATAGTTTTCATTGTAGAGATCTTCTACTTTTTTGGTTAAGTTATTCTTAGATATTTTATTTTGTTTTATTTTATTTGTTGCTGTTGCAAATGACATTATTTTTGTGATTTCTCTTTCAGATTGTTTGCTCTTGGCATATAAAAATGCTACTGATTTTTGTATGTTGATTTTCTATCCTGCAGCTTATTGAATTTATCTGTTTTAATAGCTTTTTGGTGGAGTCTTTAGGTTAAAAACATAAAATTTATCGTGGATACTCAAACTAGAGACAAGGAATTTCGATGTTCAGACATAAATTGTGGAAAAATCTTTTAAAGAAGGGAGGTTTACAGGTTTGCTTGTTTACTTTCATCTCCTCCCTCCTCTTGGCTCCTCCTTCCCTTTTTTTTTTTCTCCTTAAAATCACTTTTTTCTTCCTTTCTGTTTTGAATTTAGGTACATGTAAGAGAGTTTATTATACCCCACAGTACATGGCATATCAACAGTTTTGCAAGGTCTTTCCTTTATTTAAATTAATTTTTTTAACTATCATTTCTATTTCTCATTTACAATCTCTACCACCTTCCCTTATGGTTAAATTGTGTGTGTGTGTGTGTGCACGTGCATGCACATGCTCACGCGTGCACACCTACACCTTGGTAAGCCAAAGAATGTTTATGTTTCTATGGTCATACCTACTTATTTCTGTTAAATAGCATTCTGTTGTGAGTCTTATACTCTTTGTTAATATAACTTTTAAACAAAAATGATTTCAGTTGCATATAATCACATATTTTCCTATTTCAAAACGTTCCATATTTTTATGCAGCCCTCCTCCACGTTTTACTGTCCATTTCCCGTAAGTAGACGTATAAGTTGCCTTTATCTAAATGCTAGCAAAAATGTTGCTTCCGTGAATGTTTCTGTACACGAGTCTAATTAAACCGAGCAAGCATTTCTGGGGTATAAGGATTTTAACTGCAGATCACAATATATACTTATATTCAATTTTATTTTATGTTTCCATATTTATTTCCATAATGACTTTTCTGATTAAACTGTTTTCAGCATTATACACATTTCAAAGTCTCTACATATTCACCAAATCATTTATACAATCAAACTTCATGTTTTGCTAACCATACAAGTATAAAATGGTTATTATTTACATTTATGTTTGTATGATTACCAATGAAATTGTCAGACATTCATGTGCTCCATGTATGAACTGCCTCTTTATATACTTTGTCCATTTTTCCCCATTGGATTTTGTATTTCATCTCATTGATTTGAGGATAGATATTTCTATCAATTATTTAATCTTATATTATTTTAAACTGTTTTAAATATAAATAACAAGTGATAGATGTTATCACAATCTATTACTTCTCAACTTTTTTGTTGGTATCCTGTGTTAAGCTGAACTCCTTGATCTTAATGTAGTAAAATAATAGGTATTTTTTATCCAAATTTTCCTTTTTTGAGATCTTGTTTTAAGAAAATCTTTTTTTGTTCTAATTCAACAAATGTTTATTAAATACTTACTGTGTGTCAAGTATTATCCTAGGCATCCTTTTTTTCCAAAATAAATAAACCTGTTACAGTTATCCATGACTCTGAGAGAGTGAGCTATACTAAGAATTACCTCTAGGGTGAACAGTAACGTTCTATTATTTGAAAATTCCTCTGGCAATATATGATTTCAGAATGATAACCTCTTTCCTGTCGTGCTTTCTTCCATCCTAGATATGCATTGTAGATGATCAGGTGGTCTGAATCCACCATGGCCAAAGCTGATTTTGCAAGATCTGCATCATCTTTTCAACCAATTGGTGTGGTAAAAGGAGACTTCTCTGTTATAACTGCAGCTAGTGTTGCCACTGGGTCAAGGCAGCCAAATACTGTACCAAAAATAAGCGTCTTGCCAGTCTTGACATACACAGGTAAAGCTGCAAGGTGTTGGCCCAACGGAGTCAGCTGAGGCTCATTTAGCTTACAAGCTCCAGTTTTTTGGAGGAAATTCATTGAATGGCTGATCACTGGGAGCTGAGGCGGATCTAAGGCTTTGAAAAGGATATCTTCAGGAGAATCATGATTACACCTCATAATATGAAGGCATAATTTCTCTAAAGGTACATGTAAGATTTCAGGAACAGAATAATCCATAAAGCCTTCATATTTTTCTCTTGTGTACCCCCAGAAGCAGAAGCCATCTCTGTCCTGCCCAGCTCTCCCCTCGCACTGCAAAGCACTGGCTTTACTGACAAATGTCTCAACCAAAGAACTCATCTATCTGCTTTCATGGCTCTTATTTTCTTCTGTTTTTCCAGTATCAATTACAAACTCAATATCTGGAATAGCGCTACCCGTCTCTGCAAAATTTGTTGCTAAAACAATCTTTCTGACTTCTGCAGGAGGAAGTGTGAGTGCTGCAGCTTGACCTTGGGTTGAAAGAACAGAATACAGAGCTATCCATTTATACCGTTCAGAATAAAACCTTTTATCATTTGATAGGAGATCATACAACTGCTGAATATGAGCAAGGCCTGGTAAAAAGATTAATACTGCTCCTTCAATATTTCCGACTTGGGAACTTTTATCTAAATACGCAAGAAGTTCTAAAATGAAATCCAGGTTGATTTTATGAGGATTCAAGTGTAGAGAATAGCATGCTGAGTGAAGTTGCTGTACTTTTGGTAGAATAGATTTAAATCAGCATTTGCTCTAGTCTGAACTGAAATATATTCTTGATTTTTTTTGATCCCCCTGCTTTGCTTGTAACATTAATGGTTATTTCTTCTTCCTTCTCCAGAAATTTCTGACAATATCCTGATTCTTTTTCCTGTACAAAGTCTGTTTCTTCTATTATATCTTCATGTTGAAAAGCCTCAGCAGAATAACTTCTTCCTGAAATCCTGAGAGTGGGGCAGTGTGTGAAATATGTGGAAAATTTTTCACTGTCCACAGCGGCACTCATAGAATCAAGTAGAGATCAGAATGTTTTTGTAAAACTTCCTTTAAGACAGTTAGTAGGAAGTCTGACTGGACACTTCTTGTACGAACCTCATTTGCAATAATGTGAGACACATTAGTAAAAAGACCATCTTCTTGAAGTTTCCTTGACAAAACCCCTGTTGTACAGTAGAGTACACTGGTAGATTCACAAGCTTCAGATAACATCCAGATCTGATATCCACACAAAGAATTCCTTCCTCCAGTTCCATTTTCACAGCCCAATTCATCACACACTCTGGTGGCTAAACTCACTGCTGAGATCCTTTGAGGTTAGGTATAGGCAATGTTACATTTACTTGCTCCCCACTCATTTAGAAGCAAATCTTCCAACAGAAAATGTGGTACCTGAGTACTTTCATCACTCCTGGTTTTACCTGCCACAACCACTCCCCAGTGCCTTTAAGAGTTTCTACACCTGCATCCAGATGTTTAAATACAGGAAACTGCTGTCTTTCCTTTAGAAGTCTCTAAGACTTAGGTGTGCTTTGCAACTTTCTAAAGAGGTTTCTAACATGTTCCAAATCTTCCGCATTTGCTGATACCAAGGACAGTGCAGAAAAATCCTCATCAGAAACTAAATTTTCCCAAGATTCCTCAGGATTATTAGAGATTTCTCTCTTATTTTCAGAATGTTGTTGTCGCTGCTGTTTCAATATATTCAAAAGTTGGGCAATAAAAAGATCACATGGTTTATTGGTTTTCATTTTATTTAATTCTTCTCTTTTCTTTTCCTCATCACTGTACTCCAGCCAAACATCTTGGGAAGTAGGATGAAGTCACTGATAAACTGACTGCCCTTTAACTAAATGATAAAGAACTAAAGTGCCTCCCAGGTGCTGAGCTTGCATGCCATCCTCTGTTAAGATTGTAGGCAACCTACCAGGACAGCATCTTCAGACTTGATTACCCTAACCCTACATTTCCAGCATCTACCTACTGGAACTTTTTCAAAGGAAGGATTTCGACTTTTGGGAAGAGTCTTCCTGAACCAGTCAATCAGAAATTGTTTGGGAGATTTTCCAGTTCAGCGTTGAGCAGTACAGTCAAAATTTCTTACATCATGAGGTTCTTTTTATCTTTCTCTTCTTCAGTAGCAGCTGCAGATTTTTCAAATAACTGAAAAGTTCAATGCACTTTCTCCTTCTATGGCCACAGGAGGCTTTTTTTCTTTCATTTTGTTGATGTGAAATCTTTATGGCTGGATTAAATACTGGATCATCTTCTAAAGTTTCAATTTCTCTTTGAAATTTCCTTATTTTTTCCTGAGCCTCCTTTTGGTCTTGCCTGGTTTTTTTTTTTTTTTTTTTTGGTTTTTTTTTTTTTTTTTGTTTTTTTTTTTTTTCCAGTTTAAAGGCAGCTGCTGGCTCCTTTGCATCTAGCAGTTTTGCTGCAAGATGTAAATAACTTTCGTTGGGGTCAATTTTTTTTTTCCTATTCTTCTAAACTTTTAGAATTCTCATTCTTTTCTTCTTCATTTGTTGTTTAGTGTACTGTGAAATCCACTCTTTCATATTTGCTTCCATATTTCCTTCTTCCTTTTTTGGCTTCATCTTAGGGTCTTATTCTTTTGTTTGTTTGTTTTGTTTTAGGTTGCAATGGAGGTGAAATAGTGCTTTGTATAGGAGACTGCAATTTCAGCCTACTTTTAGGTTGTTGCCCTTCAAATTCTTAACTGAATCTTTCAGTGCATCATTTGCAAGGTTTAAACAGAGCCAATCCAAGGCAGAATGAAGGTCACCTCCATGTAAGAGAGCATTGGTCGTGACATCTTCAATGTCTTAGTCTTAAATAAAAATGCTTGTAAAGCTGTGTAAAAATCCTGCAATTTTTTGGCATTAAGTCTTCCAGAAATCACTCCCTTGTCATTGTTTTGCTTGTCATTGCTCACTCCCATAATTCCTTGCTCTAATTTGTTATTAATTACCACTTTCAACATAGATTTACCCAGACTTGCAGGACAACCAGAATCATTTGTAGAATTAAAACTATAAATTTTGGGGCCTTGCTTGACTCAGGGCTCCCTGGTGCTTGCAGCGGTGTCGGGAGGGAGGCCTGGACACCGGCTTTTTGTTTTGGGCCTCCTGGGCAGTTCCAGCCCCAGTGGTTGATTTGGCTCTGAAAGCAGACATGGCGGCCCGGACCACCGGACCACCGTGGTCACCAGAGCCATGTGTTTCTTGTCCTTGCCGCCAGTGTTGCAGCTGTGGCAGAAGATCATTCGCGGTGCAGGCCCTGGTGCTGCCACCAAGAGCTCTTCACATTTCCTGGCTCCTGTGACACCACCCTGCGCCCTCGATTCCAAGAAAAGCTTTCCTGAAAGAAGGTAACAAACATATCTTCTTGTCTTTCCTTCTTTATGTTTTTTACTTGCCATATATGAGTCTGCTTTGTGTATCTTGCAAATTAGCTATTCTGCTTTACTTTTCTCCATGTCATGGATCTGTTTTTACAGCAGTACGCACTAAACAATGTTTCCCCACTGGTGTCTCCTTTCATCTATATGATATTCACATGGATCTATTTCTGAAACCTCTGTTCTGTTCCATTTATTTGTTTGGGGCTAGAGCATCATAGTTTGATAACTATTGTTTAGTTGCATTTCTTAAAATCTGGCAGGATAAGTCCCCTCCTCTTTTAAACAAAATTGATTTAGATATTTTGACATTTAATCTTTCATAAAATTTTTACTCCTTGAACCATCTTGCTGAAATTTATCTTGACATTGCAGTGGTTTTATAAATAATCTGGGTGCAATTATGTTTTTAAAGAAGACAAATTTTGTCTTTAACCTTATTCTTCTTTTATCTATTTTGGTTTAGATTTTTATTCTTTTGCATTTTGGTAGGATTTTTTTCTGCATACGTTATAGTTTTTTGTTTGTTTGTTTGTTTTTTGCTTTGACTTAAGGTTTTTCTATTTTTTTTTTGGAGTGGGGGTCACATTATCTTGTAATTTTTTTATTCTGACACATACCCTAAATAGAAAAGGTATGCATCATGTATCTGTACAACTTAGAATAAAATAAACATCCGATAACTCACCTCAAGCTTAAGAATCAGAACAATATTCTCCCCACTACCCACATACCCTACGGAGGAAACCTACTCTCTCTATTATTGGGTTATTCATGTTCTTCCTTTTCTTTATGGTTTAATCATAAAGCTATTCTCATATAGTATCTTAATTTGTTTCACATTGAATTTTATACATTAAAACATGCTTTGTATATTTGTCTGAGATATTTTTCTTTTGCTCAAAGCGAGAATGAGCTATGTTAATGTATATAAGTGTAGTTCATTCTTTAATACCACTATAGAATGTTCAATTGTCTGAATATACTCTGAGTTATTTATAGTTTCTGTTGTTGATTGACATAATGAGTTGTTGTCAATACTTTATAATGATGACTGATGCTGCTATAAGCTTCCCTATACATGTCTCTTGGTACACAGGTGCAGACTTCTGTTGCACAGCAGCTCTCATAGTGTGAACCCTGGACCAGTAACATCAATACCACTTGGAAACTTGCTAATAATGCAAGTTATCCAGCCCCACCCCAATCCTACTGAGTCAGAAATACAAAGGGTAAGACCCAGCAATCTGTGGCTGCTATATTTTTAAATTGGTAAATGCTTTTATGAAGAAACATTATTGATTTTGTAAGTTGATATTGTACTTGACCGTCTTCCTGAACTCTCTTCTTATTTGAATATGGCATATGAGTTTTTCATCTTAGTTTTCTGATAGAAGCACTACAGCAATTCTAAATTCCTACACTAACTTGACCTTCTGGAGGACTGAATCTAATTTTTAATGAAGGCAATAAAACATAATTGGGAGTTTATATGAACAACACAAACTGAGCATATGCTAGCATTCTCCTATGTCTTCCAATCCTTTCCTAATTTTCTGTTATATTTAATGTATGCTTAACTCTGTGCTACAAAGTGAGGGGAAGACATGGAAAACATAAATAAAAAATCATAATGTCACTTTGCCAGGCTTGGAATTCTCTGTGTCTCCTACCTATTATTTAGCCTCTACTCTGTTTAGCATTTATTCAGTGGACAGTTCCTCAGCCCAGTCTCTGTTTAGTTAACTTGTTAGCTCTAAGAAAATGACAACCTTTAATCATGATTTACAACCTACATCTTCTTTGATTATGATTAAAAATATGAACACTTTTAATATTACTATGAGCCCCACATTTTGCTCAATATATTAAACTCACTACTTCAATGTACTTTATAAAATGCTTAAAACTTGTTGCTGATTCTTAATGAAAAAGCAAATAATCAAACTATACTTTTAGCCCTGAATAGAAGTTAAGTGGCAACCATATCCTTACCTTTAGGGAATTTAAATTCATCATCAAATTGAATTTATTATTTTTTTCTAGCTTTCTTTACTCTAATTCAGATATTTTTCTCAGAAAGTCCTCTTTTAGTAGGAATGGTCAGAAGTTTACTTGTATTATAATAAATGCATTATTATTTTCAAATTATTCAGCTTTTAGAAATGCACCAGGATGTTCAGCTATGCATTGGGTACATCAAATGACTGAACTCATTAAGAGTAAGAGGAAAGAAAATTGAATCATAGAACAGTCTTTACAGAAAAATATTATCATTTTATTACATTTCAAGATCTGAGTGTGCTTATTTCATCTTATCTGCACTATTAAATCTAGTTGAAACACGAAAAACAAATCAATTCATGAAGTTGAAAAAAAGTGCACAATATTCCTGAGAAGGCTTAAGCTTGCACTAGCATCTGTAAGCTTTTTGATAGGAAAGGGCTTAAGGCTGTAGCCATAAGAAGAAAGTAAAAGTCACAATGGCAAGAAAATACTAAAAACACCAACTACATTAAAGATCAATATAAATTATTATAGGTTTATTGTGATTTTTTATTTATTGTAAAGCATAGTCTTTAAATAATTCAGTCACCTGGTGGTAAAAGTGATAGTTTGAGAAAGAGCCTAACAATCAACTTGAGCAGTATTATCAAAGAAAGTTTTTCATTTTTCATTTGGGTTTCCATTGCTCCTTTTCTAGTGCTTCAACCACAATATTCGTGTTAAATGAAGAGATTAATTATTTAATTATTGTATATATTCTGTCTCCATCAAAACTGTTCATTAGGTTCTTGATGTATGAGTCTTAGGTTTGTGCAAGATAGTATTTACTATTAAGTACATATTCTATATTTCTTTGTATTATTATCAACCTGTTAATGAATAAATACTTATGTCGTTATGGATAAAATATGGTAAAATTAAAAATATTTTTTGAAATAAACTATTTGTTGAAAAAAAGATTGTTGACTAAAAATAAAAGCCATCCAGAATTTCAGTTGTTATTTATAAACTTAACATGGTTGTTTTTAGAACATTGCAAACACCTTCAATCATAGGCAAAGCATAAGCAAAATATAATGATACTCATTATAATACTTACATTTATATAAAATGATATCACTGATTTAATTAATTTCTTAATTATTTCCATGTGTTCTCATACCTTCTAAAAATTGCAGTGCACTAACCCATGATAATTTCTATATCTCTGGAATTATATTAACTTTATCAAACATGAGTGGAAAAGACTACTTCGTCATCCAAAATCAAGGTTTTAAGTTCTGGGTTGCTAAATAATTGATTCCTGGAAAAGAAGTAGATTTGCTAGCATAGCTGAACCTCCGTGAATCAGCAGACCAACTTGCTATAGTCAAGTTCCATGTTTACTTCAATGAGTCTTTTCAAGCTCATCAATTTTATAAACATATAATTGTCATGAAAGCCAGTTCTTTCTCCTTGTGTTATTTTAGCTATGCTTTTCAGACATTACCTGGTCAATTGGCCTTTCATTTGTTTCATATTGACTTCATCAGTTAATACTGTCAAAAAATTTTGCCTATCTTTGAAAATAATCTTTGTAAATAATTCATTCTGATTAACAGTGTAATCCTGAAATTTTCATTTTCAGATCACAATGTATTAGGTCAGTTGAGTCACCTTTTCCATTTACAACATTTGATTAAGCCATTATCTTTCAAAAATACAGTTTGACACCATTTTTTCCTTGCCACATAGGTAATAACTCACAGGTTTTAAAAATATATCCATATTATTTGCTACTTCTATCTTCCAGAGTTGAACCCAAATTCTTCTTCTGTTAAGTGTGGCTGGGACTTAGTGATTACCTTGTAACAAAATGAAGTAGAAGGCCGAGTGCGGTGGCTCATGCCAGTAATCCCAGCACTTTGGGAGGCCGAGGTGGGTGGATCACCTGAGGTCAGGAGTTCGAGACCAGCCTGACCGATAAGATGAAACTTCATCTCTACTAAAAATACAAAAATTAGCCGGTTGTGGTGGCAGGCGCCTGTAGTCCCAGCTACTCGAGGGGCTGAGACAGGAGAATTGCTTGAACCCAGGAGGTGGAGGTTGCAGTGAGCCAAGATCATGCCACTGCACTCCAGCCTGGATGACAGCATGAGACTTTGTCTCCAAAAAAAAAGAAAAGAAGTAGAAGTGATGATGAGCAACTTTCGAGGGTAGGTTATAATAAAAGGCACTGGTTTTTTTGTGGTTGTTTGTTTGGTTGTTTGTTGAGACAGGGTGCTGCTCTGTCTCCCAGGCTGGAATGCAATGATGCAATCATAGCTCACTGTATCACTGTAGCTCAAACTCTTGGTCTCAAGCGATCCTCCACCCTAGGCCTCCCAAAGCACTGGGATTACAGTGCCACCACACTCTGACAATTAGGACAATCTGTACAGAAAATGGCATGAAAGTTTCTCAAAGAACTAAAATTAGAATTACCATTCAATCCAGCAATCTCACTACTGGGTATCTACCCAAAGAAAAAGGAATCATTATATAAAAAAAGACACCTGCAATCATATGTTTATCAAAGCACAACTCACAATAGCAAAGTCATAGAATCAACGTAAGTGCCCATTAATGGATGAATGAATAAAGACAAGGTGGTATATTTATATACCATGGAATTCTACTCAGTCATAAAGGTGGAAATCATATCTTTCGCAGCAGTATGGATGGAACTGGAGGCCATTATCTTAAGTGAAATAACTTAGAAACAGAAAGTCAAATACCACATTTTCACTTACAGGTGGGAGCTAAAGAATGAGTGCACAGGAACATACATAGTGGAATAATAGACATTGGAGACTCCAAAAAGCGGGGATGGGGGTGGTGGGAGAAGGATGAGGGAGGAGAAATTACCCATGTGGTATGATTTACACTATTTGGGTGATGGTCACACTAAAAGCCCAGATTTCACCACTATACAATATATTACTGTAACAAAAAATCTATTTTTAAAATAAATATATTTTTAAAATAAATAAATAAAATGGAAACACTGTGGCTTCCATCTTAATTTCTCTGTCTCTTTCTTTCTACTGGGAAAAGCCAAGATCCAGTAGCACCTGAAAGGCCTTCAGTAATGACCCATGAGGACCTGAGGCCTGCCAGCATCCAGGTGTGTTAGCTCAGTAGCAGATTCTTCAGCTGCAGTGGAGCCTTGAGATGATTGCAACCTGACCTGGAGCCAAACTACCACGTAAAACCACTCCCGGATTCCTACTACTTTGAAAGTGAAATAACAAATGTTTCAGTGTGTGTTACATGTTAGATTTTCTATATTATAGATGATATCGATGTTTTTATATATTCACATTATGAGATTCACATGACTTCTTATGGGATCAATATATTCTATAACCCAAGCTTTATCATTCTCTTTTTATGCCCAAATGATCACAACTTGGCCAAGGGGAGGTGCTTTTGGTCTTTGAGCAATAACAGATATCTTTGGGTTTTATTCCTCCGACTTGAAATACTAAAACTTTCTGGCAACAGAATGTTTCAAACACGTCCTATTTTTTGAGGGGGTTGGGGTCATGTATAGAATGATACATATGCCTCCAAGCTGCATTACTTGTTTTTTCTCCACTCATAATATAGTTTCTTACCCATCTCCTTCCTCTTGTCAGTTAAGTCTGCATAATGCTGCCTCCTAGAAAAACTTTCCTGGCTTTCCGACTTAAAAGGGCCCTGGCACAGCACTTTCTATGCTCTTTTCTTATGGCACTTAAACCTATGACAGAAATTATAAAAACTGCTTGTAGCTTTTTGTATTTTAGACTATGAGAAGGTTTTTTTAATTAATTGATCTGTAGGAATGTATTACCATTTTTCTGAAATAAGGAAGTACATTTAAATTTTGATGCAAGTGTTTTAACTCTTTCCCTAAAGTTTTCTAACAATAAAATAGGTGATTCTTCCATATGTAAGTATAGGTGCAGTTTGAACTTTTATACTTTAAAAATCAAGAAAATTCCTTGAGTCATTTTCTAACTCCTGGCCTAAGCTAAAAATAAAAATAGGTCAGATTTATTGAAGACCAGCAGTGTGTCCTATACAGCACTCTGTGCTATATTTGTGTCATCTCATTTACTCCTGGAGATTACCCTGTGAGGTTGCTACCAGCATTACTCTTATTTTAGACCAAAGAAATTAAGTCAGAGGGAGACTTAGCAGTAGGCTCAAGGTCACAGTGTCAGAATTTGAAATTTAACATTTGAATTCTAAAATCCATACCTTGACCACTAATATCAGATTACTGACAGATTTCTAGAAACATCTATCTCATGAATGTGACATAAAATTTGAAGATGCATTTTGACAGACATATTTTTATTGGCAATTTTTATAGAAATGTAATTCATGGAAAAATAAAGAGCTTACAGAAATATCAAGTAAAAAGAAAGTTTTCATGATGCAGCTATTCAGGAAAAGATGTTCACACTTGGAATACATTTAGAAATATATAAATTATTATAAGGAAAAAATTAACGTTTGTCCCAGTAGTAGAATAATATTGAGAGGAGAAGTTCCTACTGACTACTTTTTATTGTTTTTTCTTATATACGAAAAAAAAGGTTAAGGAATTTTTTATTTTTATTTCTATCCACAACTTCTTAAAAGTAAACTTATGTGTTTGCCCTGCTCATTTTCCACATATGCAAAAATCAGCAGCTGCAGGGAATAAAATATGTAAGTGTGATATTATAATGTATCGCAAATTGTAAGTATCAACATCACAACCCACAGAATACAAATAGCTTAAAGGAAAGATCAGAGGTGACTTGGGAATAGGCTTTAAAAAGGCACAATCTTGATTCAAATTTTGTAATTGGCTCTTAGCTGATACTTTTTAGCCTACATGAAAGAATATATTAACCTTGAAAGCATAAAATATTATGTTTGTCCTCACAAAATATCGATCTAGATTTTGTACAGTTTATAAATTATATTTTTCTTTCACATTATTATTTTAAAAATACATTACACTGTCAATTCTACACAGTTGGAAAGTTAGATTCCTAATGTTAAGGTATCTCTTTTAATTAACATTTTTGTTTATTTTGTTCGTCTTATCTTTGTGTATTTTTCTCTTCCTGAGCTAAAAAAAGAATTCATCAGAAGTTTTATAGGAAGAATATGGATTCAATACTTTTAAATTTTATCTTTGAAATGCAAAACATAGAAACAGAAATGAATAATTCAGTGAGTCATTCACATACCTTGAAGACATCTATTTGCTTATATTTACTTGGCCTTAGTTGAGTCATCTGCTAGCAACTTTCAGAGAAGGGGCATACAAGGAAAAATAAACAATTTCTCTCTCTCTCTGTCTGTTTCCCTCTGTCTCTTCCCTCCTTCCCTTCGCTTTGTTTCTTCATTCTCTCCTTTCACTTTCTCTGTTTCTTCACTCCCTTCACTCTCTTTCTTCTCTCACTGTCATTTCCCTTTCCTCCATCTGTTAGTTTCGTGAATATACTGTTTTCCCAGAATGTAAGAAGCTGATAATATTTTTTTGGTTACCTTAGGTAATCAAAAGCCATGTATTTAACAGAGTAAAATAAATAAACTATTGGACAAAGTCTCACTTTATTTACATATTTTTTAACTCTTAACTTGTTTAAAATATTTTGTTAGATTTCATGCTATTCCTCCATATTGCTATTTTTCCATATATAAAGGCAAGTCTGAGAAACCAAAGTCATATTGAATATATTGATTATTTTCTAAATTATCTTATCCCCATCCCATTATTTTTTAAAATAAATTGAAACAAATTTTGCATTAATCTCAAATGCATGTTAGGAATGATTGATCAGCATTTGAATTTGTGGACATTTATGCAAATTTGAATTTATGGAAATCACACAAATGGCAAAAGTAATTCATCATCTACAGGTTCAATCATAGTAAAATGAAGCATTTAAAAACATGTTATTGTGAGTCTTCCATACCATATCCTCTCGACATATTTCAGCTCACCAGTGTTGTTTTGACTTAATTCTTAGTTCACTCTCCTGGGTGAGATCTTCTGATTAGCTGGTTTAGGGTTTGAAAATGCTCCATTCCCTGGTGGATGACTCAGCTCTCCTTCCATGCGTAACTTGAGAATTTCTTATAAGATGTCCATCTTACTGTCAGCACATGACTCCAATTACAATGGGCTTTGGGAGTTTCTTTTACTTGATATAAGCCAAGATTTAACAGGCAAAAAGTGTATCTTTTCATTAAAAAGTTACTTATTTTATATACTGTATTCATATCTATGACAACTCAGTCATTAAAAACAAATGTTTTACCACAGAGTATAATCTCCGAAATCTGGCCCTTTCTATTGTTCATTTCTATTGGGAACACCTAGCTCAGGCACTTGTATCTTCTTGCCAGCTTATCATAAACGTGATTTTAACTGGTTCCCATACTGGCTATACTTTCTTTTAAAAAAAATAATTATTATGGGTACATAAGAGTTGTATATACTTACGGGGTACAGGTGATATTTTGATACAAGTAGAAAATGTGTAATGATAAAATCAGGGTCATTGAGATATCCACAACTCAAGCATTGATCATTTCTTTGTATTAGGAATGTTACAATTATACCCCAAAAGTTATAAAGTATAATAATTATTGTTATAATTATTAGTAACTATAGTCATTCCATTGTGCTACTGAATACTAGATTTATTCATTCTATCTAACTATAAGTTTGTCCCATTAACCATCATGCTTTATCCTCCCCTCTCTGCTACCCTTCTCAGATTCTGGTAACCATCATTCTACTCTCTATTTCCATTAGTTTAAATTTTTTTAGCTCCCACATATGAGTGGCAACATGCAATATTTGTCTCTCTGTGCCAGGCTTATTTTCACTTGACATCATGTCCTCCAGTTCCATCCATGAAGGATTTCATTCTTTTTTTTGGCTGAAGAATATTTTGTTGTGTATATGTACCATATTTTATTTATCCATTCATTCACTGATAGGCATTTAGGTTGCTTGGGTATCTTGGCTATAGTAAATAACGTTGCAATAAACATGGCAGTGCCAATATCTCTTCAAAATACTGATTTCTTTTCTTCTGGACATATACCCAGCAAAGGGATTGCTGGATCATATGGTAGTTCTATTTTTAATTTTTTGAGGAACCTCCATACTGTTCTCCATGGTGGCTGTACTAATTGACATTTCCACCTACAACGGTGTGTAAGATTTCCTTTCACTCCGTACCCTTGCCAGCATTCATTACTGCTTGTCTTTTAGATTAAAGTCCTGTTAGCTTGAGTGTGATAATATCTCACTGTAGTTTTGATTTCCAATTCTCTGATGATTCGCGGTGCTGAGTAAATTTCTATATATGTGCTGGCCATTTGTATGTCTTCTTTGAGAAATGTCTATTCAGGTATTTTGCCCATTTTAAAATCAGATATTTTTCCTATTGAGTTGTTTGAATTCCTTATCTGTTCTACTTATCAATTTCTTGTCAGATGGGTAGTTTACGAATATTTTATCTCATCCTGTGGGTTGTCTTATCTCATTGTAATACCTAGTAAACTCCCTGAAGCTCTGGTCAAATAATAGCATTGTTCTGTTCTAATTTTGAGTGATTCGTGCCATTTAACTTTTGTTACAGCTGACATTACCAGCTTCTCTATACTACCCCTATGATCAGAG
Organism: Homo sapiens; assembly: GCF_000001405.40. NCBI lineage: Eukaryota > Metazoa > Chordata > Mammalia > Primates > Hominidae > Homo > Homo sapiens. Next base: position 190,002,972 of record NC_000001.11, read on the forward strand.
CAAAAAGGCTATACCGATAGCCTCATGTTATATTCTGCGATTCCTTCCAGTAACATGCCTTTGGTTATGCTTTTCTATAATGCAGAAAAAATGTGGAGAAAAAATGGTCCCATCCTTCCTCATTTCCCAAACTCCAGATTTTTAAATCAGATATATGCTAAAAATGAAATGACACATCCCCTCTGTAATTTTTCTTTCATGGACTAGAACTATTTTTTTATATATGCTATGATAGCGTTTAATTTATTGCTCTCTAAAGGCTCTAATCATTTTCTACTGTCTTTTTTTTTATTTGTATTCATGCTTTACTTCTCCAGATAGACACAAATCAAGTCACATTACTTATATACCATTGAATCACCCACAGAGCAGGGTGGCACATCTTTCAAAGAGTAGGAACTTGATCATACTTTAGGGGAAGGGGGGAGAACTAATAAATTATGCAAAATATGTACAGCTGAAATTAAGAGTTACAGATGCAAGATATTTTGGAAATCTATACAAACAGTTTTAAGAATAAGTGCATATATTTCTTCATCTAATATCTTATGCAGAGTAAAAATAACTGATTCATGGATTTCCCAATTCTGGAATTTGGCAGTAATTTTGAATTTGAAAAAAAATCTTAAGAAAAAGTTTTTGGACTAGTTTAAGAAATATATATAAGTGTCTGGAGAAAATGCTTTTTATATATTCTAATTTACATTTATGACTATCCTCCCTTAAAAAATTAAATTAAAAAATTGGATCAAGAGAATGTGCTTGGCTTTGTCTTTTTGTATGGAGTTAATAAATCATTCTCTTTCCCAAATTTATTTTCTTAAGCAATAAATATGTACAAGGAAATATAAGTTTATTCTGTCTCTGTAAATCTTGGTAAACATAGAAAAGATGTTTAAAGTCAGATTTGTAAGAAGTCTAAAAGACTAATGCTTAGTGCTGTTTTTGCAATTAGGCTCACTAACTTAGATTGAATGTTTTTGGAAATCTATTGTAAATTGGTAGTAGGAATATGGATTACATATATCCTTACAAAATTCATTAATATACTTCTTGGTATCACACTGGCTCCTGACTCAAAGAGTATTTTACGTTCTCCTTTAATTACTCAGATTACTAATGTAGAATTTAATTAATGATTACTCATTAACAAAAATTATCTTTATTTCTCACATTTTTAAGATAAAGTGAAAAATTCTGTGAATAAAAATTTCAACACATTTTAAGTTAAATCTAAAAGCAGATTTTCGACTTGGATTATGCAGTTTATAAATATCTAGTTTAAGTTGTAAGAACAAATATAAAACATAACAAAACAAACTCTCCAACAATTTTTTTCCTTCTTTTACTTTATGGATATATTTAAGAACAACTTTTTTTCTGACACTATATTAGCTACCTCATGTTTTGTAACATATCACTCCAAAACTTAAGTAGTTTAAACAATTGTAATTATTACATCTTTATAATTTCAGAGAATTGGGAAATCCAGAATAACTTGATTATGCAGTTCTTGTTCAGATTGTTTCCTAAGGTTCCAATGAGTTATTCTGGGGCTCTGGTCATCTGAAGGCCTTACTGGGATGGAGGCGCCATTTGCAAAATGTTAATTTATGTAAAGTAGCAAATTGGTACTTACTACTTTATATAGTGATATAGCCTTAGTTTTTCTCCACATGGGCCCCTTAATAGGGTTGCTTAAGTGTCCTGATTCCATAACATCCGGCTTCCCCAGAACCAGATCAAGAGCAAGAAAGATTTAATACCCTTATCCTTACGTCAGAAGTCACATACTCTCTCTTCTGTCATACTCTGTTGTTCACACTGGCGGGCCCTGCTTCAATATTGGAGGAACAGCCTGTATACCAGGAGCTGAGACTCATTCCAGGCTATCTTGAAGGGTGTCTACCATTAAGCTTAATAACTTTAATTAGCATATCTAAACTTCAGTTTTCTTTTCTGTAAAATGAGTGGTATGGACTAGATTAGAATCTGCGAACTTTTTTTCAGTAAAGAGCAAGAAAGTAAATATTTTATGATCTGTGGGTCATATAATCCCTGTTGCATCTACTTAACTCTTTGGTTTAGCACAAAAGAGGATGTAAATTACACAAATGAATGTACACTGTTTTCAAAAGAAAAAACTTTGTTCACCAAATAAATTTGGATTTGACTTACATAATATAGCTTGCTGACCCTGGACTAAATGATTGCCAAGATTTCTTTCATTTTAGAGATTCTAATTATATATTATATATGTAGGATATAGAATTTCCATTCCATATTATTTTAAAAGAGTAAGCACAGTGTATATATACAATAATGTTGAAAAATATTAAAGACATGTGCTTGTTATGGATAAAATTTTGTCCTTACCAGATTTTTATGTTGAAGTCCTAACACCCAGTGTAACTTTGTTTGAAGATAGGGTCTTTAAGGAGGTAATTATGGCTAAATGGTGTCATAAGACTGGGGCCCTACTCCAAAAGGACTAGTGTCCTTATGAGAATATCAAAAGGCACCAGAGATCCCTCTCTGTCTGTGAGGGCACAGAGAGAAGGCCATGTAAAGACACAGAATAAAAGCGCTTATCTGCCAGCTAGGAAGAGAGGTCTCATCAGAAACTAAATATGCTGGTACCTTCATCTTGAACTTGCAATTTTCAGAACTTTGAGAAAATAAATTTCTGTTGTTCAAGTCACTTAACCTGTGGCATTCTGTTATTGCAGCCTGAGCAGATTAATACTACTCACAACATTTTCAGATTTTATTATGCTAATAACATACAAACCTATTACAGTTTTCCCTTCTTAAAATTATCCCTTTCTTTGACCTTACATTTCCCTGTAGGCTACATCTTTTTTCTATAATTCTTTTTATTACAGAATTACTACAATAATTATCTTTTACTACCTCTACTTCCTATGATGGCATTACAATTACACTTTCTTCCCCACCACCGTACGGAAATAATTCTTGTCAAAGTCACCATGTTCAATGGTCAAGCCTTAGTACTCCTTTACGGTCCTCTCACCTCCATTTAATACATATTCTCACTCTGTCCTTTTGAAACACTCTTTTTTTATCTTCCTGGGTTTCATACTATGTCATGTTCCTGTTTCCTCAATATTCCTTCTCAAGCATCTTCAAATGATATTTCTACTGTTAGTAAAATATGCCAGGATTCAGGCCTACAGCCTCTTTTCTTCTGCATTAATACTGAAAAACAGTATTATTTGTGATTCTATCTGCACTGATGGTTCTAAATACTTTTATGTACTGTTTTTAATACATGCAAAATTGTTTCTAGTCCTGACCTCCCCCTGAATTCCAAATTTATATATGTAATTGTTAATTAGAAACAATTACCTATTGTGTCTGCAACCGGATACCTGTCCAAGGTCTGTTAGGGACCCGTCCACACAGCAGGAAGTAAGCAGTGGGCAACTGAGCATTACGCCTGAGCTCCACCACCTGTCAGATCAACGGTGACGTTAGATTCTCATAGGAGCTCAAACCCTATTGTGAACTGTGCATGCGAGGGATCTAGGTTGTGTGCTCCTTATGAAAATTTGATGATAAATGTAATGTACTTGAATCATCCCGAAACTATACCCCACTCCCTGTGGTCTGTGGAAAAGTTGTCTTCCATGAAACAGGTCCCTGGTGCCAAAAAATTGGGGACAGCTGTAATAGACATTTGTAACTAAAAAGCCCCAGTGTAGTTTTCAATACCCACTGCCCACCAGTCTTGTTGTTTTACCATGTTCCTGATATCAAGAAATGATGCCATTATACATGGAGTTGCTCAAGCCAGAACCAGAGAATCAGGTATATTATGGAGCTGATTGGTACTGATTTATGAAAGCCTTGTTAACAGATGTGAACCTGAGAGGGCCAAACCTTCAAGATGATCCCATGTGACTATCTGGGTCTAAATTTTCTATAGAGTCAAATGGCCATTTGCTGACTAAAGGTCACACACCTAGAATAAGTTCTCTTAAAACCCAAACCTCTGTTTAAATTTGAGACTTTTCCAAGTTTAGCTGTATCAACCAATCAGGGTTCATATGCATTAACCAATCAAAACTCAGCTGCAGTGATCAATCAAACTAAGCAAGTTTTTGTCTTCATTTAAATAAATGAACTGACTGGAAACCTGAGCAGGAACTTTTGCTTTAAAACCCAAACCCTCCATTTGTTCCCTGGAACACACCTTTATTTTACACCAAAGTCTGCATCTTCCTGGTTTGCAAACTTTTCATTGGAATAATGTATCTTTCCTCCAAATTCTTTTTCAGAGAACTGTTCACAGCTTATTGTTATTTCTTTAGAAATTTTGTGAGCTGATTTTTAAAATAATCCACTATTAAATTATAGAATGAAACTATATTCGAATACCTGAAACTATACAAAAAGTTCAGGTGATAAATAGTTTTAAGTGAGAAATAGTTTTCAAGTGAGTAATAGTTTTCAAGTGAGAAAACAATTGGGATCAGTACTGATCACATTTAGCTGACAGACATTTCAGTTCAAAAAACATAAAATTATCAGTGAAAAATTAGCAGTAAGTTAATATTCATGGTTGAGAAATTAACAGTATGTCACAAATCAGATTTAATAAGAGTTAGTACATTTTCATGCTACTCCATTTGTCACATCATGGTTGAATTGTAATCATAGGTTGTCTACAGATACAAAATTTTGGCAGAAAAAAGAACAATCAACAATATGTCTTGAATAAATTGGTTATATGAAAATCATAATATGTATTTTATATCTCATTAATATTTGGATATTGTGTGCTACAAATATACACACACATAATTTTGAAAAGCCATTTATCAAACATTTACTGGTACACTGTTGCTTCAATTCATCTTTGACTCTTCTCTTTTCTTATGCTGTGTATCCAATCCATCAGCAAATTCTATTAGTTCCACAAAATAGATCTCCAATCCATGCACTTAATCCTAACTTGTCTACCATTACCTTAGATAAAGCTATAATCAACTTTTTCCTAAGATACTGCGATAATTTCCTAACTGAGCTCTCTGTTAGTCTTTCCTAATTATTTTCCATTTTGTCATAGGAATCTGGATCATCCTTTCAAAACTTCTAACCAATCACATCATTACCTTCCTTAAAACTCCAATGACATTTCAAAAAAACTGGGAGAAAGTCTTTAATGTAATATTCAGGAAATTACCTTCTCCAACATTATTTTTGTCTGCTCACTCTTTTATTCCCTTCAGCTCCTTGAACATTTTGCCATTCCTTAAGTATTCCAGGTTTGTTTCACCTCAACTATCTTATAAAAAAGCTTTTCTTCCTTTCCTTTACTTTCCTCTTTTCTTTTGTTTTTTCTTGCTGTGTCACCTAAGCCAGAGTGCAGTGGTACAATTACAGCTCACTGCAGCCTCAATCCACTGGGTTCAAGCAATCTTTCCACTTCAGCCTCCCTTGTATCTGGGACCACAGGCATGTACCACCATGCCTGGGTCATTTTTTTATTTTTTTTATTTTTTACTTTATTTATTTATTTATTTATTTATTTTTAGAAACAGGATCTCCCTATGTTGATCAGGTTGGTCTTGATCTCCTGGGTTCAAGCAATCCTCCTGCCTCGGTCTTCTGAAGCTCTGGGGTTACATGAGTGAGCCACTGTACCTGGCGAGGAAGGTGTTACTTAATGATTCTCACCTTTCTTTCTTTCATTTAGCTGTTCATATAAACATTTGATCCTCAGTGGGATCGTCTCTGACCAGCTTAATGAAAATGGCATCTCCTAGTATCTCTTAAAATGCTATATTTAATTTTCAGTTCCTTATATATCTCCACCAGAACGAGTGCTGGTATCCACAGCTGAGAGACTCATAGATGGTTCATATCACAGGACTCTGTGCAGATAACCTCCAGTACCAGCTCAGAGCCAGGTAGACTTGCTGGGCGTTTAGACCCCAAAGACAGATAAAAATCACTGCAGCTTGGCTCACAGGAAGTCACATCCATAGGAAAAGGGGAGAGTACTACATCAAGGGAACACCCCATGGGACAAAAGGATCTGAACAAGAGCCTTCAGCCCTAGACCTTCCCTCTGACAGAGCCTACCCAAATGAGAATGAACCACAAAACCACCTCTGGTAATATGACAAAACAAGGTTCTTTAACATCCCCCAAAAATCACACTAGTTCACCAGCAATGGATCCAAACCAAAAAGAAATCTCTGATTTACTTGAATAGTAATTCAGGAGGTTAGTTATTAAGCTAATCAGGGAGGCACCAGAGAAAAGTGAAGACTAATACAAGGAAATCCAAAAAATAATGCGAGAAGGGAGAAATATTCAGGGAAATAGATAGCATAAAGAAAAAACAATCAAAATTTCAGGACACATTGGACACACTTATAGAAATGCAAAATGCTCTGGAAAGTCTTAACAATAGAGTTGAACAAGTAGAATAAAGAAGTTCAGAGCTCAAAGACAAGATCTTTGAATTACCCAATCCAACAAAGACAAAGAAAAAAGAATAAGAAAATATGAACAAAGCCTCCAAGAAGTCTGGGATTATGTTAAGCGATCAAACCTAAGAATAATTGATGTTCCTGAGGAAGAAATATAAAGGTTTGGAAAACATATTTGGGGGAATAATCAAGGAAAACATCCCCAGCCTTGCTAGAAACCTAGACATCCAAATACCTCAGCAGAAACCCTACAAGCTAGAAAGGATTGGGGTCCTATCTTCAGCTTCTTCAAACAAAACAATTATCAGGCAAAAATTTTGTATCCAGTGAAACTAAGCATCATATATGAAGGAAAAATACAGTCTTTTTCTGACAAACAAATGCTGAGAGACTCACCACTACCAAGCCACCAGTACAAAAACTGCTAAAAGGAGCTCTAAATCTTGAAACAACTCCTGGAAACACATGAAAACAGAACCTCTTTAAAGCATAAATCACAAGGGACCTATAAAACAAAAATGCAAGTTAAAAAGCAAAAACAAAAAACAAAACGAAATAAAGGTTCACAGGCAATAGCATGATGAATGCAACAGTACCTCATATCTTAATACTAACGTTGAATGTAAATGGGCTAAATGCTCCACGTAAAAGATACAGAAATGCAAAATGAATACGAACTCACCAACCAACTCTCTGCTGCCTTCAGGAGACTCATCTAACACAAAGGACTCATATGAACTTAAAATAAAGGGGTGGAAAAAGGAATTTCATGCAAATGAACACGAAAAGCTAGCAGGGGTAGCTATTCTTCTATCAGACAAAACAAATTTTAAAGAAACATCAGTTAAAAGAGACAAAGAGGGACATTATATAATGGTAAAAGGCCTTTTTCAAGAGGAAAATATCACAATCCTAAACATATGTGCACCTAACACTGGAGCTCCCAAATTTATAAAACAATTACTAATAGATCTAAGAAATGAGATAGATAGTAACATAGTAACAGTGGGGACTTCAATACTCCGCTGACATCACTAGACAGGTCATCAAGAGAGAAAGTCAACAAAGAAACAATGCATTTAAACTATTTCTGAACAAATGGACCTAACAGATAAATACAGAACATTTCATCCAACAACTGCACAGTACACATTCTATTTCTACTCAACAGCACATGGAACTTTCTCCAAGATAGACCATATGATAGGCCACAAAATGAACCTCAATAAATTTAAGAAAATCGAAATTATATCAAGCACCCTCTCAGCCCACAGTGCAATGAAACTGGAAATCAACTCCAAAAGGAACCTTCAAAACATGCAAATACATGGAAATTAAATAACCTGCTTCTGAATGAGCATTGGGTCAAAAACAAAATCAAGATAGAAATAAAAATTCTTCAAACTGAATGACAATAATAACACAACCTATCAAAACCTCTGGGATACAGTAAAGGTGGAGCTAAGAGGAAAATGCATAGCCCTAAACACCTATATCAAAAAGACTGAAAGAGCACAAACTGACATTCTAAGGTCACACCTCAAGGAACTAGGGAAACAAGAACAAACCAAACCCTAACCCAGCATAAGAAAGGAAATAACCAATATCAGAGCAGAACTAAATGAAATTGAAACAAAAAAATGCAAAAGATAAATGAAACAAAAAGTTGGTTTCTTGTAAAGATAAATAAAATAGTTAGGTTTTTATCAAGATTAACCAAAAAAAGAAGAGAGATCTGTATAACCTCATTAGGAAATGAAATTGGAGATGTTACAACTGACACTACTGAAATACAAAAGATCATTCAAGACTGCTATGAACACTCTCACGCACATAAATTAGAAAACCTAGAAGAGAGAGATAAATACCTGGAACAACGCAACCCTCCTAGGTTAAATCAGGAGGAATTAGTTACCCTGAACAGACCAATAACCAGTACCAAGATTAAAACAGTAATTTAAAATTACCAACAAAAAAAGTCCAGGACCAGACGGATTCACAACAGAATTCTACTAGACATTCAAAGAAGAATTGGTACCAATCCTTTTGACACTATTATTACACAAGACAGAGAAAGACAGAAACATCCCTAATTCATTCTGTGAAGCCAGCATCACCCTTATAACAAAACCAGGAAAGAACACAACCAAAAAACAAAACTACAGGCCAATATCCTTGATGTACATAAATGCTAAAATCCTTAACAAAACACTAGCTAATCGAATCCGACAACATATCAAAAAGAAAATCCACCATGAACAAGTGAGTTTCATACCAGGGATGTAGGGATGGTTTAACATAAGCAAGTCAATAAATGTGATACACCACATAAACAGAATTGAAAACAAAAATCACGTGATCATCTGAATAGATGCAGAAAAAGCCTTTGACAAAATCCAGTATCCCTTTATGATTAAGACTCTCAGCAAAATTGGCATGCAAGGGACGTACCTCAACATAATAAAAGCCATCTATGGCAAACCCACAGCCAACATAATACTGAAGGAGGAAAAGTTGAAAGCATTCCCTCTGAGAGCTGAAACAAGACAAGGATGCCCCCCTTCTCACCACTCCTCTTTAACACAGTACTGGAAGTCCCAGCCAGAGCAATCAGACAAGAGAAAGAAATAAAGGACATCCAAATTGGTAAAGAGGAAGTCAAATTGTCATTGTTTTCTAATGATATGATTGTTTACCTTGAAAACCCTGAAGACTCCTCCAGAAAGTGCCTAGAACTGGTAAAAGAATTCAGCAAAGTTTCCAGATACAAGATTAATGTGCGCAAACCAGTAGCTCTTCTATACACCAACAGCAATCAAGCTGAGAATCAAATCAAGAACTCAAACCCTTTTACAGTAGCTGCAAAAATAATGAAATACTTAGGAATATATATAACCAAGGAGGTGAAAGTCCTTTACAAGGAAAACTACAAAACACTGCTGAAATAAATCACAGACGACACAAATGGAAACACATCCCAGGTACATGGCTGGGTAGAATCAATATTGTGAAAATTACCATACTTAACATACTGCCAAAAGCAATCTCCAAATTCAATGCAATTCCCATCAAAATACCACCATCATTATTCACATAATTAGAAAAAACAATTCTAAAATTCATATGGAACCAAAAAAAGCGCCAGCATAGCCAAAGCAAGATTAAGCAAAAGAACAAATCTGGAGGCATCACACTACCTGATTTCAAACTAAACTATAAGGTCATAGTCACAAAACAGCATGGTACTGGTATAAAAATAGGCACATAAACCAGTGGAACAAAATAGAGAACCCAGAAATAAACCCAAATACTTACAGACAGCTGATCTTTGACAAAGCAAACAAAAACATAAAGTGGGGAAAGGATACCCTCTTCAAAAAATGGTGCTGGGATAATTGGCTAGCTACATGTAAGAGAATGAAACTGGATCCTCATCTCTCATTTATACAAAAATCAACTCAAGATAGATTAAGGACTTAAATCTAAGAACTGAAACTATAAAAATTATAGAAGATAACATTGGAAAAAACCTTCTAGACATTGGCTTAGGCAAGGATTTCATGACCAAGAACTCAAATGCAAATGCAATAAAAACAAAGATAAATAGCTGGGACCTAATTAAACTAAAGAGCTTTTGCACAGCAAAAGAACAGTCAGCAGAGAAAATGGAAAACCCACAGAGTGGGAGAAAATCTTCACAATCTATACATCTGACAAAGGACTAATATCCAGAATCTACAGCAAACGCAAACAAATCAGAAAAAATATCTCATCAAAAATTTGGGTAGGGACATGAATACACAATGCTAAAAATATACAAATGGTCAAGAAACATATGAAAAAATGCTCAACATCACTAATGATCAGGGAAACACAAATCAAAACCACATTGCAATACCATCTTACACCTGCAAGAATGGCTATAATAAAAAAATCAAGAAACAGCAGATATTGGTGTAGATGCTGTGAACATGCAACACTTCTACACTGCTGGTGGGAATGTAAACTAATACAGCCACTACAGCAAACAATGTGGATATTCCTTAAAGAACTAAAAGTAGAACTACCATTTGATCCAACAATCTCACTACTGGGTATCTACTCAGAGGAAAAAAAGTCATCATATGAAAAAGATACTTGCACAGGCATGTTTATAGCAGCAAAATTCGCAATTGCAAAATCGTGGAACCAACCCAAATGTCCATCAATCAGTGAGTCGATAAAGAAACTGATAAAATGATATATATAAAATGATATATATATAATGATATATATAATGATATATATAATGATATGATATGATATATATATATATATAATGGAATACTACTCAACCATAAAAAGGAATGAATTTATGGCATTTGCAGTGACCTGGATGAGATTGGAGACTATAATTCTAAGTGAAGTAACTCAGGAATGGAAAACCAAACATCTTATGTTCTCACTGATGTGTGGGAGCTAAGCTATGAGGATGCAAAGGCATAAGAATGATACAACGGACTTTAGGGACTTAAGAGGAAGGGTGGGAGAGGAACTAGGGATAAAAGACTACAAATACGGTGCAGTGTATACTACTCAGGTGATGAGTGCACCAAAATCTCACAAATCACCGCTAAAGAACGTGTTTAACCAAATACCACCTGTATCCCAATAACTTATGGAAAAATTGAAATTAAAATAAAAATTAAAAAAAAGACAAGCTACATGAGGTTAGCAGCGTGTGCGTGCGTGTGTGTGTGTGAGTGTGTGTGTGTGTGTTTGATTGTTTGTTTACTTCCATATTTCCAGAGTCCAGGATTGGATCTCAATATTAGGCTTTCAAAAAATTAGCTTATTTCCTTATTGACAACTCTAATTTAAATGTAAGTTTCATTCAGCAATAGGCCAATTTTATTTTTTTCATTCCTACACCAACAGCATCAAAGAAGTTCTTTGAATTTAACAGAAAAGTCATAAATATTTGTTGAATTAATATTATTTTTGTTTCCATAGTGATATGGAAAACACGATGTGCCAAGAGAAAAATTTGTCTACCATTGAAAGCTTGTTACTAAAACATAATATTAGTTATTAAATATCCCTGTGTATATCAAAGAATTTAACATAGTCCAAAATGAGGTCTTGCCTTTGGCCTTGGCTTATGAGAGGTAATTCTTAATGCCATGGAATGCCATGCCTGTTCAGTGGCTTTGTTTGAGATCTTTGGCCAGCCAGAGAGTAACATGTGGTTTAGTGATGATCCCTTGGGTCTGAAAGTATTAGTTTGATATCCTGAGAGTCTAGAGGCTGAGATCAGCCATGTTGTCAGTCAACCATACTGACATGATGAAGCCTAAATAAATACTCAAGATTCGTGTAAACTTTCCTGGTTGGTAATATTTCATATGCATTACCACACATCAAAGTGGAGAAATTAACACTGTCTATGAGTTCATGGGGAGAGTAAAACAGAAGTTTTGTTTTTGATACTTTTCCCAGACTCTGCTATATATGCTTTCTCCCTTGGCTGATTTTAACCTGTATCCTTTTCCTACAATAACCACAATCGTGGATATAACAGCTTTCAATAAATCCTGTGAGACCTTCTAGTGAATGATGAAATCTGAGGAGATTTAGGGGACGTTATGTTGAACTTGCAGTTGGTGTCAGAAATGATGGTCTTATATGCATTTGTATACCCTCTAACTTTGTACTATACCTTTAATAGACACAAATGCTATTCTTTGAGTTATTCATAGAATATGATTTTACAGTCGAGGTTTGCTTTCTTTTTGCTTTGATTTTAATCTCTAGTGGATATAGTGCACCATCCTGATTCCACCCATGTAGTGGAATCAGACTGTAGTGCACCATTCTGATTCCACTTTATGAACAAGGCATTCTTCCTCCTAGTTGTTCAGAAAGCAGCTAGCTAAGTCCATCAGGACTAGAGAGCAAGGAAATGAGCAACAATTTGTAAAATATATGCAAGACTTGCACCCTGGAACTAAATAACATTGTTGAGAATAATTAAAGAAGACAAATAAATGGAATGATAAATTTATAAATTTGAAGACACTAATTTTTAAGATGATAGTTCTCCCCTAAACTGATTTATACATTAAACATATTTCCAATTGAAATCTCAGCAGGCTTTTTATAGAAACATAAAAGTAAATTCTAATATTTACATGGACATGCAAATAACTTAGACGAAGATGGACAAAATAGGAATGAAGTCCAGATGACTCCTGGTATTTAAGATTTCTGGGGGGAACATTTCTATACCCATTAATTTATGTACTTTGTGCTACTTCAACAGAGGTGAGTAGTTAGAAAAGAAATCATATGGGCCATAAGCGTTAACTTTCTTACTTTTAACAGAATAATTTTTCTGAATTCTGACCTCTAACAAAAACAAATTTAAAATAATAGGAGAAAATGGATGATATGTATTATCCAATTTTAAAATTTACTACAAAACAGAGATGATCAAGGTTGATGCCAAATACATTTAGGGCCAAATGTTTCTTTGTTGTTTGGGGCTGTCCTGTGCAATTTGAGGTGATTTGCAGCATCCCTGGCTTCTACCCACCAGATGACAGTAACCGCTTTCCCAGTTGTGACAACCAAGGGTGCCTCTAGACATTGTTAAATGACCCCTCAGGAGCAAATTTACTCCCAGGTGAGAGTCAATACCATTAGTCTACAATAAGAAGGACAAGTTGTATTGTGCTAATGATAGACATATAGACTAAAGGAACACTTTCAATGAATCACTCTTCAATGGTCAGTTGATTTTTAACAACAGTGCTTAAGTGATTCAATGGATTAAATGGTAATTTTTTTTGTTTTTTAAGTTGCAGAAACTATTGGATGTTCTTATAGGAAAGAATGTTACTCCTTAATTCAAACCATGCACAAAAGTTAACTGAAATTAATCATTAATTATAAACTTAAATGTAAGAATACATGTGAAACCATTAGAATTCTGTAACAAAAGAGAGTCAGAAATCTACTGGATGTTCTTATAGGAAATAATGTTACCCCTTAATTCAAACCATGCACAAAAGTTAACTGAAATTAATCATTAATTATAAACTTAAATGTAAGAATACATGTGAAACCATTAGAATTCTGTAACAAAAGAGAGTCAAAAATCTTTGTGGCCATATAGCAGGCAAAAATTTCTTACATAAAAAAACAAAAGCATGAGCCATAAAGGAAAAACAATGATAAGACATTGTCAATATTTAAACATCTTGTTGTTTGAAAGAAGCTGTTATGAAAATGAAAAAGTGAAATACAGCACATAAGAAAATTGTGCAAATATATATCTGACCAAGTGCTTCATTACAGAATTTATAGTTAAGTCAATAAAAGATGAGTTACTCAATAAAAATGGCAAAGTTTGTTTGACAGTTTTAGAAATTTAATTGGCAATAAACACGTGAAATGATTCTCACAAAGAATAGTCACCAGGAAATTAAAAATTAATACATATTCAGACATCACTGCATACCTATTAAAAGATCAAAAATATAAATTGATAATAAGGATAGGGAGCAATTGGAACTCTTCTGCCTTTCTTGTGGGAATACAAAATCATGCAGCTACATGTGAAAACAGCTTGACATTTTCTTATGAATAAAACATACACTTATCATATAACCTAGTTATTATACTCCCAGGTATTTATCAATGAAAGGTTAAGACATATGTCTACAAAATGACTTGTATGGAAATAAACATAGCTTCATTAATCATAATAGTCAAATGTGTGAAATAAAGCAAATGTTTATCATCAGTTAAATACAGAAACTAAATGAAGTATATTACAGGAATCATACTCAGTTACATAAAAGAACAAGCTGCTGACACTCAAAAGAGCATGTTTGGCTCTCCAAAATATCATGCTAAATGAATGAAGTGAAACACAAAGACTATATACTATTTGATTCAATTTACATAAAATTCAAGATAAGGCAATAGTATAATGACAGAAAGCAGAACAATGACTTGCCTAAGAGCAGGAGTAGGACAAGGGTATTAAAAGCAAAAGTGCAGAAGGAAAGTTTTCTTGGAGTGATGTAAATGTTCATGTGTTGCAGTGGTTTTATGAATGGATACATTTATCAAAACTCATCAAACTATACATTTTAAATGCATGATAATATTAGATGTAAGTCATAGATCAATACGACTAAGATTAATTAAATTACATAATTTGAAGAAAAGACATAATTTAAATGTTAATGATATAAACATATTTATGTGAAAATTAATATAAGCAACAAAAATAAAATTAATTGAATTCTGCAAGTAGTAAAACACTAAATTAACTTACAAAATTACTAGTGTTCTTCTACAATGAAATAATAAACTTAAATACTTTTAAAGTATGAAGCAAACAAAATGTTGAAAATGAAACAACAAACTTTTGTGGCCTTAGACTAGTAAAACTATTCTCAAACTGACACAAAGATATGTAAAAACAAAGGTGAAGAATTGATGGATTTAACAACAGAATTAAATATTTTGAATCAAAATATTTTATAATATAAATAAATGATAAGATTGGAGATAGACTATATAATAATCTGTACTATCTAACATTGCTAAACAATTAATAGATTATACAAGAAAATTTTGCAAATCAATGAGAAAAATGGAAAAAATTAAATATGCAAATGATTCACAGAATCTGAGAACTGAATGGCTAATAGGTACAAATATGTATAAACTTATATCTCTATATATAATCTCTATATATCTGGGCCACACTATCACCATCTCTGCATTATAAGTTACATTAAGAACTATAGACTTTATTCTAAAATATTGAAAATATTGAGTGGTGTTTTAAGCACATTTAAATGCAATATACACATGAAAACTACGCTTTGGCTACATTCTATATTATAGCGAGGAGGACAGAAAAATTTCTAGTCAGAAAACCAGTTGGAAGTATTCTGTAACAATCAACAGGAGAACTGGAATTGGTAATGGAGATGAAGAAAAGTTTATGAATACAAAAGATATTTAACAAATAATGTCAACAGAGCAAGGTAATTTATTAGATTTGGAATTATAGAAGCAAGCAAAGGATGAGTCCAAGTTTTCTGGCTTGTGAAATTTCTCAGATAATGCTGTCAGAAGAAAAATACATAAAGAAATGACAGAGGATAGAGAAAGATTATCTCATTTATGGACTTAACTGAGCAGAGATCCAAATATAGACGTAAAGTAGGGAGGGATATATATATATATATATATATATATATATATATATATATATATCCCTCCCTACTTTACATATACATATATATATATCTATATATATCCCTACTTTACATATATATATCCATACTTTACATATATATGTATGTGTGTATATATATGTGTATATATATATACTCTTTAGCACCATAAATATATGAGCCTACAACAGAGACTAGAAAGGTATGGTAAAAGAGAAAGGACAACCAGGAGAAAGATATTTTATGAAAGCCAAGGAGAAAGAAATGCTTAGAAAGAGTATTCAACATTTTCAAAAATGGCTAAAAGGCAATGAAACATAATAACTGATGAATAATGTTTTAGTTTAGTGATTTTTGGTTAAGCGATGAAGCTGAAAGTATGAATACAACAGGTAGAACATATAAAGGGCTAATATTTATTGAGCGTTTATATAGATGCCAGGTATTTTCCTGAATTTTAATTAGAGTATTTTTCACTATAAGCATATGAGGTTGCTGTTATTATTTGTTCCGCATTTTATAGATGAGTAAACGCAGGCATCTTGAAGTACAACAAGTTCTCACTTAATCTCCTCAGCAGGTTCTTAGAAACTGCTACTTTAGGCCGGGCGCGGTGGCTCACGCTTGTAATCACAGCCCTTTGGGAGTCCGAGGCGGGTGGATCACGAGGTCAGGAAATCGAGACCATCCTGGCTAACAGGGTGAAACCCCGTCTCTACTAAAGATACAAAAAATTAGCCCTAGCCTGGGGTGGTGGCGGGAGCCTGTGGTCCCAGCTACTAGGGAGGGTGAGGCAGCAGAATGGCGGGAACCCAGGAGGCGGAGCTTGCAGTGAGCCGAGATTGTGCCACTGCACTCCAGCCTGGGCGACAGAGCGAGACTGTCTCAAAAAAGAAACTGCTACTTTAAGCAAAATGACATGTAATGAAACCAATTTTACCATAGGCTAATTGATACGCAAAAGAATTAAGTTCTCATGGCATATTTCTGGTCACAAAATCATCAACAACTTCTAAATAAAGACCAAAACACTTCTAATATTAGACATTAAAATAAATGTGTATTAAATATACATTTTAAAAATATTAATAAAAGCAAGTAAGATAATTACTTACTCCAGTTCAGGTTTTCAGGTGGCTAAAGACGTCCAGGCAGCTCAGGACGCAAGGTGGGTACCAGTCCTAGACAGGACGTCATTTCCTCACAGGGTGCATTCACCCAGACACTCACACTTACTCATGCTGGGACACTGTATACACACCAAGTAAACTAAGGTGCATATTTTTAGGATGTGGGAGGAAACAAGAGCAAACAAAGAAAACCCACACAGACATGGGGAGAATATGCAAATTGCACAGAGACAGTAGCCCCAGCGGAGAACAGATTCTCTTTTCTCATCTACGTTTTCATAAAACGACATTGAACAAAATGAAATTATTCAAGGACCTGTTGTACAATAATGAAAAGATCTCAATCCACAACTGTTCATGATGAAAATAACAGTTAAGTTGTTTTGAGCAAATTATAACAGTGAATAATATCATATAGAAACAAATATAAAGCAAAGTTACAGGAAAAAATGAAAAATAAAAATGTATAAACACTGCTGTAGCATTGACACTGAGTCATATTTGGTAATACATTAATTAGGAAAATTTAAAAATATATATAATATAGTTTTGGGATCGTGTATTTGTTTGCTTATGCAGTTGCCTAACAACAAGCAACAGATGCCTAAGTGGGCTCTTCTTCAATGAAGCTGTATGTCTTCCCCCGGGGGAAAAGGAAAGCAAACTTACTTTCTTTTTTTTTTTTTTTGAGGCGGAGTCTAGTTCTGTCGCCCAGGCTAGAGTGCAGTGGTGCAATCTCGGCTCACTGCAAGCTCTGCCTCCCGGGTTCATGCCATTCTTCTGCCTCAGCCTCCTGAGTAGCTGGGACTACAGGCGCCTGCCACTATGTCCGGCTAATTTTTTTTGTATTTTTAGTAGAGACGGGGTTTCACCGTGTTAGCCAGTAGCCAGGATGGTCTCTCTCTCCTGACCTCGTGATCCTCCTGCCTCAGCCTCCCAAAGTGCGGGGATTACAAACTTACTTTCTTGATGAGATTTGGTATGGGTATTGCAAATGACCAAAACTACTTTTATTTTACCATATTAAAGTCTTTTATAAAGAAAGTGATTTATTTTTACCTTCACAAAAGTAAATCCTGTAAAACAAACCTCCACATTTCCCTGCTGTCAACCTCAATGACCATAGTACATAAAGTAAATAAAGGGCAGTGAAAGATGTATAATGAGAATTCTTGGACTTCTGCAAAATATTCTGAGAATATTCGTACTCAGAGGTCTCCATCCAAAATGCTCATCTCCATTGTGTTATTGCTTAATTTTCTCTGTAGGAAGATGATGGGATGTGCCTATGTGTATATCTATGATCATACCACTCAAAGGTGCCATAGCAGGGGTGGGACAGTGAGAGTAGTCTGCACCAGGTGGAGGCAATATGAGTAATGAGGCATTCTCTATAGAATCTTTTAAAATAATAATGACATTGGTCAAACAGGCCAGCTACACACATTTGTTTCAAGTGTTAAGTTTGTGGCGGTTCGGAATAGATCAGAATCATTTTGCATGTCTTTCTTGTCTATGATGCCCATTTAGCTACATATTCTTTTGTTTAACAATAGATTCTACATAAACCATGCACCTAGTGATTGTAAACAGGTAGGACCAAAATTTGAGTTACTTCTATTATCACATCATGTGAAAAGTATTATCTGAACTTGACAGAAGAATTATTTTTGAAGCATTTCCTCTGATATATTTCCCCCCTTTTTAAAAAAATGCATTAATGCAAAATATATTTCTGATAAAGGGCTGTTACTGAAACTTTACAAGTAACTTAGCACTCAAAAATAAGGCAATATCATGACACTATTCACATTAGGAAAGCCATGAAATCAACCTTAGCGTCTATCAGCATTTTGCTGAATAAAGAAAATGTGGTATACATACACCATGGAATACTATGTGGTATATATACATCACGGAATACCATCAAAGATAATAAAATCATATCCTTTGTAGCAACATGAATAAAGCTGAAAGCCATTATCCTAAGTGAAATAACTCAGAAACAGAAAAGCAAATACCACATTTTCTCTCAGAAGTGTGAGCTAAATAATGTGTGCGCATGGATATAAAAATGAAAATAATAGACACTGAGGGCTCCAAAAGGGGAGAGATTGAAAGGGAAGTGAGAGTTGAAAGATTGCCTGTTGGGTACAGTGTTCGCTGTTTGGCTGCTGGGTGTACTAGGAGCACAATTCCCACCTTTATGCAATATAATCATGCAACAAATCTGCACATATACCCTTTGAATCTAAATTTAAAAAATTGAGCAACCAATTGAAAATGGACAAAGAGAAGAACCTACACCTCACCAAAGAAAATGTGCAGTTGACATATAAGCATATTAAAAGATGCTCCAGATCATATGTCATTAAGGAAATGCATAATAAGTAACCATGTGTTATCACTACATACCTAAAAGAATGACCAAAATCTAGAACACTGACAACACTAAATACTGGCAAGGATGTGAAGAAATAGGACTCTCATTGACTGTTAATGGGAATACAAAATGGTACAACTACTTTGAAAGACAGTTTGCCAGTTTCTTATAAAAGTAAACATTCTCTTACCAAACAATCCAGCATATTATGTTCCTTGGTATTTACCCAAATTAATGGAAAATTAAGTTCACACAAAAACTAGCACACAGATGTTTACTGCAGTTTTATTCATAATTGCCAAAACTTAGAAGCAACCAAAAGTCCTTCAGTAGGTGAATCGGTAATTAAACTGTGAATATCCAAGCAGTTGAATATTAGTCAGCACTAAAAAGAAGTGGACTATCAAGCCTTGAAAATACATGGAGAAAACTTAAAATGCACATTAATAAGTAAAATAAACCAATTGGAAAGGGCTACATACTGTATGATTGAAACTACATGACATTCTGAAAAAGACAAATCTGCAGAGACAGTAAAATGATTAGTGATTGTCAGGCATTCAGAGGAGGGAAAGATGGATAGACAGAGGACAGAAATGTTTAAGGCAGGGAAACTATTCTGTACGATATTATAATGGTGGACATATGTCATTATACATTTGTTAAACTCAATGAAAGTACAACACTCAGAATGAATCATAATGTAAACCACAAACTTAGGTTGATAATGACTCATCAATGTAGGTTCGTTAGTTGTAACAAGTGTGGGAGGTGTTGGTAATGGAGGAGGCTATGGATATGTGGAGTCGGGAAGAATAAGGTATGTAAAAGTAGTGTCCCTCAAGTTTGCTATGAAGCTAAAATTCTTCCCCCCACAATAAAGTTGATTTAAAAGAAAATATATTAATGTAATTAAAAAATACTAATTTATTTATTTTGTCCTTTTTCACAATAGTATATTTTAGTGGCTTATAAAGATTTCAATAAAGGAAAGTTTTCACTAAGTATCTTTTGTATTCATTATTAATATTTTTAAATTATTTTGAATAATTGTATTCAATAATAATTTTAATAATGCATGAATAATTTTAAAATAATCTTGCAGTGTAGAGAAGAACATATTAAAATATGATCTGTTCCAGTCATTCAATTTTATATCAAATATCTAGCTATTAATAATTTGTCCCAAGCCTTCCTTCTGAAGATTGTCTTTCTCTTGGAAAGCTAACTCTTTGCCTTGGATCAAATGAATGCACCTGAAATTTCTGTCAGTTTAAGATAATTTTATTTTTCTGCTCCCACCAGCCCACCAGAAATATCTATACTACTTTGAAGAAAGTTTAGAGGTTGTGTCTGAAATTTATTTTCAGAAATGGTTTCGGAACAACAATCTGGTGAATTTACACATAATGACATTTTTCTCTTAGATTTTCAGGTTTTCAGAGGCACTTGAAGGGGTTGTTGCAGACTGTAAGTATATAGGTGTTCCCGGAGCTGTTCCTTGGCATCTAAGTTTGGGTTCTTTATGTCAAAGTTCCCAAATACTTATTTTATGGCTTTCTTGCTATGACTGAAAGCAGGAATGTATGAAAATACTTTAGCTTATTGCACAGGGTAGTATTAGAGTAAGAGCATTTATTTTTTAAAAGGAGACTTTCGATCCCAATTATTTGTGTAATCTGATTATAAAATCAAATAATACCATAAGGTTTTAAGACAACCGTGTTTTATTCTAAATTCTTGGCCTAAAATATGTAGTGTCCCCCATCTACAGAGCTGTTTAGATGCAGTGAATCAATATCAAGATGCATCATCCATTTGTTAATGAATTTGAAGACGGAATAAGAAAAGAAACAAATTTAAATAAGTTTTACTTGACTTCATACTCTTTATATTTTAAACGTACACTTTTTAAATGGTCGTTTTTGCTTTATTGTTTTTTGTTGATTTGGTGTTTATTTCTGCTAGTAAATATCTATGAGAATTTTATAGACATTTTATTTATTCACAGAAAGTTCAGTATTAACATCAAGTGTTTGTTACAGTAAGTTTAAGAATAAGAAGCTCTAGTTGCAAGACATTTTCAATCTTTTCTTTCTTAGCTATGATTTATAAATATAATTTCAACTACTATTTGTGGTATGCATTTACTTTTCTCCCTAATTGCCATTCTGATCCAATAGTAAAATTTCTAAAAGTATTTTAAATGATTCTATAAATAACTATATTTACAAATCAATAAAGATAGGTATTCAAAATACGGAAAACATTTGCAAATATGCTTTTCTAAATATGTCACTAGCTCCCAGGAAGAAGACAGAATTATGGATTATATTTGCTACTAAAATAGTCAATTATTTGTTTGTTTTTGTTACTGTTAAATACGATTAGATGTCCCCCTAAGGTTCATAATGGTTTTCTAACCACAGGGACTATAACTTTGTAAACTATTCAGCAGGAGATATTAATTACTATGTTTATTAAACAGAGAAGAGTGGTATTCTTTCCTACTGGTGTTGTGTTTGCATCTCAACTCAGTATTTAACAGCACTGCTATGTGAGTACATAACATTCTTTATGATTAATTATAGCTCATTATCTTCCACTCAAAGTAAAAACATAATTTTCTTAGACTTTATTTGTCATTATGTTTATTTACATGGTTTGCATGTGTTTAAGATTAACCATTACAAAATAGTTGAAATGGCAGGACCTTTGAAAAACAAAAATAAATGAAAACCTTAGAAAAATAAGTTAGGGAAGGCAAGATGGTTATATTCTGGAAATATCCATAGTAATTTATCTTTGAAAGATTATGTTTTGTAAGTTGGGATGGCTACAAAATTACATATTAACACATATAACTTAGAATTATTTAATAGATTCTGACTTTCATTTAAAGATGCACTACTTGCCCATTAACAGTGAAAGGAAGTAATATACGATAGTGTATATGTGCACACATATTTCAAATTGGTCCCACTGAAACAAATTGGCCATGTACTTCTTTTCTTTTCTTTTCTTTTTTTTTTTTTTTTTTGAGAAGGAGTCTTCCTCTGTCACCCAGGCTGGAACGCAGTGGCGCGATCTCGGCTCACTGCAAGCTCCGCCTCCCGGGTTCACGCCATTCTCCTGCCTCAGCCTCCCGAGTACCTGGGACTACAGGCGCCCGCCACCACACCTGGCTAATTTTTTGTATTTTTAGTAGAGACGGGGTTTCACTGTGTTAGCCAGGATGGTCTCGATCTCCTGACCTCGTGATCCGCCCGCCTCAGCCTCCCAAAGTGCTGAGATTACAGGCGTGAGCCATTGCACCCGGCTGGCCATATATTTCTTTGTTTGCTTTTTAACTAACATTGATCTACATTTTATAAGCAAAACAATTTGGAGAAAGTGAATATACTCTGCATGGATCATACTACTCAGTGAGCTTATTTGGTATGGTATAATTTAAAAATATTTAAGTGGGTCTTAGTTATTGCATCTGATTCTACAACTGAAATTTAATTGAAAACTTATGAGATCTTTTGAACATTTTTAGTTTAACCCTTTTAATTGTTTTTTCAAAAATGATGATTTTTTTCTTTTTTCTTTTTTTTTGTCATCCAGGCTGGAGTGCAGTGACGTGATCTATGCTCATTGCAACCTCCACCTCCTGAGTTCAAGTGATTCTCCTGCCTCATCCTCCTGAGTTGCTGGGACTACAGGCATGCGCCACCACGCCCGGCTAATTTTTGTATTTGTAGTAGAGATGAGGTTTCACCATGTTGGCCAGGCTGGTCTCAAACTCCTGACGTCAGGTGATCTGCCTGCCTTGGCCTCCCAAAAGTGCTGGGATTACAAGTGTGAGTTACCACACCTGGCCAAAAAATGATGAATTTCACCAAGTACCTTCTTAATTATCACCTACAACTATAACCTCAAGGTCTAAGGCCATATAGAATATATACCAACACAGTGAAATTTATTTGAAAGAGATGAATTAGTATGGAATCATATATCTTTGTTGAATTGGCGAACTTATGTTTGAGTCTTTCAAACTACAAAAGTTTAGATACTAATCCCTATTCAATACCTTATAGGTCAAGGAACAGGTTTTCTGTTATACTTACTCTGAGACTGTATTGAATTGAAATTTGATCCCAAATATTCTGTGCATATGGTCATGCAAGTATATTATTTTTAAGAACATGTTGGATAAAGAAATACCCACTATTGATTAAATTAGCCATACTCTAGATGAGGCTTGGTTTTGCATATATCAAGGAAAAAAAGGAAATTGGTATAATATTTCAACAAGAAATCAAGAATTTCCATCTCTTAATTAGTTTCTTCTATTTACAAAGCAAATTTAAAATTTTTATAATCTAGATATTCTTGTTGGAATTATTGGCATTTTATTATAGTTATTTTGTCAATACTTAGAAACACACAGCTACTTATAATATTCTTACAATATAGAAGACAATATGTTATCAAAATTGCCAATTATAATTTTTAATTATTTATTCATACATTTTCTTTTTTGTTGTTGTTGTTTTACAGGCAGCCTAAATGGATTTATTATGTATAAGAATCCTCATCTCACATTATCTAAGAAAAAAATTGATGTTTGGTAAGAAAAATTAATTCACAATAATAACATGAGCCCTTACACTTATCAGAAAAACCCAGGTATTTACAAAGTGTAGATAAAAATCTGTTTTTTAAATTTTTATTGTTTTTTTATTTTTTTATTTTATTATTATTATACTTTAAGTTTTAGGGTACATGTGCACAATGTGCAGGTTTGTTACATATGTATACATGTGCCATGTTGGTGTGCTGCACCCATTAACTCGTCATTTAGCACTAGGTATATTTCCTCATGCTATCCCTCCCCCCTCTGCCCACCCCACAACAGTCCCCGGAGTGTGATGTTCCCCATCCTGTGTCCATGTGTTCTCATTGTTCAATTCCCACCTATGAGTGAGAACATGCAGTGTTTGGTTTTTTGTCCTTGTGATAGTTTGCTGAAAATGATGTTTTCCAATTTCATCCATGTCCCTACAAAGGACATGAACTCATCATTTTTTATGGCTGCATAGTATTCCATTGTGTATATGTGCCACATTTTCTTAATCCAGTCTATCATTGTTGGACATTTGGGTTGGTTCCAAGTCTTTGCTATTGTGAATAGTGCCACAATAAACATATGTGTGCATGTGTCTTTATAGCAACATGATTTATAATCCTTTGGGTATATACCCAGTAATGGGATGGCTGGGTCAAATGGTATTTCTAGTTCTAGATCCCTGAGGAATCTCCACACTGACTTCCACAATGGTTGAACTAGTTTACAGTCCCACCAACAGTGTAAAAGTGTTTCTATTTCTCCACATCCTCTCCAGCACCTGTTGTTTCCTGACTTTTTAATGATCACCATTCTAACTGGTGTGAGATGTTATCTCATTGTGGTTTTGATTTGCCATCACTCTGATGGCCAGTGATGATGAGCGTTTTTTCATGTGTTTTTTGGCTGCATAAATGTCTTCTTTTGAGAAGTGTCTGTTCATATCCTTCGTCCACTTTTTGATGGGGTTGTTTTTTTTCTTGTAAATTTGTTTGAGTTCATTGTAGATTCTGGATACTAGCCCTTTGTCAGATGAGTAGGTTGCGAAAATTTTCTCCCATGTTGTAGTTTGCCTGTTCACTCTGATGGTAGTTTCTTTTGCTGTGCAGAAGCTCTTTAGTTTAATTAGATCCAATTTGTCAATTTTGGCTTTTGTTGCCATTGCTTTTGGTGTTTTAGTCATGAAGTCCTTGCCCATGCCTATGTCCTGAATGGTAATGCCTAGGTTTTCTTCTAGGGTTTTTATGGTTTTAGGTCTAACATGTAAGTCTTTAATCCATCTTGAATTAATTTTTGTATAAGGTGTAAGGAAGGGATCCAGTTTCACCTTTCTACATATGGCTAGCCAGCTTTCCCAGCACCATTTATTAAATAGGGAATCCTTTCCCCATTCCTTGTTTTTCTCAGGTTTGTCAAAGATCAGGTAGTTGTAGATATGCGGCATTATTTCTGAGGGCAAAACAGCATGGTACTGGTACCAAAACAGAGATATAGATCAATGGAACAGAACAGAGCCGTTATTCATACATTTTCTAATGGCACACATATGGATCTACTTCTATGAAAATGATTTAGAAATTCATATCAGATTTTTCAGATTCTTCTATTTTCATGATAAAAATTAAGTTCTTTAGAAATAATTGTTCTAATACTTAGCATTTATTAATTATAATAATAAAATACTCAAATTACATTAATGTTTGGAATCCAATGTCAGCCAAACACTAATTCACCAGCAAGTTTTTAAAAAAATAATTTCATACAAGTGTCAGTGTTCAGTCATTATATAGGTAAAACCTTTACAGCTCAAGTCCTCTGTCAGTGTCCATCAGGTTTTTGACTAACTGCAAAACTTTCTGAAGACTAAGTACTTATTTCTGCTTTCAAATGTTTGGGAAAGTATATTGAATTTTACATGTATTTGAATAAGATTTCATGCAGATTTGATGACACCGAGAAGGTTTTGGAGTTCTTCATCTTTTCACTAAAAAGCACTATAAATAAATCCAGGTATACCGCTGACAATATGTGTGCAAAGTGTTTCCCTACTTAAAATTGCTGAACCCATATCAAGTTTTTAAGATGGCCACACATTATCAAATAAACTCTGATATTCCACGTCATGCAGGTTATTCATAATCATCTCAACATCTATGAAACCCCAGAATATCTCATAAAATAAGATGGCTGCTAATGTTTTCTGCAAATATCTTGAAAAATTGAATCAACAAATGTTGTCTATCATTTTAAGGAATTGTGCATAAATTTATACAATTGTATGAGTAAGTTTTGAAATCAAAAACAAAATATAGCTTCTCCTCTATTTTCCACAAATATGAATTATCAAAATTTCAAGATATTGCCTTTCATTCATATTTTTTTACTAGTGGTAGACTGTTTAAAGTATTCACTCATTCAGCATAGAGATTTGGAACACCTACTATGTGCAGGCAGGCAGATCATTAGGGATATAGCTGTAGTAGGAAAGAAAATCTAGACAAGAAAACTTTCTTCCTTCCGCTACAGTGGCTAACAATTATATAATTAATAAATTAAATATATAGCCATGGTCTTCACATCTGAGCACATATGTTTATAGTTTGATCTAAACATCTGATCATAATTATAAATACAAAGGACATAGTTTTGCTTATTATAAACATAAATATTTTGTCAATAACTGCAAAGTGTGTGAGGTTTTACTCATGTGCTAACACACTAGCATGGCAAAGTTTGCTAGATGCTGGCAGAAGGCATGAGACTCCAGGGTCAGAAAAAGGATTTTTTTTTTGGCTAAGCAGACAGCATGTTTCATGTTTGTAAGTCTCATGGGGGCAATGCTGGGATATGACTATGTGCATGACACACAGACAGTGGAGTTGTCTCAACTGAGAAACCATGACCTTTTGAAATCCCCAGTGTTATGAATTTGCTAGCAAACCTGCCCGATGTTTGCCCTGTAGAGAAACATTGTCTTTATTATACTGCTAGGAATGACAAATATGACCTCTTCCTCAGAGGGAGATACTATATCTACCTTCCAAAGTTGTTTGCTATACAGATGGATTTGGAAGGAGAGCCTGTGAGAGTTTATGAAAACTGTCACTAGAATAGAATTGTTTTATTATAATGGTAAAAATTGTTGTAGTACCTTTAAATGCATCCAGTGGAATCTAAAAGTCATCGTGATTTCACACCCTTCTCATCACTCCTTATTTTCATTGGACTCAAATTCCTAATTATATTACCATCAGAAAATTGTGGCAATATACTTCTTATCCCTTATTAATTTCATATTATATGTTGTGTAATATTGTATAATTTAAATTTAATTATTTTTTTATTGTACATAAGAATCTTACATTTTTCTTTTTTAAATTTTATTTTTCCACAAGTTATTGGGGTACAGGTGGTATTTGGTTACATGAGTAAGTTCTTTGGTGGTGTTTGTGAAATTTTGGTGCACCCACACCCAAGCAGTATACACTGCACCATATTTGTAGTCTTTTATCCCTCGCCATCCTCCCAGTCTCGTCCCCAAGTCCCCAAAGTCCATTGTATCATTCTTATGCTTTTGTGTCCTCAAAGCTTAGCTCCCACATATCAGTGAGAACATACCATATTTGATTTTCCATTCCTGAGTTACTTCACTTAGAATAATTGTCACTAATCTCACCCAGGTCGATGCAAATGCCATAAATTCATTCCTTTTTATGGCTACATAGTATTCCATAGTGTGTGTGTGTGTGTGTGTGTGTATCTTTATCCACTAGTTGATTGATAGGCATTTGGGTTGGTTCCATGATTTTGCAATTGTGAATTGTGCTGCTATACACATGAGTGTGCAAGTATCTTTTTCATGTAATGGCTTATTTTCTTCTGGGTAGATACCCAGTAGTGGGATTGCTAGATCAAATGGTAGTTCTACTTTTAGTACTTTAAGGAATTTCTACACTGTTTTCCATAGTGGCTGTAGTAGTTTACATTCCCACCAGCAGTGTAGAAGTGTTCCATGTTCACTTCATCTACGCTAATACCTACTGTTTCTTGATTTTTTGATTATGGCCATTCTTGCAGGAGTAGGATAGTATCACCATGTGGTTTTGATTTGCATTTCCTTGATCATTAGTGATGTTGAGCATTTTTTCATATGTTTGTTGGCTATTTGTATACTTTCTTTTGAGAACTGTTTATTCATGTCCTTAGCTCACTTTTGGATGGGATTGTTTGTTTCTTTCTTACTGATTTGTTTGAGTTAGTTGTAGATTCTCGATATTGGTCCTTTGTCAGATGTGTAGATTGTGAAGATTTTCTACCACTCTTTGGGTTGTCTGTTTACTCTGCTGACTGTTCCTTTTGCCATGCAAAGCTCTTTAGTTTATTTAGGTCTCAGCCATTTATCTTTGTTTTTATTGCATTTGCTTTTGGGTTCTTTGTCGAAATACTTGCCTAAGCCAATGTCTACTTTGAGTTATCTTAAAATTATTATTGATATGCCATCAATCAAAATCATAAATAGCTTATAAAATGTAGATAAATCATTATTTAACAGAAAGTATAATGTTACTTAAAATGTATCCTTTAATGAGATAGCTACTTTTGCTCCCAATGTATCTATTAATGAATATTACATATTGACAGAATAAATAGAGTTTCAGCAACAATTTTTTGTCACCTTTTAAGTGGAATCATGCAGTATTTATTCTTCTGTGACTGGCTTATTTTACTAAGAATAATGTTCTCAAGGTTCATCCATGTCATTGCAAATAGCAGGATTTCCCCCTTTTTAAAGGCTGACTAAACATATAAATGTATGTATATACGATATCATACCTATTAATTCATCTGTCAATGAGCATTAGGTTATGTCAATTAATTGGTTATTGTGAATAGTGCTGCAATGACAGGTAAGTGCAGATATCTTTTTGAATACTGATTTAAATTTTTGTAGATATATATCCAGAAGTGGTACCATAAGATCATATGGTAGTTCTATTTTTGATTTTTTGAGGAATTTCCATACTGTTTTTCTTAGGGCATGCATTATTTTATATTCTCAACAATGGTGATATACAAAGGTTCCCTTTTCTTCACAGCCTTGCCAAGACTTTTTATCTTTTGTTTTTTTGACAACAGTCATACTAAGTGATGCAAGGCAATATCTCATGGTTTTGATTTGCATTTCCCTGGGTATGAGCAATGTTGAACATTTTTTTCATACACCTGTTGGCCATTTGAATGTCTTTGAAATCTCTACTGAAGCTTATTTTTAAATCAGATTACTTGTTCTTTCTTTATTTATTTTGAGATGGTAGGAGTTCCTTATTAGATCTACAGTGGCTTGCGAATATTTTCTCCCACTTCGTAGGTCTCTTTTTATTCTGTTTATTGTTTCTTTTGTATGCAGAAACTTTTTATTTATTTCATTTGTCCATTTTTACTTCTGTTACCTGTGCTTTTGGGGTCATATTTTTAAAAATTGGCTGGTCATAGTGGCTCATGTCTGTAATCTCAGCCCTTTGGGAGGCCAAGGTGGACAGACCACTTGAGGTCAGGAGTTCAAGTCCAGCCTGACCAACATGGTGAAACCCCCTCTCTATTAAAAATATAAAAATTAGCCGGATGTGGTGGCTGGCACCTGTAATCCCAGCTACTTGAGAGGCTGAGACAGGACAATTGCTTGAACCCAGGAGGCAGAGGTTGCAGTGAGCTGAGATCATGCCACTCCACTCCAGCCTGGGTGACAGAGTGAGACCCCATCTGAAAAAAAAAAAAAAAAAATCTTTGTCCAGACGAATGTCACGGAGCATTTCCTCTGTTTTTTATTATAGTGGTTTGATAGTTTCAGGTATTAGATTTAAGTTTTTAATCCATTTTGAGTTGATATTTTAAGCATATTTTAAAATAAAAATTCAATTTCATTATTTCCACATAATTATTCACCTTTTTCAACACCATTTATTGAAGACATTATTTTTTTCCCCATTGTGTAATCTTGGTACCCTTGTAAAAGATTAGTTGACTGTGTATTATGCTGATATAATTCTGGCTCACCCTGTTTCATTGGTCTATGCCTATTTCTTTATGCTAGTACCATACTGTGTACATTTTTATTACTGTAGCTTTGAAATATTTTCAAATAGGAAAGTAGATGTCTCAGATTTCTTCTTCTAACTCTGTATTTCTCAGCTTTCAGGTTTTGTGTGTTTTTTCTCAATTATTTCTGCTGCTCTGTGGTAGAGATTGTTTGTTTGTTTGTTTGTTTTGGAAACAGAGTCTCTTTCTGTCGCCCAGGCTGGAGTGCAAAGGCGCAATCTCAGCTCACTGAAACCTCCACCTCCCAGGTTCAAGTGATTCTCCTGCCTCAGCCTCCTGAATAGCTGGGATTACAGACGGGCTTGGTAGAGATTTTAATGTATTGTTGTGACTCATGTTTTTCAGGTCTATTGTAAGCAAAACAAATAAAATTAAGAGAGTTCATTTTTCTTGTTGAAAATAAGGAAAGAAATTTTCCTTCTTTCATTTTTCTTAAAATATTTACTTTAAAAAACTTCTAAGTATGTTCTGTCTTTGAAACATGTATATTTCCTTTTGAAAGTTAGCTAGGCTTTCTATCACTTTATGACCCAGAAATTTCTTTCTCAAGGACTTGAAGACCATCTCTTTTAAATGTAAACAATAAAGTAGATAATACCTCTATTTCCCAGTTTTTATGGAAAAGCAGAACCCTAACTTTGGTGACTGATTTGCTCCAGTTTGCAAAACGACCTCCTGTTTAAAGATATGAAAAGACACTTTCTCCTTTGGATAAAGCCAATTAGCTAAGAC
This sequence comes from Homo sapiens, assembly GCF_000001405.40. Taxonomy (NCBI): domain Eukaryota; kingdom Metazoa; phylum Chordata; class Mammalia; order Primates; family Hominidae; genus Homo; species Homo sapiens. The sequence goes on from NC_000001.11 coordinate 190,033,628, forward strand.
AAGTGGCCCTCCCAATTACCATACATTAGGATGAGCTATGTGTGATGAAAGGTTCTGTCAAGTCCTCTTATTTGAGAACCAGTTAATATTTATGTTTATTCAATAATGAGAATGTTGTCTTTCTCTACTACCTTGGTGGAGAGAATCTCTTGGTTAGAAGAAGATTTTGTTTTTATTTATACTTTCCTATCATCCTGCTATGTATCCTATCTATTGTCATAGTTTTAATGTGTTTATGTTTGTGCATATATATGTGTGTGTTATATATCAGTTAATATATTCATCAATATTTCCACTTGGTTCTTTTTATTATTCTTGTTGTATGTTGCTAATATTTTGATTCACATTTTTTAAAAAACAACCTAATTGTTAGTTATTTTTCTTCCTCTTCACATAACTTTCCTCAGTGGAGAATTATTCCGTATGTTATTTAGTATGTTATATTTTTTAAGTATGTATGCTTTTTACATGTTTAGTTTTGGCATGTGAGTTTGTGTTCTCCTTGTGGAATCAGTTAATTTAGTAACAATGATAGTCCTATAACAGGCTCTTATCCATAAATTTAAAGAGAAGTAGGGAATTAGCTTCAAGGTGGCAGGTTCCTGGTGTAATTCACCCGGAGAGGAAAGGGATAAGTGAAAATTCAAGAAGTAAAAGCTCTGGCCAGTGGAAGCATTTTAACATCAGCTTTTTACTTCACTAAAGCTTTCGTACCACCTTGATATCCGGTGAACATCAATATCAACTGTTGTTGCTGATTTCTGCAGCAAAAGGGAGGCAATCATTGTTCTAAAACAATGTGGGGAGTAAAAGCAAGATCTGATGCTTAAAACTCTTCGTCCAACATCGAGCGTTCTTCTTGATGCTCTCTGGTCTAGACCTACAGCCACATCTCCCATACTCACCCATCCTCCAGCATTTCTGTATCCTGTATTGTCTTCACTAGTTTCTTGAATCTCTTTTCTTTTCTTGCCTCTATAATATCTTCAGGTTTGATTTGGAGTGAGAAAATCTGCTTTCCATGCTATATATCTCCTCCTGACATTAACTGGAAGTCTCATTTTCTGAAATTTCTAATATAATTTTGACACAGCCTTTTTTTTTTTTAATACCCACTGAGAAAGAAATCCTGAGATGTGGCAAACATAGCAGATGACTGGAATATACTAAGTAATGTTGGCCGGGTGCAGTAGCTCATACGTGTAATCCCAGCTCTTAGGGAGGCAGAGGCGGGAGGATAGCTTGAGCCCAGGAGTTTGAGAACTGCCTGGGCAATATAGTGAGACCCTGTTTTCCACAAAAAGAAAAAAAAAAAGCCAAAAATCTCAACCAACCAACCAACCAAACAAACAAATTTCCTAAGTAATGTCTACATTAAAGGAGGCAGGGCTGTTTAGAAAGGAACAAAGATATTTGCAAGACAGAATATTAGCATCAGGTGAACAGGACAGAAGTAGAGAAATTCCACTGAATGGGAAGGTTAAGTAAATATATACGAAAATGCTAATATTCTTTATTTACATTTAACATGTTGGTTAAAATGTTCAACTTTTATATACAATAAATAGAAATATGAGTTAAAATTCACAATTTACAAGTTTGATAATTCTCTGCTGTTACTAATAGTTATGAGATTTTGTAATGCCGTTATCCAGGAAACTCTATTTTCAAAGTATAATTTATCTTTAACTTTGATTGAAAGAATATACATCTTTAAAACCAATGCTTTTGTTGCCATTTTGGTGGTACATATCTAAGCTGGTGCATACATATTTCGAAGCAGGTATACTTTAATGATAAATAAAATATAAACATGGTGCAAATAGTTATGTTATTGAGCAAAGCATTCAACCAATGGTAAATGTATTATTATTGCATTTCTAAACTCTTTTTTTTTTCATTTGTATAGCAGATTGCAGGGACAAAGCTATGCTAAATGTACTAACATTGCGTTTCTGCACTCATTTTTTTGTTATTCACATAGCAGATTGCATGGAGAAAATTATTGATATTTTATACTATGGCAAAATTTGAATGCTCATCTACTGATCTACTTGGTAAATTATTTCTGAAGATTGAAAATATTTGCATAGTTTTTCTGATGAATATTCCAAAAATTAAGGTTTAATAATAATGCTTAATTGACTAACAGAATTACAACTCTAAAATAATTGTAGAAATTGTGTTTTCTCGGCCATCTGCTCTCTTTACATTACCACAGTTAGGCATCTTCCTGTCTGCACCTCACACTCCACACAGCATTTAGGGCATGCACTGCATCTAAATTATCACCTAATTAGAGAATTAGCCTGAGGTTACATAGTATGAATCAAATGCTTCTCCCTTTGAAGATACTGCTGCCCCAGGAATTGAAAGCATAGATCCAATGGCATGTCATTTGTTTTTGGCAATGATTCCAGAGAAAGCTATATTGCCTTTGAGTCAATTAAAATAGCAGTAAATCTTTCAACTTCAAAAGATGCATCAGGTTGAATTTATTAAAGAGACAGTTTGGGGTTTAAAAATTTACACGCAGTATAAACAATCACACTATCATTACGAAGAAATCTGTTATACAACAGTGACCAACCACACAAATTTTAGTTTCTGTAATCTTTGTGTATCTAGGGACACTTGTATCTGAAGTGGTTTACATGTAAGTTTTTTACGATTTTAATTTTATTTTGTCATTTCTACAGTTAATTTTTAAAATTTGCCTTTAAAATAATTGATTTTTAAAAATTCTTAGGGCACCCTTGAACTTCCTTTCTTAAAACACATTGATATTCACAACTGCCTGTACCAAAGCAAATGTATGCTATATAAACGAGGTCAGGAGATTGAGACCATCCTGGTTAACACGGTGAAAACCTGTCTCTACTAAAAACACAAAAAAATTATCCAGGCATGGTGGTGGGCGGCTGTAGTCCCAGCTACTTGGGAGGCTGAGGCAGGAGAATGGCCTGAACCCGGAAGATGGAGCTTGCAGTGAGCCAAGATTGCGCCACTGTACTCCAGCCTGGGCGACAGAGCAAGACTCTGTCTCAAAAAAAACAAAAAAAACAAAAAACGAAAAAACAAAAAAACAAAAAAGAATATCCCAAATAGTAACTTACATCTTAATAACTTCAGTTTAATATGTCTCATAACATGTTGTACTAACCCATAGTAAAAATCTCTTTATGGAAATCTCAAGTTGTGTTAGTTGCTTGACTTGTCTCTGAGTCTATCTGGGTTAACTTATAGTTTAACTTTAGCTTTCTGGCTTTTTGCATGTGGCTTCATGGGAAGAATATTCATGGTTTTTGCCCTTATAAAGGAAGAACTAAGAACCTCAGGTAGAGTTGAGTAACCTTAAGTAGTCTGCCTACTTTGTGAACTGTTTTGTGACCTGTGAGGGTCTCACTGAGGATCAGCAACACTGTCAATCATTAAGACAATTTTAAACATTTTACTAAATATTTTAAAATATATTTATCTCATTTTTCTGGAAGTTCCGAAAGATAAGCTGTTATATATAAAAATGGTTCAGCAATTCATGAATGCTCACAGAACTTTTATTTTCTTAAGCAAGCATTATAAATTTTGTCTGACCTACTCTTCTGTAGGCATTCCTTCTGAGATTTAATGGATGTTTGAATATAATCTCTCTTTTGTGGTTTCAAAGACAAGCTAGAGTTAGAAAATTTAGGAATAGGCTGGGAACTTGAAAAAAATTTCCCCAGGGATTTAACAACAATGTTACATTCAAATAATGATCTGTTTAGAAATACTATATGTTAAGTTTTTAATGTCTATGCTTATTAATATTATCCTGAATGTATACTCATGGTTTTTGGAGCAAAGCATATTTTCATTCACTTAAAGCCAATAACCTTGCCGGTTAAAGCAATAACCATGCCAGTTCCCCAAGTCCCAATATGCCCTTCTAGGGCAACACTGTGAGAGTAAGTTAGGAGGTCATTCACAGGCACCAGAGTGGCAAGAAGTACGGAAGCCCCAACTATATGAATCTAGGAGATCGTGTAGCAGTGGGTCAGTTGTCACATATTCCCTTTCAGAAATATACAGAGAAACATTTTGCTTCCTAATAAATGTTTCTCTTGAGAACTAAAGGGAAAAGATCCTGGATTACTTCCCTTTGGAATGTAAATGTATGTTTTTAGGGGGAAGATTAAACTAATGTCCCAAACTTTAAAACCCCCAGAATATCTGTATGGTCTTGTGTCTCATCCTCCTTGAAATGTAAACGCATACCTCTAGAGAAGTAAAACTTGATCTGGAGTTCTTTTTCTAGTCAGCATAATTTTACTTCCAAGGCTGTCTTTTAGTCTAGGTTCTAAGTTTCAGTAAAATTTTCACAGAAAGTCCTAACTGTGCAGAAAGATAAGAATACTTTTTCTAGTCTCACACTATACCTTTAGCTAATATAAATAGTACAATAGTACTGAAGAGAAAATACGTTGTCATATTGTTCACAAAAGTGGCAAAAATTTGACAGAAGCAAATGGAAAACTCTTGATAAAAATATATCAAGTAAAACACATCCTTAAATTACTTATAAAATCAAATGCATACCCATTCCAGAGAGTTGCACTAATAAAAGATAATGTAATCTTTTATTTGATTGTTTCATTCCTAGAATAAAGTATTATTCTTCTAACTTTTAGGCAATTGATAAAATTATTTTCATAATTATTTAAAATATTTTATTTTTGGAAGACAATATTAAAGAGACATATAATCTCATATTACTTAGTCTGGTTTATAAATGTTTTAGTACATTTGGTAATAGATAAAACATCTTGTTGTTTAAGAAGAGAATATCCTACAACAAAAAATGAAGCCGTGAGGAATATTGTTCTTTGAAGAGTCTAAGAAGTAGCTAAAGGTCACAACACGTATATCCTTGCATTGCAAAGCAGTCTCTATATGAACAGAAGATTGACATTCCTCACCAAAGAAGAGGTCTTTGAAAAATAAATTTTCAAAAGTTTAAAAATGGAAAATATCAGTTGAAAAATAAATTTCAAAAACTAAAAAAAAGTGAAATAGACAAAAAATACTCAGTTTGCATAACTTCAATATAATTTTTGTGTTTGTATCTAACATTATCCTAATAATTCAAATATATTGTCATACTCAGACATTTCATGAGATGCTTTTTTTGTATAATATCCAACCTTGAGGCAATGAAGCTATCACAGTGGTATAAAAGAAAACAAATTGCATTTTTATTCTTCCTCAAAAAGTGTTAGAATAAATTTCATAAGGAGAGAATCATTTTTAAAACATTTCTTATGTAGGCTAGTAAAGAACTTGTATACAAATGTACAAGGGGGAAAAACGAATCTTACACAAGATTGTTTATGATAGAAGCCAAATTTCAAATAGCATTATGTAATTGCATTTCTATTGTAGCTAGTATTGATTTATAGTCTTATTTTGGTAGAATAAAAAATTATACTAATGGGAAGATACAAATCAACATGATATTCTGTAAATAAGAGAGATAAAATACACCAGGGAGGATGATAGACACAGCTAAGTAGAAACAACTGTCTTTTCTTTTGACAATAATTTAGAAAGTAATTGATTAATTCTAACCAAGTGTGTGTTTGTGACGACCCCAGTCGAGACATCTTGCTCTTGCTGAATGTATGAATTTTGGTATTCGTGTATTTTTGTCAGAGTTGCATATTAACATACTGAAAAGTCAGCTTCTCAATCTCTTGTATATAATATTGCTGTAAATGTTAGTAAGCTAACTTGATTGCCTTTTTATGTTTTTAATAGGTTAGCTTGAATAGCTTCATAATGTCAATAGTCATTTAGAAAATGATGTTACTTGGAGAGAATGGTGATCTCCCTTTCCCTACTGGCAACTACAGGCCAGACTTCCACAGCCAAGGTGATGAGGAGCTATGAGGCAATTAAACAATAAATGTGAAGTCAGCCTCCTCATTTTTACTCAGAATTGGACTAATTCCACCAAACAGATTGGACAAACACCTACTAACGCCAAAACTTGAGGCAATTATTCTAAAGAAAAGAGGATGTTCTAATAATCTGTACATGTACTTTAGACCACAGGCCAGAGGGAGAATTATCCAACAGCTTATGTGATGATACGTCCCTCTTTGGTTTGTAGTATATATGTAATTGCCTCAGTTGTTCCCTCACTTCATTTGTTCACCAAAAAAAAATATACTTTGCTCAGATTGGTGATATAAATCCAAGTTAAATATCAAATGCTCCACAAAATAAACCAGTGTGCTATAGGTAGGTAATATAAACCCAAAATCATCACAAGATTTTCTACACTTAGCTAATAATCTATCCTTACTCTCATCTTTGCCTGCAAGAAATACTACTCTGTTTTCAAATGTTGTAACCTCTGTACAATCTCCAAGACATTTTAATTTTACCCTGTCTTTTATCTGACAGAGTTACCTGCATATTTTCTTATATATCGTCACCTTATATTTTCAGAAAAATAATTGTACTTCAATAGAAATCTCTATGCATGCTCTGTAGCATGCTCCAGGTTACCTGAATCTGATTTTATGGAAACTATTTTATAAGTCCGTAAGTCATAGACCCCCACTGCATACCTGAAACCACAGATAGCACTAAACCCTATACAGGTCTTTCTCAATTTGCTATGGGGTTACACCCTGATAAGTGCATCATAAATTGAAAATATTTTTAAGTCAACAATGCATTTAATAACTCGATAAACTTCTCATAATGTAAAAAAAAAAGTAGGTCAAACCATTGTAAGTCAGAGACCATCTGTATATACTATGTTTTCTCAATCTAATAATCAAGGCTCCCAAGTGACTAAGTTGAAGGTAGCATATGAAGTATGGATATCCTGGATAAAGAGTTGATTAATGTCCAGGGCCAGAGGAAGCAGGACAGCACAAGATTTTATCTTGCTAATCAGAATGGCAGAAAATATCTCTTCTCTGTAGACAGAAGACAAGGTGGCAATTCTAAAGAAAAGAGGGTGTTCTAATAATCTTTACATGTACTTTAGACCACACAAGGAGGTAATATATCATTATGTGCTTTTGGCTTCTCAGATATTCTATTAATTATAACATTACAATAACATCCAAGTATATTTGATTAATATATAAAACTTTATTCAATAACTGTGGCAATATTTGCTTAGGAGAGTCAGGAACAAATGACTCTTGATTTCAATGTACTGATAGCATTTTAGACATTATTATCACATATCTGGAGTAATAATTATTCTCCATGCTATTTTTCCTTAGCTGCCCATATTTCTGAATTTTCCTAACTCTGATTCCCTATAATATAAAGCGTTTCTCTAGAATGTTGCACAAGGATGTTTGTGAAATACTACCTTTAGGAATAACAAATGCCCATTCTCTCTTTCTTTCTATTTAATGGACTCTGTTCTGCCCCCGGGATACTGCTAAACGTAGGAGCAGGCAAATTGCTTCTTCTTCCTTTGGCTCAAATATTTTGGAAAAATGGAGAACCCTACAGAGCTCAATGGAAAAGTACCCATAGAACTGTGCAATTTTCTCATTTTTAGTTTTCTTTTTTTTAATGGATGTTTCAAGACTAAGATTTGTTGTGGACTTAAGTTTAAGGAGAAAGAATTTCAAAGAAAGTCAAAACACATGTGAAATGATAAATGTGATGTTTGTATCTTGTTAGTGAGCTCCTTGAAAGTGCTTGCTGCTTTGAGGTAGAGTAAAGAATATTGGGTAAATAATAATTCCTGCAGAGTGAAAGTTGTTCATAGAGAGAAATCTTGCAGAGATGCTTAGAAAATCTACATCACAAGAAATCCTTTTCAGCAGAAGAGTCTTCCTCTGAACTTGCACATAGGTCAGAAAGACTTAAAATGCTTCTTTATTGATAATGGCAGAAGTTTAAATAAGTTTCAGGTGATGTCTATACAAATCTATAAATTGAATCATAATTCAAAGCTCCAATTTGATCTAGTAATCCTACTTAGAGAACAGACAACACTTCTGATGTGATAAATTAAAATAGAATACAAAGTTGACACAGTTTTCTGGTGAAATACTGGATTTTTCTCAATGTGTTATTATGTATACACAGGTAAAAACAAAACAAAACTGGATTTTACCAAAATTGTTAGTTTGGCAAAGATATATTACAAATCTACTATGTGTAGGCATGATTCTAGGTTCTAGAAATCCAATATTAACTAACATGATATCTGCTTATATTGAGTTTTCTTTTATTGGAGTAGGCAGATTATAAATATATAAACATATGAATAAATAGATGAATTTCTTATGAAGATAATAAATTTGCAAAGAGTGTAAATGTTACCAATAAAATGAGATAAGATAATAGTAGGAAAGGAATGGTTATATTAATTGAGGCATGGAGGCTATTTTGACTAGGATGGCCAGACATCTCTGACAGAATGGGTGAGTATTGAAGAACTCTTAATAATGGGAAGGATTTTTTTTTTTTTTGAGACAGAGTTTCACTTTTGTTGCCCAGGCTGGAGTGCAATGGCATGATCTCAGGGGAAGAAGCACTCAGGCAGAGGGAATAAGATATGCAAAGATTTTAAGAATGGAATGACTTTCCATTTTTTGGATATGGAAATAAGAAACCAGGGTGACTTGAACGTAATGGATATTGAAAAAGGAAGAAGTAGATTATAAGGACAAATAATTGTTTTTTTTTTCAGCTGAAGGGCCAAATTGCAGGACAAGGATATGAAATTAAGGAAATGGATCTAAAATATGAAATCCGGCTTCCCAGACAATAACGATATTAAAAAATCTCTCATTTTCTCTAAAAATCACACATAATCAAAACCAGGAGACAAAGATTTCAAAAATTGTTTTACCTATATGTAAATAATATTTGAAAATGATAGAGCCTACTCTGAACTTCACATCACTCCACAGAGACAGATAAAGATCAAGCGAAGATAAAGGAAAACACATCAAGGTCCTAATGGTAGACAAATTGACAGCATCACCAGAAAAAGCAAAAGTTTTTATCTTGAGAGAGAAAATTTGGGGAGAATTTTGGGAAGTGTTCTAACAGCTAGTGATCAGAACACTGACTACTATGGTATCTAAAGGCATAGTATCATCAGTTTGTTTACAGACACAATAATGTTTGGAAAACACTATTTTGAGAGAAACTAAAGAAACTTGAAAGAGAATGATATCACTTAGAGGCTTGATGGCAAAGAAAAGTTACCAACCAGAGGATGAACCTATGAGGCCCATTACAAAATCAGATGATTCACCAAAACTTGTCATTCAAAAAAAGATGTTATGTATTATAGAAACTTCCCTCAAATACCAATTTCTCCTTAGAAATACTTGTAATTGATGGTCTGGAAAAGAATGAGAACAAATTAAAATAAATGGGAAGAGGTAGGCCTTAAATTATAGAGTAAAACAGGAGATAATCAATACTAATTAGCTAACAAAAACACTACCCCAAAATCTAACCACAAAGGGGATTATAACACTTCAAAATGAATTAAAGATAATTAAATAACTAATGAAAGATATGACATGATGCAAGTCAGAAATGCAAATACTTAGAATAGAAATATACAAAAAAAGTTGGAAAATAAGAATTGACAGTATTCAGAAAAAAATTTAAATAAAAAGACACATTTATTTCAAAGAGAAAAACTAAATCAAAATACGCCAAGAAATCATCTTTATGAAGTGTAGGGAAATATTTTAGAGTAATAGAAATATGAATAGCAGTGATGATTATATGACTATATAAAATTTCCAAATCTTTTCAAAATGTAAGCTTAAATTGAGTAAATGTATTCCATATAAGTAAGTCTCAATAAGGAAAAACAATAACTTTTGCTTTCAGATAAGATATGGTAGATTGTGAGGTTCCAATATTTTCACACACATTAATAGAGAAGAGCAGAGAAACTACAAAAATTATGTTTCACCATATTATGATTCTGTGGAGGAAACAGTCCTTTCCAGGTGGTTATTGACCATTTTCTCCACTGAAAATTTCTTGTTGATTTTGCGGACAGTCTGAGATTCCAACTTGCTCCCAGCAGAGAGACCAAAACTATGGGAGATAGAAACCAGCAGTGCATCATGGTCATTCAGGACTGTTGTGGTGGGTTGAAAACTGGATGACTGGCCAACCCTGGGTTTCCTCATATTCTGGCTGATTTCTGGGGCAGACTAATCTGCTATATCAGCATAAAATATTTTTAGTCTCAAGGTGCTTGGGAGACAAATTGCATTCCAAAATGGTGGCTGCCTCAACCATTACCAGATATCCACTCAAGAACTTCTCCAAATTTTTATGCTGTAGGGTTAAAGGGTAAGAAACTAATTCAGAAATTGTTCAATAGCATACATGTATTTCCCAGTCTCAAGGAGATCTGGATACAAGGCTGAATACTTTTTCTCAACAAAAACCCACAAGAGTCACATTCAGGGAAAAGGAACAAATTAGATATGAATTAAGTTTCATCAGAATGAAAGCCCCAAGTTGCCCCAGCTCCATTACTGATAGATTATCAACCATCCTCCGTGAGGAAAGGTATCATCTGAAGGAGACTCTACAGGGTTTTGATACAAAATATCAGACCAACATATTTAAAAATCACTAGACATACAAAAAGTCAAGAAAATATGTCCAAGAATCAAGGAAAATAAATAAATATTAGACATATATCCACAGATGTTTCAGATTTTAGACTTAGGAAACACTTTAAAATAATAATATTTTCTTTAAAAAAAAAGTAGAAAATTTATTTTTCAAAAAAGGGAACCAGAAAACAAAACCTCTTCTCAGTTATGCCTTGCAGTGTCCTCCCAGTGTCCTTTATCGGCAAAGTCTTAACATGGTACCAACTTGAAAAGGAGAAATGCTTACAGGCTCTACTTTCTGTACTTCAAAACAAGGTGAAAGAAAGAAAATTGACAGCTAAGAAGCAATAAATGTATAACAGATATCATAAGTAATGCTGAGCACTACAATCATTATTGATAATTTTATTTTGAAAAGGTTGAGAATGTAAGTACATATATTTGGGGTTAAAGTTTTCTGTATTTTATTTTTATTATTATGACCAAATTGATAATTTTCTAAAAATATATATATATATATTTTTTAACACACCTATCATCAAGCAACAGAAACACAATTTATATTTTTTAGAAGGAGCATTTGGATTTTCTTAATTTTTTAATTTGAAAATTGTGCTTCATAGCTCATATCTTTCCTATTCCTCTAGCCCCTTCCTTACTTATTTGCCAACCTTAAAATACCACCCCCCTCCCGCACTCCTGCCCTTAAACATCCAAAGACACATGCCAAGCTGGTCTTCCCATAACAACTTAGTGACATTAACAAGCCTCTTTACCTTTTGGAGGCTTCAGAAACAAAAATATGTTGACACAGGAGGGAAAGTAAGTATTAATTATTTAGTCTTTCAAATCTTTTGCTCTATTACTCTAAGAATCTTTTTTAGCTTTGTTTTGTTTGTTTAAGTAATGAGACAGTACAAATTCTCCATTAATTTCAATCCTTTTAAATTTGTTTTTTATACACTATTTATTTACCTGGACTAGGAACTCTATAGACAATCAAATCAAGGAAAATAATGTTCTGCTTATAGGATAAAATGAAAATGTTGATATGAAATCATAAAAGGCAAGCAGAACTCCGAATTATAGGAAGATTTGGTCAAATGGAAGAGCCTGTGCCCAAGCTATTTTTAAAAGCATAGAGCCCTATCCTATGACCTACCAGAAACACAACTTAAACTAGCCAAAGCAAAACAAATGCATGAATAAATAATAAATAAAAATACTTTATTTTCTCACATAAGTATATTTCGGTAGTAAAAAGGGATGTTCATAACAGACATCTCTTTCATCTCTTTTTCTTTTATTTTAATATGTTTATTTTCTCATACAGGCTTTCTCAAGTGATATAAAACCTGGCTGCTTGAAGTAGCACTTACTTATACATCCTTAGATCCACCTGCTTTGAGGATGCAATTTAAAATATTATAAAGAAAGACTTCTGCTTTGGTATGTCTCAAATTAACTGATAGGATCTACCACTGGGCCCAAAGGTGATGAATATTATGATTAAATCATGAAATATAAGGCCCTTTTGATGCAAGACCAAAGAGAAAGATGGAAAAGGTTGTTGAAGAGTAATTAGCCAGTTAGCTATATATATTATGTGCCTACTACAAACATTATAAAAAATAACTAGATCAAATCATAACTATAGGTAATATCACACACTATAGCACGAAAATTATAAATTCTTTAAAAACAAACTGGGGAAGAAATTTGCAGGATCTATATAAAGCGAATTTTTTAATTTACTAAAAAGTATAATAGAAATTAGGAAAAAAGTAACATTGATGTATTTATTTCACTTTAGATTTAGAGGAAATATGAAGAAATAATAAAAGAGACAAAAAAATAAAATTTGCCCAAGATAACTTTTAACTACAGGTTCGAATGAATATGGCTCTGGAGCAATAATTTCCAACATTAAGTATGGCAAGAAATGAAGAAAGGAAAAAGGGAAAGACAGAAGAGAAAAGAAGGAAGGAGGGAAGGAAGGAGGGAAGGAGAAAAGGAAGAAGGAAGGAAGGAAGGGAGGGAGGAAGGAGGAAGGAAGAAAGGAGGAGAGGGAGGGAGGGAGTGAAGGAGGGGAGAGGGGGAAGCTAGGAAGGAAGGAAGGAAGGAAAGGAGGGAGGGAGAGAGAGAGGGAGGGAGGGACAGAGGGAGGCAGAAATGGGGGAGGGGAGGGAGGGAAGAATTTGAAGTATTTGAAGTAAAGGAGACTCCTTTCTCAAGGGAAAAGAAAATGAAATCTGAGCCAACAAGTTTTACACTGGTTATGTTTCAAGGGTTATAAAGTTAAAAATAAAATTAAACTAAGAAAAAAAAGAAACACTGAAAGGAGTCATTAGGATTTTAAAAAGGGGCATTCAAACCTACGAAGGTGGAAAACCTGGAATTAACAGATGCAAAATGCAAAATATGTAAATTAGTGCTTAAAAGAAAATGAAGTGATTTAGAGTATGGGAAGAGTATTTGAAAGTATGAAAATTTACTAGAAAAATTTTGAGAAGAACCAAAAATAATGTGGAAATGAAAATACTATAATTGATAATACAAATGTTGGGGCAGATTTAAAGAGCAGAATAGAAAATTATTGAACTGGAAGAAGAGTTGAAGAAACTTTGAGTGACAGTATGAAAAGATGAGTTGGAGAACACTCTAACAAAGAAATTGTAAGAGACAAAAAGTATAAAGAGACCGTCATTCATTCATAAACACACACACACACACACACACACACACATATGTATATACAGACACACAGATGACTCCCAATTTATTTTTCAACTTTATAATACTGCATTTAGTATGCAGCATCACTGACAATCTAGCATGGCATGCATAAGTTGAAAATATGGTGAAATGAATTAACTTTCCACTTAGCTATATTTTTAATTTACAATGGGTTTATTAGAACTTAACCCCATTGTAAGTTGAGGGACAATCTGTCTATCTATCTATCTATCTATCTGCTTATCTATCTATCTATCTATCTATCTATCTATCTATCTATCTATTTATCTCTCTATTCTATCTATACGTGTGTATGTGCACACATAATTCCAAAGGGAAATGAATAGAGTGGTAGAGAGGTGACAGGAATTACAATGAGTACAAAATTTCCATTATAGAAAGAAAATTCAGAAAACTAATGAATTCCAAATAAAAGACATTTAAACAAACAAACAAAAACAAAGAAACCAGAAATCTGGACTTAAACACCTCAGGAACTTCGGAAAAGCAGAGAGAAATAAAAACTATTAGAATAGCTAAAGAGAGAACATAGCTGACCTACAAAGGAACAAAGATACTTTAGCTAGTATGGAATTCTGGCTTGGTAGTTATTTTCCTCAACATACTTATTATTCACTCATTCTAACTTCCTTTGCTGCTCTTGAGAACTTCATTATAAATCTATTGGTCCTTTTTAATCTTTTTTATCCCTTTTTTGGTAAAATCTGTTACTAATCTTATCGCATTCTGTTTCTAAGATTTTCATTACGGTGTTTAATTGCTTTAATTTTATTATAGGATGGGTATATATGTTTAGGTGTGAATTCCTGTTTTATCTTTTCTGCCTGGAATTTGCTGGGTTCTTTAACTTTGTGGGTTAATTTTTTTATTAGTTTCAAAAATCTCAGCTTGTGTTTTTAAATAATATAACCTCTGCCACATTCTATTCTATTTCCCTTTTCATTGTACTCCAACTAAAGACAGGTTAAAATATTTTCTGCATCTTCTAAGTTAATTACTTCCTCTTCTGTATTTATAATTCTTATAACTCCTGATCTTCATTCTGGATTTTTTTTTCTAACTCAAACCACTAAATCATTTTTAAGCTGTGTCTAATCTACTGCTAATCCACTGGATTCCAATTTCACTTATTGAAATATTGAGATTAGAATTTCTACTGGGGCTCATTAAAAAAGTTTTAATGTTGGCTTTTATCTCCCTGAACATATTAATTATCCTTGTTTTGCAGTCTGTGTGTGTTAATCTACTACAAAACAAGTCTATTTCTTACGCTATTTCTTATTCATCTTGTCATTTATTCTGGCATGTCTAAATATCTTTGATAGTGTATTAGACATTAAATTTAAAAATAAAATCTTTGCAGAATAAATTTGAGAGTTAAAAGTTATTTTTTCCAGAAGTATTTGCATTATTTTTGGATGGTACTTGGCAGCATACCTTCACCTTAATTAAATTTTAGTTCTTGAGATTTATTAGGCAGGAACAATGATTTCCAATGGAACTGTAGTGTTTGAAAAGGCTAATTTATTTCTGATTTGTACTTACTATTTTTAGGATCTTGTGCATCTATTTCTTTAGCCCTGTATGGCTGTCAAATCTCTCTTCTATTTTAACCATTTATGGGGTGACTGAATGCCCCCCTTGACAAAAGAAGCCCTTATTTCTGGTCTTACCTCTCTAAAATTTTGTCTTCTTCTTTTAAATTGTGGCCAGTAATTTTGTATTATTCTGTTAGTTACTTGATGCTTAAGATTTTTTAAACAAATATTAATTTAGCTTTTTTAGCTTTACTCAGTGAAATATATTTCCAAAATTACCAAACTCATATGACCACAAGGCAAATACCTCTCCTAAAGCCACTACAGTATTTTTAAGTGCTTCTAATTATTTGAAGTTCAGTCTTTACTTTTAGTATAAACTTATGTCATAAGCAAAGACATTCAATTGATGAGCTGAAAAAGCCTGCAAGAGATGCACCAGTCTTTATTAAACACTGGGTTTAAGATACAATTAAGGAAAACCCCAGCAATAAAAAAGGATTAATCCAAAAACATCCAAAACATAACTTATTAGCATGTAATACAAAATAAATATAAATGATATTATAAAGCAGTAACACATTATTTTAGTTAAAGTTTAAGCCAAATAATATAGCAATATGATCTATAGAAGACAATGTAAAGTTATCTTATTAGCTATAAAAAGTCCTTGAAATACTATCAGAGTTCAGGATTTTGTTCAACAGCTTTTTGGTTGGTTTAACTCTGTTATGTTATCAATGAACTCGATTAAGGAACACTATTAATTGCTGCATTCATGCCATTTTATTTTACAAGGAATTACCAAAGCCAGTGCAACACTGAAGAGAAGACTTTTTTTTTTCCTCAAAGCAGCTGGTCATAGCAAAGAATTGCTCCCTCAAGAACCATAAAATTCTTCCACTTGACAGCCAGGCAGAAAAGGTGAGAACAAAATAAACAGCACCGCTAACAGGAGCTGTCACCATGATGAATGCTGATGAGCAGTAATTAATGTGGATTCTTTTAAGCAAAGCCCAGAGGTCTAAGCTGATGCCCACTGACTTAAAGATAGGGAGCAGGATGAAGGATCAAAGAGTGAAGAAACCACTCCAAAGAGATACTGCTTTTTTTGGATTCCATGTACAGTCATGTGTCACTTAGTGATGGGGGTACATTCTGAGTAATGTGTCTTTAGACAATTTCATCATTGTGCAAGCATCATGAACTATGTCTACAGAAAGCTGGATGCTATAACCTACTGCACACCTAGGCTATGTGGTACAGCTTATTGCTTCTGGGGTAGAAACCTGTACAGAATGTTACTCTACTGAATATTGTAGGCAATTATAACACAATGGTAATTATTTTGTGTATCTAAGCATATTTAAACATAGTAAACCTACAGTAAAATATGGTATAAAATATTTGTTTAAATGATACTCCTGTATAGGTCACTTACCATGAATGGAGTTTGCAGGACTGAAAGTTGCTTTGGGTGAGTCAATGAGTAAGTGGTGAGTAAACGTGAGGGCCTAGGACATCACTGTACACTGCTTTAGACTTTATAAACACTATACACTTAGGCTACACTACATTTATAAAAAATAAAGTAATTATGCTTTGACATTCAGATGGCTATGTCAGTAGGCAATACACATTTTTCAACTTAATTACAATCTATGGGACCACCCTTTGTTATTCAGTCCATCATTAACCAAAGGATTGTTATAAAGCACGTTACTGTAATTTATTATTTTAAGCTTAACCTTTTTATTTTCTTCTTATTCTTCTATAAAGACGTACTGTGTGATCGTTTTAGAATAACTTTTAGGTGTTCAGTTTCTAATTTTTAAGATAGTTTTTCTCTATAGTTTTTGCTAAGATGATCATTTCCAAAATGGAAATAAAAGAGTATCTCCTCAGGAAGGAGAAAAGAAAAAGGGAGGAGACATCGGGAGTTAGCAGATACAAAGATGCCAGTGACACAAGTTGCCCCGCAGTTTGGTTGAGAGGATGCTGTTTGACCATCTGACTAATACCATAATTCTCCTCCACCTTCTATCTTCTGCAGCATCCCTTTTAGGTCATTACAAGTCTAAAGAAAGCTGAGTAATGAAACGTCGCTGGGAGCCTTGTTTTTTGTGTTTTTTTTTTCCTGTGCATGCATGCACACGTGTGTGTTCACGTGTGTGTGCAAAGTGATGTAAATATTTTTCATGTGTGTCTTGGCCATTATTATTATTACTGTGTTAAATTGCCTGTTCATATCCTTTAAACATTATTTTTTGATAGTAGTCACATTTTATAAATGTTAGTCATTGAACAAATATTGTCCTATGTCAAGAATGTGCAAAGCAATATTTTAGGGAACAAAATAGAGAACAAAAAAACAAATTTTTGCTCTCCTAGTGTTTATATATTTGAAGAATGCTGTAATGATTTGTTTCACAGTTTGGCATTTGGCATTTCAATATTGCCAATGCTATTTTTAGAGAGAAAGTTTTGAATATTTGTACATTAAAAATCTTTTTTCATTGAGCGCTCTTGTAATATTGAAAACTAATTCCTTCACCATGAATTGTATTTATCTACATATATTTTATTCATTAATATTTTGTGTGTGTTAGAATTTTCTTTTAAATATTTAATTTAAAATTTATATTGGTATATAAATGAGACACATTATAAAAATTATTAAAAAGCACAGTGTACTGATTGCCATCTCCATTTCTCACATAATTAAAAAATGAGATAATTGTCAAATCTGCATATGCAAAGATATTTGTTATATACTTTTGCTTTACACTGTTACATTCATGTTTTCTTACACATACGGATATGCATAAAAAGATACATGTTTTTTTCTTACACTTTGTACTCAGTTGCATTTTAAAAGTTTGTTCCTGTATTGCTAAAGCTTTGTACTGATCACTGTTTTGCTCTCTTTTCATTACATTAATTGATACAAATTGTTACTGATTGATTTGAATATTCTTTTCTATTATGATGAAAATGACCTTTTAAAAAGCCTAATTTGCCTATATATATGTATTTTTTAAAATTCATGATTCATCACAACTGTTTGACAAAGTGAAACCTATTTTTGCCCCTTTAAATATACAATGTTTCCCCCATGTGATTTTATGGCTAGATAGCTCATTTATTTTCACGATTTAGTAATATTTGATTGCTTGGATGTACTTTATTTATCCATTCACCTACTGGAGGACAACTCTTGGTTGCTTTCCAGCTTTAGCATTTATGATTAAAAATGCCATGTGCAAGTTTTTGTGTGGATATAAGTTTTCAACTCCTTTGAGTAAATATCAAGGAACATGATTGCTGAATTATATAGTAAAAGTATGTATAATTTTGTAAGAATATGCAACATTGTCTTTTAAAGTGGATACTCCATTTTGCATTACAACCAGCAATGAATGAAGTTCCCAATACTTCACATTCTCATCAACTTTTGGTGTTGTCTGTGGTTTGGATTTTTGCCATTCTAGTAGGTATTTAATGGTATCCCAGTTATTGATTTGTGATGCTCTTAAATAACATATAATGTTGACCATCCTTTCACATGCTAATTTTGTATCTGTATATTATTTTGGTTGAGTGTCTGTGCACATCTTTTGCCCATTTTTAAATTGGGTTATTTGCTTTCCTATTGCTGATTTTAAGGGTTATTGTAACTTTTGGATAGAAGCTCATTTTTTGCATGTCAACTTTGAAGTGTCCATTCTAAAGGTTTTGAAGTAGAAATTTCAAGTAGTTCAATAGTCCTATGGATCTGTAGTTAAGTGAAGAAGTCTTGGCTGGTGATAAAAATTTGGGAACCCTCAGGCTCTAACTGATTCTTAAGGCCAGATGGCCAGATAGGGTCATCAGATAATCAACCAAAGGAAGAAAATACAAGCAAACTAAAGACTGAGCCTCAGGGCGTTCCAATACTTAGAGGTCAATAGAGAGGTATCCAGCAAAAGAGATTGTGATGGAACGATCGCAAAGGTAAAAACAAACCTGGAACTTGTGGTGTCCTTTAAAACAATCGAAGCAAAGGAGAAGAGAAAAAAATTCAATTGCCTTATCTGTTCCTGATAGTTAAAATAAACTGATGACAAAGACAATTGGATTTAGTAAAATGTGAGTCACTGGTAATCTTGATAATTGCAGTTTTCATGAAGTTATGTAGGGAAAACCTGCTTCGACTTGGTTCTTAAGAGAATTGTAGATGAGTTATGCCCTTGTATCATTCTTAATTTTATGCATTTGTGTGTTAATTATTTTATCTTGTTAAAATATTCCAGATATATTTGCTTACTCCAAATAATTAGTTCATAGAAATTTTCTGTCATTTCTATTGTTTTTTTTTGCTTTCTGATTTATTATTTTTCCCTTTTGTTTCCCTTAGTATATTTTAAAAATGTTAATATTTTTGTAATGTATTGAAATATAATGCTATTGGTTTGTCACCCAGTCTTTTATGTTTTGTTGCAATTAATGTCTTTCCAAATATTTGGTTTAATCTTTCTTGTCACCTTTTATTTAGTTAGTTATCAATGTAATTTATTTTTAATCAGAATCAGGGATAATGTTTTAAATATATGAATTTTTCCCATGGGTGTATGTTATACTTCACCTGTCTTCTTATGTGTTTCTGCTTTTATGCTTCCTATAAGAGTTTATTGTTTCCTCTTGTCTGATCTGTCAACTATGCTTATCTATATTTTGCTATTGCTATTTATTGAACATCAATCTGCTAAATAATAATGAGTCAGAGCCGAAAACACGCCCAAGTAATGTGGAGTCAAATAGGTATCATTATAGCAGAGACATAATACGTGATGTGTGCTGTAAATGTTCAAGAGAGAGCTCTCTATATATGAAGTATTTTATAACACTGCTGAACTCTATTAATGGCATCTCAACCCCCTGAGCTCTAGATAATTTGGTAAATATTTATTTTTATCATCAATCATTGCTAATATCATTCCAGAATTTTTTCAATACAACCATTGACTTTTAATGAATAATTATCTGCTTATCCGTAACTTTAGACTAAACAACACGTAATAATTGGAAAAAAGACCTTTCACATTGCCCCTTATCGCATAGTCACAGGGTTTCTCTCTTTGGAGTCTTATCTGTGCTTTCTGGTACAGCGTCACTTGTTTCCACCAGTGTCCAATTTTAAAGGACATTTTGTTTCTTGAATCTCAAATTTGCTGCTGTCCAGTTTAGAGTGTTGCATAATCATGGCATGATCTTTGGATCAGCTTTCTTCTCAAATGTAAACTGATTTCTTACTCCAATTCAACTGGGACAAATGAATGGGACAAACACGTGCTACCACTTCCATAAGAAAACTGTTATTTTTACGTCAAAGTCTGACATGTTTAAAGAGTTTATTAAATTTTCTTGAGGATGTGGAAAGGGGTATAGAAGATGAATTTAGCAGCTATGAATTTACACCCTTTTTAACCGACATGTGATCCTCAAAGTTAGACATCTTGGGAGATGAATTATTGATCAGTTTTAAAGCAAACCTTATATTTGTTGTCCAGATAGTACTGTCAACAAAATACCAAAAATGTCCTTTCATTTTGCACTTGTGCATGTATGTATATGGGTATGTTGGACTATTCCTTTTTATTTTTCTTTATGGATAGCAGAGTACTAAATTCTTACAACATGATATTTCCTCAGCTCGGGATTCTTTTTGTATTTATTTAAAATTATTATCTTTAACTTCTTGGTCTTTAAAAAATAATTAATATAATAGTTTGCTGCGTCTCCATCTCTGATTTGTGTTTGTCATACTCTAGTGGTTTTAATTTTATTTTCTTTTTATCTAAATTATGGGTATTAATTGTATCTTTCACATCAAAATTATTTTGCATTTAGTGTTTTTTCTGTACATATCATTCTAAAAATATTTATAGTTTTCCAAAAATATGCCTTTTCCTTTTTTCCAGAATGTCAATTATTGTTTTTTTTATTTCGTCTGTTTTCTTATCACTTGTTTTCCTCTCTTGTCTCACATCATCCACCCTGCCTCAAATTTACTCATGTGAAAAGCAGATGCTTTTCTGTTTAATATTATTCTGTTTAATATTAAATCTATCACAAAATACTACAGTTATGTATGACAATGTGAGAGTAGTATTTTCCATTATTTATGTTGTAGAACCATGTCATGCTACTCATTCTGAATTATATTTCATTTTCCCAGTTTATACACCTGTGAATGATGAGAGGACTATTTAGTCCCACTGTTTTCAGTAAATAGGATTATCACATTCTTACTTCCTAAACATGTCTCTGCTTTAATAATCCTTACTGAGCATGTTTTATTGGCCACTAAATGTACACAATATGCTTTCTGGTATTTTTGCAAACATCTATTTGGATCTGTTCCCCTAAATTAGAATCTATTTCTTCTCCTGCTAGGAATGTTCAGGATTAGATTTCACTTCTGAGTAATATAAACAAGTCAGTAGATTTTCACTTATCTCTTGATTTAAAAAAGCACATGAAAACTACAAAGCTCAGAGTGGATTGTTACTAAAATTTATTCAGTTTCAGTCTGTTTCACTGTGACATTCACAAGTGACCTGTCTTCCTACGTAATCTCCAGCTTTATTGCTGCGAATTGATTTCTTAGGAAGCACTGACTGGGGAATGAAAGGATGTGATGATCCTGGCCACCCTGAAATATAACTCTTAGTATATATCAGTGGTGGAAAGGAGGCAGGGAGAATTGGTGAAGCTGAGTATCTATAAGGTACAGAGATATAAGTGAACTGGGTTAAATTAAATGAAATAAACTGCTATATTGTAGTTGATCCTATTTGTTCTGCTATTTACTCAGGGTGCCTATAAAGACACTGGTATCTGGCAAATTTCTACCCTGTAGACTTTGGACCAGATAGGCTGGGTTTGCTTAAGAGCCTTGACACTTTCTAGCAATATGGTTTGGATGTTATTTTACCTCTCTTTAACATAACTCTTTTATCTATGAAACAGGGTTGATAATTGTGCCTTCCTCATGAAATCTATGAAGGTACCTCTGAAGGTTAAATTCTGAAAGTTAAATGAACTCATATCTGAAAACATTTAGGGCATTAAATAGATAATTCAAAAACATTCTGAATTATATAATGTCTGTTCCATATATAAGCAAATATCTACCTTATTTATGTAACTCAAATTATATCACTGAACTCATATCACTCAATTTTGTCAACTCAATCTGAGAAAGGGTGACTCAGATTTTTCTAGTTGTATTTAAAATCAAACCTTGTACAAGTACTTATGAATACATAAATTTAATAGTACTTTAATTCTTAATATCTAATATTTGTATCTAGACATATCTAGATCTTTCAGTTATTTATTAGTTGCCAACATAAATTTTTAAGACAATAACCCTTTTTTACTTTATTTTTATAACTTCAAATTCAGAAGGTACATATGCAAGTTTGTTACATGGGTATATTGTGTGATGTTGAGGTTTGGGATAATATTGATTCTGTCACCAAGGTAGTAAGCATCATACTCAATAGACAGTTTTCAGCCATTCCCCGCTGCTTCCTTTCCTCCCTAGTATCTACTGTTGCCATCTTTATGTCCATGAGTACACAATGTTTAGATCCTACTTATAAGTGAGAATACGCGATATTTGATGTTCTGTTTTTGTGTGAATTTGCTTGGGACAATGGCCCCCAGTTTCATCCATATTGCTGCAAATAACATGATTTCATTCTTTTTTATGGCTCATAGTATTTCATGATTTATATGTGCCATTTTTTAAATTAATCTACCATTTATAAGCACCTAGGTTGATTCTATGTCTTTGGTATTGTCAATGGTGCTGCCAATGAGCATATGATTGCATGTGTCTTTTTGGTAGAATCATTTATTTTTGGATATAAACTCAGTAATAAGATGGCTCCATCAAATAGTAATTCTGTTTTACGTTATTTGAGAAATCTTCAAACTGCTTTTCACAGTAGCTGAATTATTTTACATTCTCACCAATGGCATATATGAGTTCTCTTTCCTCCACAGCCTTGCCAGTATATGTTGTTTTTTGCCTTTTTAGTAATAATCATCTGACTGGTGTGAGACGGTAAGTACCTCACTGTGGTTTTGATTTGCATTTTCCTGATGAAATGCAAAAAAATTGGGGTAAATTGAATGAAATAATCTGCCATATTCTAGTTTATCCTATTTTTCTGCTATTTCCTCATGGTGATATTGAGCATTTTTTTCATGTGTTTGTTGCCCACTTGTAAGTCTTCTTTTGAGAAGTGTCTGTTCATGTCCTTTGTCTATTTTAATGAGGTTGTTTGTTTTTTGCTTGTTGGTTTCTTACAGATTCTAGATATCAGGCTTTTGTTGGAAGAATAGTTTGCAAATATTTTCTCCCATTCTGTAGGTAGTCTGTTTACTCTGTTGATAGTTTCTTTTGCTCTGTAGAAACTCTTTAGTTTAATTAGGTCTTACTTGCCAATTTTTTTGTTGTTGTTGCAATTGCTAGAGGACTTATTCATAAGTTCTTTCTCAAGAATGTTGTTTCCTAGATTTTCTTCTAAGATTCTTATAATTTGACATATTACATGTAATTACATGTAAATCTTTAGTCCATCTTGAGTTAACTTTTGTACACAGTGAAAAGGCAGGGGACCAGTTTTACTCTTCTGCATTTGGCTAGCCAGCTATCCTAGCACCCATTTTTGAAAAGGGAGTCTTTTCCCTATTGCTTGTTTTTGTCAGCTTTGTTGAAGAGCAGATGGCTGTAGATGTGCAGCTTTATTTCTGGGTTCTCTATTCTGTCCCACTGATCTATATGTCTGTTTCTGTAGCAGCACCATGCTGTTTTGGTTACTGTAGTCTCATAGTTTGAAGTCGCGTAATGTTATGCCTCTGGCTTTGTTCTTTTTTCTGAGGATTGCTTTGGATATTTGGGACCTTTTTGGTTCCATATGAATTTGAAGATTTTTTTTCTAATTCTGTGAAAAATGACTGTTGGTAGTTTGATAGAAATAGTGTCGAATCTGTACGTTGCTTTGGGCAGTATGGCCATTTTAACAATGTAGATTCTTCCAATCCATAAGTATGCAATATTTTTCCATTTGTTTTTGTGGTCTATGATTTCTTTCAACAGTGTTTTTTAGTTCTCCTTGTACAGATCTCTCGCTTCCTTGGTTAGATATATTCCTATGTGTCTTTGTGTGTGTGCGTGTGTGTGTGTGTGTGTTTGTGTGTGTGTTCATTGTAAATGGAATTACATTGTTGGTTTGGTTCTCAGCTTGAAAGTTATTTGTGTATAGAAAATCTATTGATTTTTTGTAGATTGATTTTGTAACCCAAAGTTTTACTGAAGTTGTTTATCAGTTCCAGTAGCCTTCTGGTGGGGTCTTTAGGCTTTTCTAGGAATAGAATTTTATTGTCTGTAATGAGAGATAGGTTGACTTCTTTTTCTGTTTGGATGCCTTTTATTTATTTATCTTGCCTTTCTTCTGTGGCTAGGACTTCCATTACTATGCTGAATAGGAGTGGTGAGTGTGAGCATCCCATCCTGTCTTGTTTCAGTTCTCAAGGGAATGTTTCTGCCATTTGCCCATTCAGTATGATGTTGGTTGTGGGTTTGTCATAGAGGGTTCTTATTATTTTGATGTGTGTTCCTTCAATACCTTTTTTCGTAAGGGTTTCTTTTTTATCATGAAGTGATGTTAGATTTCATCAAAAGCTTTTTGTGAATCTATTGAGATTAATGTATGATTTTTAATTCTGTTTATATGGTGAATCACATTTATTAATTTGTGTATATTGAACCAACCTTAAATCCCAGGATGAAGCCTACTTGATTGTGGTGAATTAACTTTTTCAGTTGGCTAATATTTTGCTGAGGATTTTCGCATCTATGTTTATCAGGGATATTGACCTGTAGTTTTCTTTTTTTATTGTGTCTTTGTTCAGTTTTGGTATCAGGCTGATTCTGGCTTCATAGAATGAGTTACAGAGGTCTTCTCCTTAATTTTTTTCAATAGTTAATATTTAATTTCTTTTTGAATTATAGCTTGTATAAAGCTACTACTGTAGCACTCAAATGAGTATAGTTTTTTTCACTGCCCTTTAAGGTATATTTTTCCAAACAGATGATTATTTCAAATGAAGCAAACCTAGAGTGGAGCCACCCATAAAATTTTGTAAATAGGATGTATGGGATCTAAAATGTTGGACCTAGATATTCAAGTAAATATTCTAAATGAAGAGGTTCTCCTGAGAGTTCATAACATCAATCAAAAATCACTTAGTACATGAAATAATATTTGCCACTGTCTTTTATGAAAATTAAACATGCAATATCTTCATAATTGACACCAAATTCTTAATATATTCTACTTCCTTTACTATGTCATATAAAATTTATTTGCTTGTAACAATACCTTAATTCACATAAAAAATATTTGAAATATTATTTTTTAAGGTTGATTTAAGGCAGTTATACTGCCCCATTAAGTTTTCCTAGACTCTCTTAAACAATTCTTTAAAGCAAACTGTTCAAAATTGTTTTTGGTTTCTTTGTTTTCTAATGAAACTTCTAATGAGAGTTTTATCTTGATAGTTATTTAAATCCCATTGAATGCATGTAATGTCAAATCTGTTTATTCAGATGAGTCGTGTTCAATTTATTTTAAAAATCTAGAGACATTCAATTATTAATGGTGTCTATGCAAATCAGTTTAACTCTTCTGATGGAATCTTCTAGTCATTAACCTGTCAATGTGTGCTTGACTGAATTGCTCACTGAATATTTGTTTTTATGGAGACCAAAATTAGGAAATATTTTTTTACCCATTTTGTATACATGACCAACTCTTTTGATAAGTTAAAGTATCACTTCAGTTTTCTATCTTCTTATTTTTCCACCCTAAGGCTTGATGAGATCTTTTAGTAAATAGACTGATTGAATAAATAATCTTACTAATCAAGGCCATTACTCAATCCAAGAGCTGTTAGTATAAATGTCTTTAATGTAACTGT